>NC_000011.10:125657273-125960303 GCF_000001405.40 Homo sapiens
TGTGTGTGTTTAATGTGTACAGTGTGTGTGGTTGTTGAGATAAGCATAATTATATAAAAATACATAAAATATGTACACTTCAATGTGCAGTTGTAAAGTTAACATTCACTTAACCACAACTCAATTGTAGAAAGATCATTTACAGACCCTTAAGAACTTCCTATATGCAGTCTCCCAATCACAACCCACTTCTTTCCCCCAGAAATAATCACAAAATAGACTTTGGTGATAATCTTTTCCTTCGTGTGTTTTAGAGTGTTCTCAGCTATTTATGCAAATAATATCATTTAGTTTATGTATTTTTAATTAATATGGTTTTTATTAACGAACTTTATATACATTTTGCTGTATTTTTCATGTGTTGATTTTTTATAGCCATGCTTTTGTGCATATTGAATTCATTAATTTTAATTTTTATATAGGATGTATTTATGAACATCCCACTAACTATTCTGCTGCTAATTGATATTTGGATTGTGTACAGTTCGATGCTATTATAAAATTCTTCTAAGGACATTCTTGTACATGTTCATTTGTTTTGCTAGGTCCTAGAGTCTAAGGTATATATCCAGAAGAGGAATAGCTGGATATTAGGATAGAATAATGACAAACTGTTTTCTAAAGTGATTGTACAGATTAGTGTTTCCATAGGAGAAAAGTGTACAGTTACTGGAAAAACAGTTTGGAATGATCTAAAGCATAAGAATGTTCATAGCAACAGAATGTATTTCTAGTATTCCAAATTTTCACCTACAGTTGGTGTGGTCAGTATAAGTTGTTGTTTTTGTTTTTGTTAATGTTTTTTTTTCCTTTGAGACAGGGCCTCACTTTGCTGCCCAGGCTGGAGAGCAGTGGTACAAACATGACTCACTGCAGCCTTAGCCTTGCAGGCTCAAGCAATCCTCCTGCCTCAGCCTCCCAAGTAACTGGGACCACAGGCACATGCCACCACACCTGGCTAACTTTTGTATTTTTTGTAGAGACAGGGTCTCACCATGTTGCCCAGTCTGGTCTAGTCTGTTTTAACAAGTTGTTGCTGTGTAATGATATATGTGTGGTGTTAATTTGCTTGTTCCTAAGTTTAAATGAGGTAGAGCATTTTATGACATGCCTGTTCTAGTCTTTTGCTTATTTTTCTAATTGCCTTTTCTTTTTCTTAATAATTTCAGTTCTTCATATGTTCAGCATACTAGTCCTTTGTCAATTTACATGTATTGAATATATATACTCTCCCATTCTGCGGCTTATTGTTCCATTCTTCATGAACATTTGTAATTTTAATGTCCTATTTAGACCTTTCCTCTGTCTATTGTTTTATATTTTGTATTAAAGGAGTCATTCATTACTCCAAGATCATGAAGATTTTCTTGTATGTAATCATGTAATCTTCTTAAAAGCTTCATGGCTTTTGCTTTTTTTTTTTTTTTTTTTTTTTTTTAAGAGTCTTGTTGTGTCTCCAAAGCTGGAGTGCAGTGGCACAATCACAGCTCACTGCAGCCTCAGCCTCCCTGGCCCAAGTGATCCTTCCACCTCAGCCTTCTGAGCTGGGACTATAGCCATGCACCACCATGCCCAGCAAATTTTTTATTTTTTGAAGAGACCAGATTTCACTGTGTTGCCGAGGCTGGTTTCGAATGCCTGGGCTCAAGTGATCATCCTGCCTTGGCCTCCCAGAGTGCTGGGATTACAGGTGTGAGCCACCATGTCTGCCTGGCCTGTTTTTTGGCTGATTTAGGTCTATAATTCATCTGAAATTGGCTTTTGTGTAGAATGTGAGGTAGAGATTAGGTTTCATTTTTTTCCTTCATATGGCTATCCAGTTTAGCACTGGTTATTGAAAAGATCATTATTTTTTTTCACTAGTCTTCATTGATATCCAATCAAGTACTCAAATGTTTTAATTATTTTTTATACTTTGTATTGAATCAGATCCAAATAAAGTTTAAACATAATAATCGATTGATGTCTTTTAAGTTGCTTTTAGTCTGTAAGTTCCCTCTTTATTCCCTTTTTTTTCTCTTGCAGTTTATTGGTTGAAGAATCCAGCTGGTTTACTCTATGATTTTCTTAAGTCTAGATTTGTGGGTTTGATTGCTATGATAGTTTCAGATCTTTCTTCTATTTTCTGCATATCCTATAAATACATTCGAGATACTAGTCCTGTGTCAATTATATGTTGCATATAGGCATTTTATAAATTTCCTAAGTACCATTTTTCTTCATGCCACAAATTTTTATGTGTACTATTTTTGTTATCCAGCTCAAATTTTTTTCTAATATTGTTATGACTTTTTTCTATATTTTTACATTGTAGTTCTCAGATCTTTATATGATTTATTTTTTGATCCATAAATTATTTTGAATTATGTTTCTGAATTTCCAGGCCTTTGGGAATTGTTTTTATTTAAAAAATGTTTTTATTGAGATATTCACATAGCTTAAAATTCACTTTTTAAAGTGTTGTACTCCCTTTAAAGTGCACTTCTGTGGTTTTTAGTATGTTCATAAAGTTATGCAACCATCACCACTCTCAAATTCTAAAACAATTTCATCCTTTCAGAAAGAACCTCCCTGCTCATTAGCAGTCACTCCCCACTTTTTCTTCCTCCAGTCTCTGGAAAATACTAACCTACATTTTGTCTCTGTGGATTTGCTTATTCCAGACATTTCATATAAATAGAATTGGATAATACATGTGTGGCTTCTTTCACTTAATGGTTTCAAGATTCTCCATGTTGTAGCATGTATCAGGACTCCTTATGGCTGAATAATTTTCGTGTGCGTGTGTGTGTGTATTGTACATTCTGTTCATTATGTGGACATTTTAGTTCTTTTTACTTCTTGGTTATTATGAATAAGGCTGCTGTGCACATTCTTTTACAGCTTGGTGTGTGTCCACACATTTTCAGTTTTCTTGGGTATGTACCTAGAAGTAGAATTTTTTGATAGTGATAGTTTTTACAATTGTTGGGTACAGGCTTCTGTATATCTCCATGTAATTAACTGAGTTAATCATATTCAGATCTTACATATCTTTACTGCTTATACAGTGAATTACTAGAGAAGCATGTTAAAATTTACTATGATTTGGATTTGTGTATTTTTACTTGTGGTTCTCATTTTTTTCTTTTTTTAAGAGACAGGGTCTCATTATATTGCCTAGGCTACACTCAAGCTCCTAGGCTCAAGCGATCTTCCTGCCTCAGTCTCCCAACTAGCTGGGACTACAGGTATATGCCACCATGCCTGGCTAGGTTCTGTTAATTTTGCTTTATACATTTTGGGACTATTTCCTTAGGTTATATACTGATACATACTTGTCATATCTTCTTAGTGAATTAAACCATTTATTTATTTAGAAGTAACTTCTTTATAGATATAATACTTTTGCCTTAAATATTCTTTATCTGATATTAATCTAGCCCCACTTGCTTTCTTTTGGCTAATATTTATATGATTTTCATAAAGGATTTATTAACAAAAAAAAAAAAGAAAAAGTTTGCATGGCATAACTTTTTTGAGACGGAGTTTCACTCTTGTTGCCCAGGCTGGAGTGAAATGGCGCGATCTTGGCTCACTGCAACCTCCGCCTCCTGGGTTCAAGCGATTCTCCTGCCTCAGCCTCCCGAGTAGCTGGGATTACAGGCATGCGCCACTACGCCTGGCTAATTTTTGTATTTTTAGTAGAGATGGGGTTTCTCCATGTTGGTCAGGCTGGTCTCAAACTCCTGACCTCAGGTGATCAGCCCACCTTGTCCTCCCCAAGTGCTGGGATTACAAGCGTGAGCCACTGCGCCTGGCCTGGCATAACTTTTTATCTTTTTACTTTTACTTTTCTAAATCATATAAAATGTCCCTCTTTTAATTATCTTAAAAATCCAATCTGACAGTATTTGTTTTTCAATGGACCATTGATTCCATTTGCTTTCACTGTAATTACTGATATATTTGGATTTATTTCTATCATCTTACTTTGGTTCCACTGGATTTGCATTCTTTTCTACCATTTTTTTTTTGCCTTAAAAAATTTTTTTTCTTGCTTAGTATTTTATTTTTGAGACAGGGTCTCACTCTGTCACCCAGGCTAGAGTGCAGTGGTACCATCTCAGCTCACTGCCACCTCTGCCTCCTGGGTGCAAGTGATTCTTGTGCCTCAGCCTCCCCAGTAGCTGGGATTATAGGCGTGTGCCATCATGTCTGGCTAATTTTTGTATTTTTAGTAGAGACAGGGTTTCATCGTGTTGTCCAGGCTGGTCTCAAACTCTTGGCCTCAAGTTATCTGCCCGCCTTGGCCTCCTAAAGTACTGACATTACAGGCGTGAGCCACCGCGCCCAACCTTGCTTAGTATTTTTTAAAAATCACTGTATTTATCCTCCTCTCCTAATTTGGAATCTATATGCTTTTTTTTTTTGAGGGTTACTCTAGCTATTACAATATGCATACTTGTTATAGTCTGAAGTCAGTCTCTTGTCCTCTTTCTGACAATCAAAGATCTTTACACTTTTATAATTTATATACAATTGTCTATTTTGATAATATATATGTGTTTCTATGTGAATATATGTACATACATATCTTTGAAGAGATAGTAGATTTGCATGTAGTTGTAAGAGTTAATACTGAGACATCCTGTGCACCTTTCACTCAGTTTTCCCCACTGGTATCCAATAAAATAATATAACGAGGATATTGGCATTGATAAGGTCAAGATAGGACATTTCCATCAGCACCAGAATTCCTCATGATACCCTTTTATAGCAACATTCACTTTCCTCCCACTTCTGGCAACTATTAATCTTTTCTCTGTTCCTGTAATTTTGTCATTATAAGAATGGTATCTTAGCCTGTTTAGGCTTCTAGAACAAAAACACTGTAAACTGTGTGGCTTATAAACAACAAACATCTATTTCTAACAATTCTGGAGTCTGGGAAGTCCGAGTTCAAGGTGCCAGCAGATTCAGTGTCTGGTGAGGGCCTCTTCCCCATAGATGTCACCTTTTTACTGTGTCCCCACATAGTGGAAGGGGCAAAGCAGCTCTTTAGGGCCTCTTTTTTAAGGGCACTAATTCCATTCAGGAAGGTCCTGCCCCATAACCTAATCACTTCCCAAAGTCCCCATTTCCCAATACTATCACATTGGGAATTGGGTTTCAGTATATTAATTTGTCTGGAGGGGAATACGAGCATTCAGACTACAGCGGTTACATAAATAAAATCACATAGTATTGTACCTTTTGGAACTGGCTTTTTTCACTCAACATAATTCTCTGGAGATTCATCCAGGTTGTTAGCCTGTATCAAGTTCATTCCTTTTTATTGCTATGTGGTATCCACGGTATTGTTTAACCATTCACCTGTTGAAGGACATCTTTGTTATATCTACTCTTTTGCTATTGTGACTAAAGCTGCTATAAATATCTACAGGCTTTTGTGTGAATATAGTCTTTATTTCTCTGGGATAAATGTACTGGAGTGGCACTACTCAATTATATGGTAGTCATATGTTTAGTTTTCGAGAAAACTGCCACTCATTTCCAGAATGGCTGTACCATTTTATATTCTCACCACCAATATATGAGTAATGCAGTTTCTTCACATCCTCATCAATGTTGTCACTATTTTTTGTTTTAGCCATTCTGATAGGTATGTAGTAATATCTCATTGTGAGTTGAATTTGCATTTCCCTAGTGGGTAATGATGTTGAACATCTTTTCATGTACTCATTTGTCATCTATGTATCTTTGGTGAAATATCTCTTCATGTCTTTTGTTCGTGTTCCAATTAGATTTGTTTACATTGAGTTTTTAAAGCTACTTATGTAGTCGAGATACTAGTCCTTTGTCAAATATGTCATTTGTGAAAAAAAAAAAACAAATATGTCTCCCATTCTGTTGCTTATCTTTTCATCCTGTTAACAGAGTGCTTTATAGGGCAGAAGTTTTTAATTTCAATGAAATCCAGTTTACCAATTTTTTCTTATATGGATCATGTTTCTGTTGTCTATCCTAGAATAAGCCTAGATTCTGAAGATTTTTTCCAGTGTTTTTTCTTAAATTTTGACAGTTTAAGACTGAAGCATTTCAAATTAATTTTCGTATAGGTGTGAACCTTAGGTTGAATTTCATTTTTTTGCCTCTGAATCTTAAGTTGTTCCACCATTTGTTGAAAAGGCTATCCTTCCTCCACTGAATTGCTTTTTAAAATTTAATATTAGAGAGCAGTTTTTATTTTTATTTGTTTATTTTTATGTATTTTTCCTTTTAAGTTCCTTGTAGATTCTGGATATTAGACCTTCGTTGAATTATGTGGTTTGCAAATATTTTCTTCCTTTCCATAGATTGTCTCTTTACTCTGTTGATAGTTTCTTTTGCCATGCAGAAGCTCTTTAGTTTAATTAGATATCATTTGTTAATTTTTGTTTTTGTTGCAGTTGCTTTTGATGTCTTCATCATAAAATCTTTTCCAGGGCCTATGTCAAAATGGTGTTTCCTGGGTTATCTTCCAGGGTTTTTATAGTTTTAGTTTTACATTTAAGTCTTTAATCCATCTTGACTTTATTTTTGTTTGTGGTACAGGAAAGGAGTCCAGTTTCAGTCTTCTGCATATGGGTAGTCAGTTATCACAGCATCATTTATTGAGTCCTTTTTCCATTGCTTGTTTGAATCCACTTTCCATTTGAGTGCTTTTCCCCTTGCTTGTTTTTGTCAACTTGGTCGAAGATCAGATGGTTGTAGGTGTGCAGCATTACTTCTGTGCTCTCTATTCTGTTCCACAAGTCTATGTGTCTGCTTTTGTACTTAGTGCTATGCTGTTTTGGTTACTGTAGCCTTGCAGTATAGTTTGAAGTGAGGTAGTATGATGCCTCCAGGATAATAGCCATTTTAACAGGAGAGATATCTCAATGTGGTATCTCAATGTGGTAATATGCATTTCCCTGCTGATTAGCCATGTTGAACTATTTTTTTTTTTTTTTTTTGGAGACAGAGTCTCACTCTGTCGCCCAGGCTAGAGTACAATGGTGCGATCTCAGCTCACTGCAACCTCCACCTCCTGGGTTCAAGCAATTCTCCTACCTCAGCCTCCCAAGTAGCTGGGATTACAGGCACCCGCCACTACGCCTGGCTAATTTTTTGTATTTTTAGTAGAGACAGGGTTTTACCACGTTGACCAGGCTGGTCTCGAACTCCTGACCTCAAGTGATCCACCCATCTCAGCCTCCCCAAGTACTGGGATTACAGGTGTGAGCCACCATGCCTGGCCGAACATTTTTTCATATACCTATTGGCCATTTGTATGTCTTTTGAGAAATGTCTGTTCAGTTCTTTTGCCCATTTTAAAATCAGATTTCTTTTGTTTTATTTGCTATTGAGCTGTCTGAGTTTCATATGAATTCTGGTTATTAATCCCTTGTCAGATGGATACTTTGCAAATATTTTCTCCCATTCTGTAGGTTGTCTCTTCATTCCGATTTTTTTTTGCTGTGCAGAAATGTTTTAACTTGATGTAATACTATGTCTGTTTTTGCTTTTGTTTCCTGTACTTGTGATGTCTTCCACAGAAAAACCTTTGCCCAGACCCGTGTGTCCTCTTAGTGTTTTCCAAATGTTTTCTTCTAGTAGTTTTATAGTTGCAGGTCCTACATTTAGAACTTTAATTCATTTTCAGTTGATTTTTGTGTGTGTGTATGGTGAAAGATACGGCTCTAGTTTCATTCTTTTGCCTATGGATATCCAGTTTTTCTAGAATCATTTATTGAAGAGACTGTCCCCAGTGTAGGTTCTTGGCATCTTTGTTGAAAATGAGTTGGCTATAAAAATGTAGATTTATTTCTGGGTTCTCTATTCTGTTTCATTGGTCTACGTGTGTATCTGTATTCCAGTATCGGTCTGTTTTGGTTACTATAGCTTTGTAGTATAATTTGAAGTCAGGTGGTATGATGTCTCCAGCTTTGTTTTTTTTTTTTTTTTGGTTTCTGTCCTTGATTCTATTGATGTTGATATGTCATGTTTATTGATTTGCATATGTTGAACTACCCTTACATCCCTAGGATGAATTCTACCTGATCATGGGGAAGATCTTTTTAATGTGTTTTTTGGATTCTGTTTTGTAGTATTTTGTTGACGGTTTTTGCATCTATATTTATCAGGGATATTGGTCTGGAATTTTCTTTTTATGTTACATCTTTGCCTGATTTTGGTATTATGGTAATGCTGGCCTGGTAAAATCAGTTTGATAGGATTCCCTCCTCTTCACTTTTTTGAGTAGTTTGGGTAGAATTGATATTAGTTGTTCTTTAAACGTTTGATAGAATTCAACAGTGAATCATCAGGTCCTGAGCTTTTCTTTGATGGAAGACTTTTTATTACTGCTTTGATCTTGCTACTCATTATTGATATGTTCAGGTTTTCTATTTCTTTATGGTTCAATCTTGATAGGTTGTTTGTATCCAGGAATTTATCCATGTCTTCTAGCTTTTCCAATTTTTTGGCATATAGTGTTCATGATAGTCTCTAATGATCTTTTGTGTTTCTGTGGTACCAGTTGTCATTTTTCCTTTTTCATCTCTGATTTTATTTATTTGGGTCTTCATTCCCCTTTTTTTTTTTTTTTTTTTTTTTTTGTAGTCTAGGTAAAGATTTCTTGAATCTTGTTGATCTTTTCCAAAAAACAACTTTTTGTTTCATTTATCTTATGCACTTTTGTCTAAATTTATTTATTTCTACATTGATCTTTATTTCTTTGCTTCTATTAACTTTGGATTTGATTTTTTTAAAAAAATTTGGTTCTTTGTTTTAGTTCCTTGAGGTGCATTTTTAGGTTGTTTATTTTTTTTCTGTTTTTTTATGTAAGCATTTATTGCTACAGATTTCCTTTTTAGCACTATTTTTGCTGGATCCCATAGATTTTGATGTATGTCATGTTTCCATTTTCATTTGTTTTAAGAAATTTTTAATTTTACTTCTAATTTTTTTTTTCTTTTTACTTATTGGTCTTTCAGAAGCACATTGTTTAATTTTCATGTATTTGTACAACTTCCAAAGTTCCTCTTATTATTGATTTCTAGTTTTATTCCAGTGTGGTTGGGCAATATACTTGATATGATTTTGACTTTTTTGAATTTCTTGAGACTTGTTTTGTGGCCTCTCATATGGTCTGACTTGAAAAGTGTTCCATATGTGATGACAAGAACATGTATTCTGCAGTAGTTGGATGAAATGTTCTATAAATGTCTGTTAGATCTGTTTGGTCTAAAGTATAGTTTACCTCTGATGTTTCTTTGATGATCTGGATGATCCGTTCACTGCCAAAGTGGGTTGTTGAAGACCCCTAATATTACTGTATTGCAGTCGGTCTCTTCCTTTAGATCTAGTAATATTTGCTTTATATATTTAGGTGCTATGGTGCTGGGTACATGTATATTTACTATTTTTATTTCTCTCGCTATATTGACTTCTTTAACAATCTATAAGGATGTTCTTTATTTCCTTTTACAGTTTTTGCTTAAAGTCTATTTGATATAAATACAGGTAATCCTGGTCTTTTTTGCTTTCTGTTTACTTGGCATATATTTTTCCAACCCTTCACTTTCAGTTTATATGTATCTTCGTAAAGTGAGTTTCTTGTGGGCAGGATATAGTTGAATCTTGATTTTTTTTTTCAATCCATTCAGACAACTTTTGTTGTTGTTGTTGTTGTTTTGTGTTTTTCGGTGTTTTTTTTTTTAAAGAAAAATTTACCTTTGTTATAGATTAAAGGGTACACATGCCGGTTTATTACATGGGATAATTTCACGATGCTGAGGCTTGGGGTCCCAGTGATCCTGTTACCAAGGCAGTAAGCATAGTACCCAACAGATGGTTCTTCAGTCCATTCCCCCATCTCTCTCTCTCCCTGCTATTGATCCCCACTGTCTATTGTTCTCATCTTTACATTCATGTATACTCCATGTTTAGCTTCCACTTATAAATGAGAACATGTTGTATTTGGTTTTCTCTTCTCGCATTAGGTCACTTAGTATAAAGGCCTCCTGCTCTATCCATGTTGCTGCAAAGGTCATTATTTCATTCTTTTTCATGGCTGCATATTATTCCTTGTAAATGATTCCTCTCTATTGTAAATGAGATTGTGCTCTTGAATTGGTTCTCAGCTGGAACACTATTGGTTTATAAAAATGCTAGTGATTGTCGTACATTGATTTTGTCAATTCCAGGAGCCTTGTGTCAGATTCTTTAGGGTTTTTCATGTATGGACTCATATCATCAGTAAAGAGAGAGAGTTTGACTTTTCCTATTTGAATCTCTTTCATTTCTTTTTCTTGCCTCATTGCTCTGGCTAGGACTTCCAGTACTAAGTTTTTTGTTTTTGAGACAGAGTCTTGCTCTGTCACCCAGGCTGGAGGGCAGTGGCACGATCTCAGTTCACTGCAACCTCTGCCTCCTGGGTTCAAGCAATTCTTGTGTCTCAGCCTCCCAAGTAGCTGGAATTACAGGTGCATGCCACCACGCCCGGCTAATTTTTGTATTTTTGGTAGAGATGGGGTTTCACCATGTTGGCCAGGCTGGTCTCGATCTCCTGACCTCAAATGATCCACCCACATCAGCCTCCCAAAAAGTGCTGGGATTACAGGCATGAGCCACCACACCTGGCTGATTTTTAAAAGAGTTTCCAGTAAGTTTTAGTTACTATGTTCATTGTAAGGATTAGTCTAAATAATGTATCCCATCATTAAGTCTCAGTTGCTAGTATTTTTCCTCTAATTAATTCAGTATGTATTTCCTTAGAATAAAGACCTTCTCACAGACAACCTGGTTTAGTTAACAGAAATGAGGGTATTTAACATTGATATAACACTATTGTCTAGTTCAAGGTCCGCATTCAAATTTTATCAGTCCTAACAATGTCTTTTGTAAAAAAAAGTTTTTCCCCTTGCCTGTGTTCAAACCCAGATCATGCATGGTTTTCATGTCCCCTTAGTCTCCTTTCATTTGGAATAGTTCCTCGATGTTTATATTTCTTGACCTTGATACTTTAGAAAAATACAGACCAGCTATTTTGTATAATTTCCCTAAATTTTGTTTTATCTCATGTTCTCACATTATTGGGTTCAAGTTATGCATTTTCACAAGACCACTGTAGTGATGATGTATACTCAATTGTTGATATTTGGATTTTTGCCATTTTTTTTGTTTAACATTTTTATTTGACCCACCTAATTGTTGGGGGTTTTTTAAAATTTCATTTTAATTTCTCATTTTTAATTAATTATTTATTTATTTTTGAGACAAGATCTGTTGTCTCAAAAACAGACCTTGTCTGTTGTCCAGGGTATAGTGCAGTAGCACAATCATAGCTCACTGCAGCCTCAAATCCCTGGGCTCAAGGAATTCTCCTGCCTTAGTCTCTGGGTAACTGGGACTATAGGCGCATGTCACCATGACCAGATACTTTTTTAAAAAATAGTTTTTAGAGAGGGGGTCTTGCTGTGTTGCCCAGGCTGGTCTTGAACTTCAGGGCTTAAGCAATCCTCCCATGTCAGCCTCCTAAAGTTCTGAGATTACAGGTATAAGCCACCGTCCCCAGCCTTCATTTTATTTATTAGCTTTTTAACTGTACCTTTCTGTATTTTTTAAATTCTTTTTTCCAAGGATTATCATATCTTATCACAGTTTAAAGTTAATATTGTACTACTTCACTTAAAAATAAGAACCTTTCAAAAGTATAGGTCCACTTATCTCCTCATCCTTTGTGCTATTATTGTCATATATATCTACTTACATTAAAAAAAAGTCTGTGCAGGCATGGCTTTTAAAATTCAGAAAAATAGTATGTATGTCTTAAATTTACCCACATCTTTACTATATCTGGAACTGTTCATTTCTCCCTGTAGGTCAGGGTTTCCACGTGGTATTGTTTCTCTTTAGCCTGAAGTTCTTTTAGCTTGTGTGCATCTACTGGTTGTGAATTCTCTTAGCTTTGGTTTATATGGAAATGTGTTACCTTCGCTTTTGAAGGGTTATTATCTTGGAGATAACATTCTGCTGACAGTATTTTCCCTTCATTACTTCGAAGTATCTCCTCTTGTTTTCTGCTCTCCATTGTTTCTGATGAGAAATCAGTCAACATTTGTATCAGTGTTCCACTATATGTAATGTATCTTTTCTTTAGACCAGTTTTGAATTTTTCTCTTTGAATTTCAGTAATTTGCTTATTATGTGCCTAGGTATATTTCTTTTTCTTTTCTTTTTTCCTTTTTTTTTTTTTTTTTTTGTGATGAAGTCTCGCTCTGTCGCCCAGGCTGGAGTACAGTGGTGCGATCTCGGCTCACTGCAACCTCCGCCTCCCGGGTTTAAGTGATTCTCCTGCCTCAGCCTTCCAAATAGCTGGGATTACAGGCGCCCACCACCACGCCTGGCTAATTTTTGTATTTTTTTAGTAGAGACGGGATTTCACCATGTTGGCCAGGCTAGTCTTGAACTGCTGACCTCGTGATCCACCCGCCTCGGCCTCCCAAAGTGCTGGGATTACAGGCATGAGCCACTGTGCCCGACCATGCCTAGGCATATTTCTTTGTATTTATCCTCCCTTGAGTTTATTGAGCTTCCTAGATTTTATAAGTTTATGTTTTTCACCCAATTTGGCAAAATTTAGTTATTATTTATTTAAATGTCTTTTTCTGTCTCATCTCTTTCCTATTCTCAACTGCAATATCTTACATATTATTTGTTATGTTCCACAGTTCACTGAAGCTTTATTTTAATTCTTTTCCTGTGTTCTTCCGATTTGATAATTACTATTGATCTGTCTTCAAATTTGGTGACTAAACATGGTCTCCAATATGCTATTAAACCATGTAGGGATTTTTCTCAATTATTGCACTTCTTAGTACAGTAAATACAATAATTTCCATTGGTTCATTTTTATAGTTTCAGTATCTGTGTAAGATTCATTGTCTGTTTATTCGTATGGCACTATTTTCCTTTACATTCTTGAATGTATCTTTAATAGCTGTTTATTGCCTTTGTTCACTTTGTTCCAGTATCTGTGATTCATATGGGGGTCAAGGTCTATAGACTGCTTTTTTTTCTTGGCTATGGGTCACAATTCCCTGCTTTTTCTATGTGTAATAATTTTTTATTACATAGTAGACATAGTAAATGAGGAATTGTAGAGATTCTGTACTCTTCTGTTCCTCTGAAGAGTATTGACTTTTGTTCTATTAGGTCTGTCTCCTTCAATGTGGACAGAAGCTAAAATCACTGCCCTATTTTTTCAGCTTTCAGATGTTATTGTTTTTGAGCCTCCTGGAGTCAGTGACCAGACAATAATTTGGTCAGAGGTTATCCTCAAATTTAGGGGCTTCTCTGTGGCTGTCTTATTTTCAGGAGTACCCCCTAATTTTGCAGCTGCTCTGCTAGTCCCAACCTATGTTCTCTGAAACTTCAAACCAGTGAGCCTGTGGCTTTTTGCCAGCCTGTGATGCATGGATTGAGAAGTACCCTCCAGCATAAGCTCACAAATCTCTCTTTTTAGTGGTGACTTCTCTTCAGTTCCTTTGGAGGAGCTTTCAAATCTTTTTTTTATGTTTTGTCCAGAACATATAATTGTTACCTGTGAGAGGGTTACTTCAAATTATTCCACTATAAATGGAAGCCAGAATTTTCCTACCCTTAAATTTTTTTTTTAAGATGAGTCTCACTATGTTGCCCAGGCTGTCTTTGAACTCCTGGGCTCAAGTGATTATCCCACCTCAGCCTCCCAAGTAGGTAGGCCTATTGACATGAGCCATCATACCCAGTTAATTTTTTAACTTTTTGTAGAGACGGGGTCTTGCTGTGTTGCCCAAGCTGGTCTCAAATTATTTTCCTGCCTCAGCTTCCCAAAGCACTGGGATTACAAGTGTGAGCCATCATGCCTGGCTCCTTAAATTTTAACAACATATTTGAACTTACATTTTTCCCTCAACACCTATACCTAGTAGACTATTATTTATCTTCTCCCTTCAAAAAAAAAAGTTATTAGTGTTGACAATGTTGGCAGGCTTTCATTTCCCTTCTGGCCAAGTTGAAAATTCATTTAGGATTTTAGTTCCTGCTTTGGGGATTTTATTTTTGTATACTATTTTATCTAGGGGTATGAGTATAAGTTCAAAATAATTTTCCTTCAGAAGTTTGAAGATGTTCCATTTTCTTCCAGCTTACCATTATTGCCAGTGAAGAGCTTGTTAGCAATATATTTTGGGGAAGGGGTCATGATGTGTATATATGTTGAAATTTTAAATTTTATATACAGTAAAATTGACTTCTTGTTGTACTGTTCTAAGAGTTCTTAGAACCATTCTGGCTACTTTCATTGTGGTGGAAACAGCTCAGATTTAGATCTTGCAGATTTGGTTGTGGAATCTGCCTATAGCTCTCTGTAGCTCTGTAACCTTGGTAAATTTGGAACAACATGGAGTATGAATAAAGAAAACATCTCTGTGTCACATTTCCTTATTTGCAAAAAAGGATGATGCCATCTTTCCTGTCTACCACTCTGGGATCTTTCCTGAGGATCAGATGAGACCGTGTATGTGAAAACATCTTGAAGAACATAACACTTATATGAGGGACCGTTTAGTATTTCCATTTGCCCTCCTATCCTGTATAGATGATTCAGTAACATTGTGTGTGAAAAAAATGATTTAAGCATTATGAACTGCTGCAATATATAGCAAATAAGGAATCATTATACTATTATCATTATGTTAGTAGTGGACTACTGAAGACTAGAAACTCTCAAGAGCCAAAGAAGAGTTGAGTTTTTGTATGCCATAATAAATGGAAGAGTGTGTAGGGATGGAAAAGGGGGGGTGTCAGAAGTACCTGCACGTTTACACCCTGTAAAAGATTAATACCTACTTTGCATTCCTCTTTGTTGTCTCTGCCCTTGGAGACTCCTTTACTTTCATAAATATGGAATGCTTAAACAATGCACCCAGTTTAGTGTCGGTGTGGAAGGAAGCTCATGTTGACCCTGCAACTAGATTAATGGGGGAAAAAAAGGTCTGTCTTGAGCCTGTGTGCTTTAACCATGTGAAATTTATTGAAAAAAAAATCAGGAATATTGAGAGAAAGAGTTGGAGCAGGGAAGACAGGACAGAGAAGAATGGATAAAAGCATGAATAGAAGAAGAAAGATAGGATGTTTGAGCATCCTAATGCTCAGGCAGAGGCAGATGTGGTCAGTTGTTGACTGGGGAAGGAACTAAATATAAAATGAGCCAAATAGAGTGATGGAGGCTTTTTACTGCCTGAGTCAAAACAAGCAAGGGCCCAGGCTTCTAGATCTTATTGCAGAAAGATTGATTTCGACAGCATATAATTTGCATCCTCGTTCCATGGGAGAAGAGGTTCATAGATGGGCACATGTTCTCACACCCTTGAACCATGAATTGGAGTTTTCCACCTGAAAGGAGCAGAGACAGACTAGTGAGCAGAAAGCTTCGTCCTCCAACCTTAGCCTTTATCTGTGATGCTCAGTGTCTCCATGCAGGATGGTCAAGACCTCCACTTGTCCATTATCCCTTCTCTTTCTCTTCTATTTGCTTCCTCTGGGAACTTGCCCCCCATCAGTTGCCCACTCCTTTCTTATATTGTCAGTCCGTTTCTATGGACTCCTTTTTTGGTTTACAAGGATGCTCAGGTTACCCCAAATTTAAAATACTTTCTCTTAATCGTGCTACTCCCCTAGCACTATCCTTCCTTTCCTTACAGCCTTCCCAGAGTCTGCCTATCCTCCTCACCTTGGCCCCTCACAGTTTGAATCATGACCCTACTATGCCGAAACCTCTCTCAAAAGTCATAGAGATCTACTCATCAAATTCTGCATCCTTTTCTCAGGACTTTTTTAACCTCTTTGCTTGCACATCATACTGTGGACTACACCCTTTCTTTTCTTTTCTTTTTTTTTTTTGAGACAATCTCGCTCTGTTGCCCAGGCTGGAGTGCAGTGGTGCAACCTCAGCTCACCGCAGCCTCCACCTCCCAGGTTCAAGCGATTGTCCTCCCTCAGCCTCCTGAGTAGCTGGGATTACAGGCGCACCACCACACCTGGCTAATTTTTGTAATTTTATTAGAGACGGGGTTTCACCATGTTGGTCAGGCTGGTCTCGATCTCCTGACCTTGTGATCCGCCCACCTCAGCCTCCCAAAGCGCTGGGATTACAGGCGTGAGCCACTGCACCTGGCCTGAAACTACACCCTTTCTTGATACTCTCTGCTTCTGACAAGGTCTTCCCCACTGCTCATCTACTCCTCTGGATCCAATTATTTCTGCTCTCCCAAGTTGAACTGTCACATTACCAACTAACCGATGATCACCTCCATGCCAATATGCTAAGGGCATCTAAAACTTACTATGCCCAAAATGAAACTCATTACTTTCCTCCCCAAACCTGCTTGTTTTTGTGAGTTTCCTTTATATACTTCCTGTACCACACCTTCAAAACCTCTGTCATCTCTGATTCTTCCCTTTGCTTTTTCCATCCAATTTGTTGTGAAGGTCTGTCAGTTCTACTTGCAATCTAGTTTGTTTCTGTCACTCGGTTTCCATTTATCAAACATTTGGCCGGGCACAGTGGCTCATGCCTGTAATCCTAGCACTTTGGGAGGCCGAGGCAGGTGGATCACTTGAGGCCAGGAGTTCAAGACCAGCCTGGCCAAAATGGTGAAACACTGTCCCTGCTAAAAATACAGAAATTAGCCAGGCAGGCGCTTGTGATCCCAGCTACTCAGGAGGGTGAGGCAGGAGAATCGCTGGGGGGCAGAGGTTGCAGTGAGCTGAGATCGCGCCACTGCACTCAGCCTGGGTGACAGCAAGACTCCATCTCAAAAAAAAAATTAACGGACCTAGTAAGGAACTATGCTAGACTCTGGAGAATGCAAAGATTAATAACATCATTTGATGTCAAGAGCTGAGAGAGATAAAAATAGCCAATTATTACATGCAATGGAAAAACCATGTTATATGCTATGCTGGCAAATAAATGATTAATTTTGGTATTTTGATTAAGGGGGGCATAGTATCAAGGAAATTCTTAGGAAGGAAGTGAGACTGAACTAAGCTATGAAGAATTGTTAGCATTTCGATTAGAAAGGAAAGAGGATAATTTCAGGCTGAAGCATAACTGGAGAAAACATGAAAACATGAAACTGTTCAGGAAGTGGTGACTTGCGTAGCTGGAGTAAGTGTAGAGTGTAAACAGGGATGCAGAATGAGTGAAAAGACATGGGAGAGATGTTAATAAGTCTTTCCATCAGTCACTCCTATTACCTTTTACTGAAATATTACAATAGCCCTTTAACAGGTTCTCTTGTGTCCACTGTAACTTGCTTCTAAGGTAATCTTCCTGAAGAAGCGCTTTGACCAACCTGGATGGGCTACTGGCTCTGCCTTTTCCTAGTAACAGGTCTTTAGGCAAGCTCCTACTTTGTGAGGATTAAATGATAAAGGGTATTTTAAAATGCATATCATACTGTCTGGAAGCAATAAATAAAGGAGAACTATTAAATTCAAACTCTTTTTAACTGACACTGAAGCTCTTGTATCAGCTGGCTCCAGTCAACCTTTCCAAGTTTATCTTCTATGTCTCTGCTCACCATCCTCAAAAAACTCTTTGCTCTTTTTCCTATTTACATCCTGCACTTTTCTGACTTTTGCTTTCATTCCCTGTCTCTGGAATACCCATCAACCATTGCTGTATGACTAAATCAGTATCTCTTTAATCTTGACTGCACATCGGAATTGTCTAGGAGCCTTTAAAAAAATACTGATGCCTGGATTCTATTCCCAGAGATCCTGGTTTAATTGCTTTGGTGCAACCTGAACATTAGGATTTTTTAAAGTTGCTCAGGTGATTGTAATGTACAAACAAGATTGAGAACTCCTGGCCCAAATCGTAAATGTTCCCTCAAAGCATTTTCTGAATACCACCTTCTCCCCATACTTCTCTGCACCTCTAATCTTTCCTTTCCCTGAACTCTCTGCACTTTATATGTGCCTTTCTTAAGACACAATTTTCTCCCTTGTGATATTGTTTCTTATTTCTTACATTATAACATAATCTCTTTGTACACAGTTTATATTTGAGTCATCTTTCTGTAGTTCATGGTATGTGTCATTAATGTTTTCCGAGTGATGGTGGATGAATGTCTGCATGTAGAAATAGGAAAATGACATTTCTAGTGAGGAAGAAGAAAAACTACAAGAGGAGTCAGGCAGTGTGGTTCCTGGGATGGAAATAACCAGTATCCCTTATTTTAGGGATGAGGAACTGAGAGTAAGGGTAAAGAGGTGTGGGAATATACTCAGACTGGTCTGGTAACCTGTGAACACAGACTTGTAGACAGTTGTTTATTAGTTTATCCATTCAATATTTACTAAATGCCTACCATATGCTTGACATTGTGCTAGGTCCCAGGAATATATAGCTATAGCTTACAGTCAATGTCCCAATGGCTCATGGGGCAATCAACACATTGCTTTAATGGGAAGAGACAGCTAGTCTCTCTGCCTTCTCTTAGGCCTAATGGGAAGGGCATCTATCTCTTCATCAGTACCTGGTGGTAGAATAAAGAATTCTATTCTTTATTTTCTTTCTTTCTTTATTTTTTTTAGATGGAGTTTCACTCTTGTCTCCCAGGCTGGAGTACAATGGCATGATCTCAGCTTACTGCAACCTCCGTCTCCTGGGTTCAAGCGATTCTCCTGCCTCAGCCTTCCAAGTAGCTGGGATTACAGGTGCCCACCACCACACCTGGCTAGGTTTTGTATTTTTAGTAGAGATGGGGTTTTTTCATGTTGGCCAGGCTGATCTGGAACTCCTGACCTCAAGTGATCCACCTGCCTTGGCCTCCCAAAGTGCTGGGATTTTAGGTGTGAGCCACCTCGCCTGGCAAGGGATTCTGTTCTTAGTCCTTGAAAAAATAAAGTTCTGAATCTTCAAGTTCCTTGATTCTTTCCTGGGCCCCTGTCATTCCAACTGCCCCCTACCAGAAGTAAGTTGATGTGTTCTCAGGCAGAAATTGCCTCATGAAGTCCCCATATACCTTCAAAGATCTTCTTTAACATGCACTGCTGGGAATTCTGAGTGATGCAGGTTCCCTCTCCACGAAGACATTTTCCTTGATCATTCATATAAGCACATGTGTAGCAATTTAATATTGTGCCTGAAAATTTAAGATAAGCCTGATGACATTTCCTTGTGGACCAGATGTGTAGCCTTGATTCACATCTGGGAGGGGTAATGGGCAATAGGTAGCATGGATACTACACATTTATTTCTTAGTTCTTTTTGGGGATCTGGGCCCTGTGTCTGATAGACCTGTGCCAGAGGAAATTCCTTCATTCTTCTTCATCTCTGACCCTCATTGCTGATGAATCCCAAATTTCTCTCTCTAATATTTTTACTCCAGTCCATATCTGCATTGACTTCCTGGGCATTTATCATTAGATACCCTTCTGTCATGTGACAGCATAGGAGCAAAATGTATGTGTGATTTTCATCTCCCTTTTGTACTCCCCATCATACTCTCACCCACAAGGCACAAACACTTGGAGTCATATTTGACCGATTAATAAGCTATGTTAGAATGCTCTAACATTGCAAACCCTGTGAAGAGTGTGTCCTTCTCCATTTTCAAATTGACCTTATTGAAGGTCACTAACAGCACTATCTTTGAAATACTTCCATGTTGCCTCTTTTACTGTCTCTACTGCTAATCCCCCAGTTTGGGAAGCCTAAAGAAGTGGAAAGATTATGGGCTTTGCACAGTCCTAAGTTTGAATCCAAAGTTTGCCACTTTCTAGCCATGTGACATTGGACATATTACATTTGCCTCACTTCTTTCATCTGAAAATTTAGAATAATGATATTTAAACAATAGAGTGAAATGTGAACTATGTCTGGTAATAACTTGAGGCATCAAACTTTGGGTCTTGTTTTCTTTCCCAGAACAAACCCTTTTAATTAAGAGCCACAGACTAGCAGTTGTCCTAGGAACTCATTTCTGGATCTAAAAGAAAATAGCTTTACATTCCATGTTCAAACAAAAAGAACCACCAGCTGCACACATCTCTTTACAGAATTTGTAAAGTTATAGCATTCTAACATGGTTTAAGAGGCAGGGTTAGCATAAAGCTAATGAAGGTTAGTCTTCAGAACTCTGCACTTTCATGATCCCCTTCTAGGGAAGTCGGAAGGGCTGTGTATTCATAATTTCTTATGGAGAGTGAAGTTGGAGGGGTACTGGCATTTTGTATTTGTTTTATTTTTCTTATAGAGGGCCCTCCATATTGTTTAGCTTTCAGGCTCCCACATGCCTCTTGGTATGATTGTGACGAGAACTAGAGAGACTTTGAGAGAGCTGTTTGTGAAGTGTTAACAATTCTTTCTTCTGCACTCCTTCCCTAAAATTGGGTTTTCTTGATGTGTTCCCCATTTCCCACCTGAAGTCAATGACTGGCACCCATCCAAACATGGCTCACCTGTAGATGTGCTTGAAATTGGTGCACCTGAAGCCTGTTCCCCTGAAGCGTGCTCACCTGAAGGCTGTTCACCCGAGGCCTGCTCACCAGAAGGCTGTTCACCGGAGCCATGTTCACCTGAAGGCTGTTCATCTGAAGGCTGTTCACCTGACTCAAGCTCACTCAAAGGCTGTTCTCCGGAGAGGTGTTCACCTGAAGGCTGTTCTCCTGAAGGCTGCTCACCTACAGTATGCTCACCTTCAGCATGTTCAGTCGCAGCGGGCTCACCTGAAGCATGCTCACTCTCAGCATGTTCTCCAGAAGTGTGCTCGGCCACAGTGTGCTTGCTTGAACCATGCTCACTGGAACCATGCTCACTTAAAGTGTTCAGGCCTGAAGAAGTCTCATATAAAGCCTCAGCATCAGAAGGGTTTTCAAGTGAAAAGAACTCACCTGGAAGTTGCTGAACTGAAGTTTGATGATCTATGGAGCCAGAAAGCTCATTAGGCTGACTTGATGTTCCTGGGATGGAGAAGGAACAGAAGAGAGTTGGTGAAGCTGACAGAATGGGATAAAGACTATCTTCCTATGGAGTTAGGCTAATGTTATGAGACTCCTAGGTTTCCTATGGGCCTAGATTGGGCACCTGAAGACTGCAGATGTTGGGAAAAATCAACTAAGTATCCCAAAAGGCCATGGAGGACAGAAGTGTTTAGTGAAACAAACAGAGGCCACCTCTGGGATTGAAGGGAAGAATCTTAAGTTCCCCAATATTAAGAACTACTTAGGAGAATCCACTCATCCATGTACAAAAAACCCCTGAAGGAAAATGAATGTGCCTCCCTGACAAAGTCAGCATCAGGAAGTCAGGATACCATCCCTGATAGAATCAGAAGTTCGCCACCAACCCTCCCATTCCTCTATGGGTGAAAGACAAGAAGAGTAGAGATAGAAGAGGGAGAGAGAAAGCAAGTAGTTTTCAATACCTGAGTATTTGTAACCTAAATTAAGGGCGGAAGAGTTAACCTTTGGACAGGGATGACAAGTATGAGCCCACAAAAATTATCAGAAGGGATTAAGCCGCCTGTATTTGGTAATGTCAAGTATTTTCTCACACTCAATCCCCAATCCATGTGGGTTGGGGATTCAGAGAGCAAAGTTGCTATAAGCTATTAAGGTAAAAAAAAAAAAGTCTAGGCATATTATATATATATATATATATAGACACACACACATATATGAATTGTATCCTTGTGACATACCATTTACATTCACTTCATGGAGTTGTCCTGAGTACTTAATAAGATAAATTGTGAAGTGCACCATTGCCTAGTACTCAATTTTATTTTTCTTTTCTTCCCACCTTACACTGGGAATTACAAAACTCTTACATGGTTATTTTTTTCTGGCCAGTCTCTTCTACCTTTAATCCGTCTCTTTCTTTTTTTTTTTTTGTTTCAAAGATAGAGTCTCGCTCTGTTGCCCAGGCTGGAGTACAGTGGCACAATCTTGGCTCACTGCAACCTCCGCCTCCCGGGTTCAAGTGATCCTCCTGCCTCTGCCTCCCGAGTAGCTGGGATTACAGGTGCATGCCACCATACCTGGCTAATTTTTGTATTTTTAGTAGAGACAGGGTCTCGCCATGTTGGCCAGGCTGGTCTTGAACTCCTGACCTCAAGTGATCCGCCCGCCTCAGCCTCCCAAAATGCTGGGATTACAGGCATGAGCCACTGTGTCTGGCCAATCCATCTCATCATTGACTGTCAGACAAATATTCCTTAAGTATATTTTAAGTGAACAGAAGCACAAAACAGATAATTTGATTATTACTCTTTGATTAAACTGAGCCACCTAGAGGAAGACAAGTAGACTACAACAACCAAGTTATTTAATTCTAGCCAAAAGCTGAGAGGAATTATTGGATCTTTGAGGCTGAGGTAGTCTAAAACCCCAGAGTACTCAAAACTCTAAGAATCTTGCGATAGATATATTTTCTTGGCACAGTGCAGTACTTACAATCAGTGACTTTCTAAATGACTAGGGTGAGAATATGTTGATAAAGGAAAGGTAAGATTTAGTAAAGCTTTTAGGAGGTTTTTATTTTTTAAACTTATTACATAAATACTATCTACTTGACTGGTTTTTCAATAATTAACACAAGTTTTGATAAAGAGATGTTTCTGATATAGAAAGGAGACATAAAAAGCATGCTAATTTCTTGATCTTATAGTTTATGACTCGTGTCACCATGTGACTGGCACATACTATCACCTGGTGGCTGTGTATCTACATTTTTGAGTCAACTTTTGAAGGTCTAACAAAGCAAAAAGCAAAACCTCTGACAGTCGACATTATAGAAAATACATTGTTTTTTCACTGAAAGCTCAGAGCTCATGGCCTCTTTCTGCTGTAGGAGGCAGGAGGGAACACAGCACACCATGAATGGGGGATCCCAAAAGAAGAGATGATACAGAAAACCTGATTGATATAACACAGCCATGAAGAAGAGGCTTATGAAGTCTCTGGCCTATAGCTCTGTCGTGTTCTGAGGTTGTTTTCTGAACACATTACATCTTCCCATCTCCCATCTTTCCTTGGCACATTAACCACACAAGGATCCCTCACATTTAATTGGTGGGACAAACCTTCATTGGGCTTCTACAGAACCCCTAAGCCTACTTTTTCATCTCATGCAGCATCAGGTATAAATGTTGAGTGGCTAAAATAAGTAGAAACCAGACTGTGCCAAGCCAGTGGGACCCTCTGACTGTAAAGCTATGACTAGAGAAATCAACTGGTTCAGGAGCTCTCCGAGTTGGACTTGTTTAGCTGCTCTTGATTCTGACTCAGATTGGTTTGGGTGACTGAGAGACTGGTCTTCCTTCTTCAAGGCCTGAAATGTCTTAAGGGAGACCCCTTTTGTATTTACCTGAAGCCTAGATCAAACACTCACCTCTGGCAGATCCAAGCAGATAAAGACTCATTAGCAAGAGAAACCTGTTCATCTGGATTTAGGAAAAGAGGGGACCCCAGTGTGGGCCACAGCTTCTTCACAGAGCTATGAAGCAAACTGCGAGCAAAAGCTTCCAGTGCTGAAGCAGAGCTTCTGGGAATTCTAGAACCTCAGAAGTAACCCATGTTTCTTCACAATGGGTTGGGCTCTGAGGTTCTTGTGTAGCCTGTTCAGGCAAGTTGGCCCTTAGCAACCCACTGCTTATTTCACTAGTGAAGACCAATGATTATTTTCTGTGTGCAGGGTAGTGTGTTGGGGCTATCTGCCCTATCTTTAAAAAAAAAAAAAAAGTATTACCAAAAAGCACATATTTTTTGTAATAAAGTTTAAAAGATATCTACTGTCTTTTAAAAGTGTTTTTGACAATGAGATGTAATTGTTGATTGTTTTCTGTTTGGCTTTCTAAATCAGCCTTTCTTGGCTCTGATCTGTACCCTGGAAGGTTGACCTCTGTTGACTTTATCACCTGAATGCTGGCTGGATTTGGCTTCAGATTGGGTTTATACAGGATTGGAGGGGAGAAGAGAGAAAGAGAGAGAGGAAGAGGGAAGGGAGGAATGGGGAGAAAGAGAGCGAGACTGGAATATTTGTTCTTCCTATTCCCTTCCTGCCACAGTTGACACTGGCTGAGTCTACATGACAGAGCTTCTGTTGGGTGTCCTCTCTTCCATGGCTCCAGCTCTCATCCATGCTATGGTAATATGTTTTTCTCCCCCTGCCCTCTTAGGCCTAGGGATGATAATGGTTTCCTGCTGTTACTAAAATCTGGATGCCCAAACTTATCTCTTTTTTTGTTTGTTTGTTTCCTTAACCTTGCCCACTTCTGTAAATAGTCTTTTCATACAGACCTTTATCAACATGGTTTTAGCAGGAAACAGGTGGCAAACTCAAATGGGTAACTGAGGAGAGTTTACACAGATATGGGCAGAGTAAAGAGATCAAGAGACAGTAGAAAGCTGCGTTTTGAGCTGCAACTTGGTAGCAAGGGGGTGGCCAAGCTGAGAAGATGGATGCAGTGAGGCATCCACCTGATATAAAACTAGAACTTATGGAGGATTGAGTGGCAAAGATCTGGTAGCTTCCATTTCTCGCTGCTTCTCTGCTCAGCTCTCTTGAACAACTTTGTTTTATATACCACTGAATGCTAAATCTAGAATAGATGTACTTATTGTTACATTTTGAAAGGAAGGTGAGGGTTAAAGAAAGAGAGAGTGGCGGCTCTACATCAAATCCAGGCTTTCTGTCTAGCATAAGACCTACAGAGGTGGGGGACTAGCTTAATGCCAGTGCCCACTGCTTCGTACAGGTTGGGGTACTTGTAGGTATGAGCAGGACGGGTCTGGGCAGTATGGCTTGCTGCCTGGGAAGATGTTCCCATAATGAGGCATTTTGGCCCTTGTTCCCGCAGAATGTGATGCTGATGTTCCTTGGACTTTTTCCCAGCAGAGTGTGATAAAGTCAGGGAGGCAGTTGGACAGGCTGTTTCTAAGGGCCCAAACCCCCGTGGAATGCTTCACTTTAGCCAAGGTCTGCAAAATGGCGGGGGTCGGTGGGGGTTACGAAATGGTGCAGTTTGGACTAACACTTTATCACTGTTATAATTATTTGTTTCATGTTTGTACTCCCCGTTGGACTCTAAGCTTGAATGCAGAGACCCTGTCTTGACTATTGTTGTAGTCCCAGTACCTAGCAGCATGCCTAAGCTTTTCCTGAAGGAAGGAAGGAATGAGTTACCTTTTGGGGCCTCTCTCTGCCTCATAGAGGAGAATTTATAGAGAATCATGTAAGAGAATCTATAGAAGAGAATCTGGATTAAGGTTCTGGGTTAGTTGAAGACAGCAAGATCACCAGGGATCAAAAGTTACTTGACTTGAGTTAGAGGATAAAGCTAGGATTTCTGAGCCTCAGGCAGGTTCCTTTACAGTAGAGAAAGGTATGAAAGAGCATGCTATCAATAATTCTTTTCCTCCAGGATGAGTTTGGAAGAACAGCTATGAGCCTTGGGTCTGACTTTTGTTGATAGAAGCAGTGGAAATTAGTAGAAGGGAAGAGGTGCTATCTATTCCACCCTAACTTAGAACATAGAAAGACAGACAGTGGGCTCTGGAGAGCTGATGCTTTCAGCTGAAAACAATTGTTTTTAAAAATTCCCTATGTAAATTTGCTTCAAAATAACCTAAATGAGGGATTGTAGCAATGAACGGGGAAAGAAGATAAAATAAGACTGGACACAGTGGCTTGTGCCTGTGATCCTAGCACTTTGGAAGGCTGAGGCGAGCAGATCACCTGAGGTCAGGAGTTCAAGACCAGCCTGGCCAACAT
This sequence comes from Homo sapiens, assembly GCF_000001405.40. Classification (NCBI taxonomy): domain Eukaryota; kingdom Metazoa; phylum Chordata; class Mammalia; order Primates; family Hominidae; genus Homo; species Homo sapiens. The sequence continues at coordinate 125,683,111 of NC_000011.10, forward strand.
GGTGAAACCCCATCTCTACTAAAAATACAAAAAAATTAGTCGGGCATGGTGGCGGGCACCTGCAATTCCAGCTACTTGGGAGGCGAAGGCAGGAGAATCGCTTGAACCTGGGAGGTGGAGGTTTCAGTGAGCTGAGACTGTGCCATTGCATTCCAGCCTGGGCAACAAGAAAGAAACTCTGTCTCAAAAAAAAAAAAAAGAAGATAAAATAAGATTGGTCCTGTGTGCATGATTGTTGAAGCTGTGTGATGGGTACATGCGGGTACTCTCTACTTTTGTATATGTTTGAAACTTTCTATACTGAAAATCTTCAGGGTGGAGGGCAGAAATACCTATTTGGAAAGCCTAGATAATCAATGCCTTATTTAAAATAGCTTCAGGGGATGATGGAGAAGTCTTTTTAATATGTGTGTGCATTAAGACCTAGATAGGAGCTTAACTGCTCCCTATTATACAACTATCCTACACCCAGGGCTGGCTTCCTGAGCAGGCGCATGGGCCCACACTCAAAAGGGCCCTGGTTTCTTGCTTTGCTTTCAATCTCTGGAAATTCTTCGTCACTTTCTAACAAAGGCGCCTCATTTTTGCGTTGCACTGGGTCCCACAAGTGCTGTCTCCAGTCCTGCCTAGATCTCATTTTCCAGTCCCCTTAGGTATATCACCGTCTGGTATTGGAAAGCTTTGGCCTCTGAAACCAGGTTGAGGAAGCTTTCTTTTAGGAAGAGCTGGGGCACACCTAAGTCCAGGCTGCTGGCTTCAAGCAGACATTCCTCCCCTTCTTGCACTCTTCCCTACTTGATAAATATGTTCCCATATAAGTTTGTTGTGCTCTGATTTTTAGTAGAAGCCTTCTCAGAAACATCCCTTCCAACCTCTCCCTCTACTCCTTAGATTTCCTCAGGTTTGATGCTTTGCTAGAAGGACTTACAGAACTCAGGAAAGTGCTTTACTTATATTTACCAGATTATTCTAGAGGACACAGCACAGTAACAGCCACATGGAAGAAATACATAGGAAAGGTATGTGGCGGCAGGTGGGGCGGGGAGGTGGTTGGGTGCAGAGCTTCCGTGGCCTCTGTGGGTGGGCCATTCTCCCAGCACATCAGTGTGTTCATCAACCCAGATGGTCTCTGAATCCTGTTTAGAGGGTTTTATGGAGGCTTCATTACATAGGCAAAATTGATTAAATCATTGGCCATTTGTGGAGCTGAACTTCTCAACCCTTGAATCATGGGATTGGTTTCTCTGATGACCAACCCGTACCCTGAAGCTACCTAGGCCCACTTCATGAATCATCTCATTAGCATAAAAAGACAGTTCCAAGGGTATTAGGATCCCTGTGCCAGGAACCAGGAGCAAGGACCAAATAGATATTTTTATGATGTCACAAAGAAATTCCCAGGATTGCCATGAAGGAAGGCCTCAGCATGATTGCTGTGCAGCTGGGGTGGAGACAACCCTCCCAGATAAGGGCAGGAGAATGAATGGCCCAAAGTGGAAGTCTCCAGAGAAATAATAATATATTATCTGATAGCTCCGATGACAGCCATGTACAAATGTGTACTGAGAAGCTCTTGGAAGGTGGGGAAGCTTAGCCAGAAGCATAAAATTAATTGAGCAAATGATAATGTAATTATTATTTGTAGGAAAAAGAATATAAAATCATGTAATAAAAAATGTCATCCTAGTACTCATTTTATTTCACTTGTGAATACTATTTAAATATCTACCAGTCAGGGCCCACTTGCAGGACACAGGAGCTTGTCTGGTGAGTTACCTTCAGCAGAAAGGTATTAGGTTGGTGCAAAAGTAATTGCAGTTTTTGCCATTCTTTTTTCTTTTTTTTTTTAATGGCTGCCACCTCTATCACAATCAGGAAAGTCACTGTAGAGTGTCAGGCAGCTTCCACAGGAACTGTTGGCTTCAGGAGGGCACCACTGTGTGAGCCAGGAATCAGGAGTGGGCTGCCACTAGGACTTGTAGCTGTATATGCACTCCACGCATGCTAGACGGGCATTGGCAAGACATGGTGTCTTGTTCCTCTTCTCTCACTATCATAAAGCTGGTACCTGGATGTAGAATGCTGCTTCTGCAAAAACAACCAACAAAATAAAACACAAAACACCTCACAAAATTCCAACATATTCTCAAACATCGGAAAACTATAGACATAGCAGAAAGATTGTAATACCTAACCTTGTTTTAAGACTCTCCCTTAGCTACCTAACCTTGTTTCAATATGAATAGGCTCTCCCTTAGTTGAGAAAACCGGACGAACACCATTTGGCTCCTTCATTTACAAGACATCAAGGACTCCTCACCCATCCCCTTCCTCAAGGAGTTAACTTGTGTAAGCAGATCGAAGAGTCCAATTAACTGATAAGGTACTGTGGCAAGCAATGTCCATAGTTCCCAGGAATTCGCTCAAGAGATAGCACCATAAAGCCTCGGCGTTTGTGTCCAGCAGAGCCCCCGTACCTATCGCCTTGTGATAAATTTAAAGCCCCTGCTCCTGGAACTGTTTGTTTTCTTGTAACCATTCGTTTTTTTTTAACTTTTTGCATGTTTTAACTTCTGTAGAATTGCTACAATTAAGCACCCCCTCCCATCTCTAAACCAAAGTATAAAAGAAAATCAAGCCCCTTCTTCAGGGCCGATTGAATTTCGAGCGTTAGCCGCCTCTCGGGCGCTGGCTGATAAACGACTCCTGAATTCGGCTCAAAGTGTGGCGTTTCTCTCTAACTCGCTCAGGTACAACAAGATGACCCTCATTTCTGCATTCTTAATTAGTGAAATTTTAATCACACTGGCAAATGTAGTTCTTGGCTTTCCAGAAAGAAGAGCTATTAGAAGAGATTGGGGAAGATGTTGAGGGCTAATGCACCAAGGCCAGAACAACATAGCCCCCATCTCAAGGCCTTCACATTTACTGCTCCTTCTGCCTGGAGTCCTTTTCCTTCAGTGGCAAAAACTCTCCTTGATCTAACTTGAATCAGGCTCTCTTGAGTCCTCTGCCCCACTAGGCCCAATCTTTGGCTTGCCTTTCTCTCTGTTTGTAAAATCCACTTTGAGCAGGAATCCTGCTAAGTCAGTGCAGTGAAAATCCCTGCCCTTGATATCTGATCACCTGAATATCTATCACCCTGGCTTGCCTTCAGCAAGAATCTATTGAGTCTAGCAAGAATCTTAGAAGTTTCCACATGGTAATGTCCCATCCACCGACCCCTACCCTGCTCCTTGACTGTAACACCCTTTCCTTGTGTTCAGACTACAGCCCAGTCTCTCCCCACTGCAAGAGCGCACTGCATTGGTCCCTATGCCTACAGTGGTAGTTCCCCCTGAAACAAGTCATTGTCTTTAGCAAGCGTCCTGAATACTTGTTTTAACACCAGATACCAGCATGTCTTCCTCCCTCAGTCTCCTTAATTCGGTTCTCTGCTGAAATATCACTTCTCAGAGAAACCCTTTTAAAAAAGCACTCCCTGCCACTGTCTATTGTCTTAGCCTCCTTCAGTTTTCTTCATTGTTTTTATCATTACCTGGCAATATTTTATGTATCATTTTGATTTTTTATCTGTATGAGTGTCCTCTGTGTGTACACTACTCTGTCCCCAGAGTCTGGCATATCTTAGACACGAAATAGATGTCTGAAAGGACGACTAAGCGTTGACTTATCCTGCACTGTGAATCAACTCTATTGAGAGCATGGAGGGAGGGGCGGGGGGATGTATAAAGGAGGGAAGTTCTCATCTATCATCATAAGAAAGTCCATCGATGGCCAGGTGCAGTGGCTCATGCCTGCAATTCCAGCACTTTGGTAGCTGAGGCAGGCGGATCACCTGAGGTTGGGAGTTCAAGACCAGCCTGACAAACATGGAGAAACCCTGTCTTTACTAAAAATGCAAAAAATTAGCCGGGTGTGGTGGCGCATGCCTGTAATCCCAGCTACTCTGGAGGCTGAGGCAGGAGAATCGCTTGAACCCTGGAGGCAGAGATTGCAGTGAGCTGAGATGGTGCCATGGCACTCCAGTCTGGGTGACAAGAGTGAAACTCCATCTCAAAAAAAAAAAAAGTCCATTGATAATGTCTAAGATGAGTGAATCAGAAATAGTGATATAAACTGATTATTTCACGGAGGTAAATCCCAGAAGAATGGGCTGATTATGGCTGGGGACTGTTGGGAATAGGCCCCCAAAATCTGACTATAAACTGGCCCCAAAAATGGCCATAAACAAAATCTCTGCAGCACTGACATGTTCATGATGGCCATGACACCCACACTGGAAGGTTGTGGGTTTACCAGAATGAGGGTAAGGAACACCTGGCCCACCCAGGGCGGAAAACCGCTTAAAGGCGTTCTTAAACCACAAACAACAGCATGAGCGGTCTGTGCCTTAAGGACATGCTCCTGCTGCAGCTAACTAGCCAGACCCATCCCTTTATTTTGGCCCATCCGTTTGTTTCCCATAAGGAATACTTTTAGTTAATCTAAAATCTATAGAAACAATGCTTATCACTGGCTTGCTGTCAATAAATACGTAGGTAAATCTCTGTTCGAGGCTCTCAGCTCTGAAGGCTGTGAGACCCCTGACTTCCCACTCCACACCTCTGTATTTCTGTGTGTGTGTGTCTTTAATTCCTCTAGCTCCACTGGGTTAGGGTCTCCCCAACCGAGCTGGTGTCGGCAGGGGAGGGTGATATAAACTGATTATTTCATAGAGGTAAATCCCAGAAGAAAGAGCTGATTGTGGTTGGGGAGGGTGGGTGTGGGTGTTGGGTGGAGTGGATGGGAGATTGGGGGAGGATGGCCAAGCTTCTCAATAAGCAGCAGTCCATACATGTGTGCTGTTACTTAACCACCTGAAATTCGGAGAAATCTGGACAAGCTTCAGAGAGGAGCTCCCATTCCATTAGCCTCTCGCAGTTTATATAGCAGAAATCCCTTCCTGACCTCCGCAGGCCCAGACCACTGGTCCATTCTGCATGAACTATCCCTTCCTGGAGGCTGGTGAAGCCTACACGGGCACCAGAAGGCCTCTCAAGTTTGTGCTGACTTGGAGCCAGAGCCACCAGAGAGGGAGGAGGAAAACAGAAAGAGCAACCGTTTTGTCTCGCGCGCATCCCTCTGTGTGTTCCAGCACTGCCCCCGCTGATGCGGCTGCACTGGCACGGCGCCACCCAGGAAAGGCCACCATGCAGACTTGAATTGGAACCTGCTCTGAATGTTTCTGGCTATGTGACCTTGGAAAGAGAATCACCCTCTCTGAGCCTCCGTGGCCTCATGCGTAGAATTGAGATAATACCATTTCCATGTTTCACACTTCTGAGGATGAAATGAGGCCATGTAGGTGAACACACTCAGCACAGTGCCTGGCATGAGGGAGGCATTCACAGAGTAGCCACTGAGTATGATTTTCCTTCCCTTGAGGGTTTCAGTTTTGCTGATATTATAATAACTGTTTAATTTGCTCCTTGTTCACATGGCACTTTAGAGTTTACCCTGTATATCAGTGATACTGCCAAGCATATATTGTCTCTATTTTACAGAGGAGATTCTGAGAAACTACATAGGATGTAATCCATTTATCTTGACTTGACATCCCATCATGCTCAGGAGTGCATGATTCTCCATGACTGGTAATAATGTGTGTTGAACACATTCCAGGGCCACAGCTCCAGGGAGAATGACCAGGGCAGTGGCTGGGAGGGAGGAGGAGTCTATGAACTCTGAGAACCTCTCCTCACAGGCCTGAGGCCAGCTCCTCACTGTGAGCCTCCTCCCACCGCTCCCCACCCTAACCTGAGCACACACCTGGCCCTCACAACCTCAGAGCTCAGGGCACAGGAGCGAGTGCCATCTTCCCAGACCATGCGGGGGCCTCCACTGCTAAAACCCTGTTCAGGCAGCAACTTCTGCCAGAGACAGTGCTGTGCGAAAAGTGATAATTTCTTCATCTTCAGCTTAACATTTTATCCCCTTTTAACAAGCAAAGAAAGGATTAGAGAGATTCAATATCCTCTCCAGGACCATACAGTGAATAAGTGGTAGGTCTGAGATTGAAATACACAGACAGCTGACTTCAGAGCCTAAGGGATATTCTTGTTTAGATTTCTTTTTCAATTATGCCTTGTGGTCTCCTTGGGACAGAAAAACATTGTAAAAGGAAGAAAAGGGAATACCTATTTACAGATAATGTTCATAGTAAGGCAGAATAGGATTCAGCATTATAAGGGAGGTTAAAATGGAAACAGGAAATATTGGAGGCAAAGGTAGGAGAAAAGGGTATCGAATATTTTATGTAAAATTGCCATTGGGATGGGACTACAGCAGTGGCTCTCCTCTGGGAGTGAATTCCCCTCCAGGGCACATTTGGCAATGTCTGGAGAGATCATCAGTTGCACAAGTTGGGGATGAGCTGCCGTTGGAGTGTAATCCTGGAGGACTGGGTATAAGGTGAGGCCCATTTGGGGAGACTCTTGAATGCCACACCAAGGAGTTGCTGTTTCATCAGGTGGACCAGGAAAGTATTTTGAGCAGGAGAGTAAAATGATTGTAACTGTACTCTAGGAGGCCATACCCAGGCAGGCATGAGCGCTGCACTGCAGCTGAGAGAGTGAAGAAGTGGTGATTACATCCAAGAACACAAAGGCCAAAAAATGGACGAGGCCGAATTCCATGGAAGAAGCTGCAGAGACATCAGGAGGAGCCAGAGGTGACGTTCTGAAAGGTTTCACTGCCAGTGCCTGTGCCACAGGATTGCCCTGAGAGACAGAAGCGTGCAGAGGCAGAAGGGACACATCAGGAGGCTGCACACCACCAAGCTCAGCTCTCTGCATATGTGGAAGCTGCACTGCCACCCACCCTGCCCTCCACATCTGGCAAATATGTGCAGACAAACATTGCTAGGGAAAAATGTAGTGGGGGTTTTTGCTTGCTCCCCAATGCTTTCCAAGACAGCAGCTTCACCAAGTCATTGTGGATTCAATGTGTGATCAAATAAATTCTGTGATTCCTCCCATGGGAACCCAGTCAGGGACACCATGATAAGGATCCTGCCAGTGGCCAGGTCTGTACACTAGCTGTGCAGAAGTGGCATGCTTGCGAGTGCACCTCAGGGAGTCACTGTCAGCTACCAGTGTCCTGACTCAGCCAAAGGCAAATGCAGAGGCTGCGTGTGCTCCAGCCACAGGTTGCAGTTCTTCACTCTTATCCTTACATCTACTAAAAATCAGAGCACAAAGAAACTTATCTAGGAAAAACTTATTGAGGAACATATTCATCAAATAGGGAAGAGTGCAAGAAGAGGAAGAACTGTCTGCTTGGAGCCAGCAGCCTGGACTTAGGGGTGCCCTAGCTCTTCCTAAAAGGAAACTGCCTCAACCTGGTTTCAGAGGCCAAAGTTTTCCAACATCAGATGGTGATGCTCCTAAGGAGACTGGAAAATGAGATCTAGGCAGGACTGGAGACAGTACTTGTGGGACCCAGTGCAGAGCAAAAACGAGGTGACCCTTAGAACAAGGGGTGGTGTTTAGAAGGAAAACCGAAAGGAATAGTAGCCAGAATTCAAGAGCGTCAGATATTCTAAGAGGCAGTGAGGGGTTAACATAGTCCAAGGACTTTCAGGGGTCCGATCACACAAGGATGACCTTGGCCATCATTGACGACCTTGGTCAGAGCAAGTTCAGGTGAGAAGCAGAGGCAGAAGGCAGATGAGAGTGAATGAAAGAGTGAACAGAAAGGGAGTGGAGATGGCGAGTGTGGCCAGCTCTGTAAAGCAGCTTTAGGAGGAGAATGAGATGATGGTGCGGCAGCCATAGAGAGGGTAGAAGCAAGGACAGCTTTTTAAAGAAACAAACAAACAAACAAAAAACCCCAATGATTTTGGCATGTTTTTAGGCAAGGATAAATTTCTCTCTTATGTTTTTCTTTCCTCAAATTAATACAGAATGTCTACGTTATGGATTTGGGAATCTCTACTTTTATTCATCTTTTTATCACTCTTTGCACCTTTATTTTTTCCTTCAGCTTCCCTCTCTTCATCTGTTTATCATGTTTCATATTTCTCTTTTCTTTTTCATTCTTTCCCCTCTCTCTTCTTCCTCTTCACTCTCTCTCTTTTAAAACAGGAGTTAATGTCAAAATAAAGGATATTTTTATTATTTATATTATTATTAAATCCATTTTTTAAATTCCCATTTTAATTGTATATGCCTATAATTAGCTTATAACATTTTCTTTCTGATAAAAGTTTCAACAAGCATGTCTTTAATGCTCAGATTATTACATATGTTTTAATGGACTTTTAAAACATGAGAATGAGAAAGGAGAGAAATGTAAAGCAGATGAGTCTGTCTAGGTCAGGATCTGGTTAATTCTCCCTGTACCTACACAAAAGCACCAACCCAAACAGAAACAATAACCAAACTCAAATTCTTCAGCCTAAATGAGGAAATTCAGTCTGGTCCTAATCAAGAGAGACAGGGAAAGACCAAAAATGATAAAGGCAGGACCAATGAGTGGAATTTGTATTGTTTTAAAATGACTTTTATAATTTCTCCAACTCCAGTTGAACAATGAGAACACTTGGACACAGGGAGGGGACCATCACACACCGGGGCCTGCCAGAGGGTGGGGGCAAGGGTAGGGAGGGCATTAGGACAAATACCTAATGCATGCAGGATTTAAAACCTAGACAATGCATTGACAGGTGCATTAAACCACCATGGCACATGTATACCTATGTAACAAACCTGCACATTCTGCACTTGTATCCCAGAATTTAACTAAAATAAAAAAATAAAAAATGATAAAAAATATAATTTCCCCAACTTCTCTGTTGAGCAAATTAAGACTTGGTCACTGTAGTGGATACATATCTTTACATATTTGTTGAAACTCAGAAAGCACAGCACCAACAGTGAACCTTAATGTAAACTCTGGTGATAAGGATGTGTCAATATAGGTTCATCAGCTGTAACAAACAGACCTCTCTGGTGCAGGATGTTAATATTGGGGGAGGCTGTGCATGTGTGGGGGCAAAGGATATATGGGAACTCTGTATTTTCTGCCCAATTTTTCAGGGAACCTAAAACTGCTCTAAAAAATAAAACCACGTTTGTCACTGTAGACAATTTTAAAAATACATAACATTATGTATAAAAAGTTAACATAGGCCAGGCGCAGAGGCTCACGCCTGTAATCCCGGCAGTCTGGGAGGCTGAGGCAGGCAGATCATGAGGTCAGGAGATCGAGACCATCCTGGCTAACACAGTGAAACCCCGTCTCTACTAAAAATACAAAAAAAAAAAACTTAGCCAGGCGTGGTGGCGGGCACCTGTGGTCCCAGCTACTCGGGAGGCTGAGGCAGGAGAATTATGTGAACTGGGGAGGCGGAGCTTTCCATGAGCCAAGATCACACCACTGCACTCCAGCCTGGGCAACAGAGCGAGACTCCGTCACCAAAAAAAGTTAACATAACCAATAGCCTGTTAACTAGATAATAGGTTAACCTAATAACCTACTAACGAATATAAATATTTTGGTTTCCACACTTCCAGGCTAATTATCATGTACATAAGTGTATAACCATCTCCATCTGCCTGGGAAAGAGGGTTTTCTGGGATGTAGGACCTTCAGCGCCAAAGCCAGGAAAGTCCCAGAGACAACCGAGATGAGTTGGTCATCCTATTATAGTTTTATGTTGTATTCTATTTTCTAAAAAGATAATGAAAATGTAGTATTTGGCTTTTGAATGGCAATTTTTTCTTGGACCATCAGGTACCAAGGTGTTGCTGGGATCACAAATGAGCCAGCCAAGCTCCTTGACTGCTGACCACCACTCACAGACCACCACCCACCCAGGACTCATCGCCCAGGAGGAAGAGCAGAGCCACACTCAGTGCCAATAGCTTGTCCATCGTCCTCAGGAAGGAGGTCCTGGAAGCAGGCTGCCACTGAAAGGCCAGCTTTCCCAGGCTTTGGCTCTCTCCTAGCCCTGGGCAGGGGGCAGGGACCCACTGTCTGCAGAGCCGTTTTGCTATCAGCATCTTCTGACTCCCACTGCAGGAGTGTTACAGCCCCGTTGCACTTTCTGCAGAGTAAACACCCTAGTTTATGAAACTTTTTTTTCTGTTTTTTTAGGGCGGTGGGAGAACCTGAGGACAGGATCTCTGAAGGAATAGTAACATGGTGTACAGGAAGAATTGATGTTTGCTGGGAACCTGACACACTCCAAGCCTGAGGTCCCTGAGCAACTTCCCACCTCACTCCATCCCTCCTTCTCCCCTACCCACTTACTCTCAGGTAGAGAGCAAGCCTCACACACAACCTGGGGAGAGTCCAGGCTGCAGTGCAAGGGCAGAGTAAAGAACTCCAGGCTGAAAATGCATCAAGTCGGGGAGCTCCACCTGCCTGAGGAAGAGCTCCTCCATCAGACCACACCTCCTGCCAAACAGACATACCTGGGGACCAGGTGAGCAGGTGATGGAAGAGGATACCATGTTTCCTGTTGAAACATGAATGGTACCTATCATGGTAAATCTATTCATCATCCCGTATCATAGTATTCTCTATTCAGAAGCTGTCTGGACATGGGGAGTTATTCACTTGTCCTGTGGCCCTGGGCTGAGACAGTGACTGCTCAGGGTAGAACAAGAGTGCAAGGAAAAGTTGAGATGGGAGATAGCCGGCCTCTGTTTTAGGACATGACAAAGAAGGAATAAGGGACTTCATGAATGAGTGTGTGTGAATGGGAATGGGGTGGCATTGGGAGGAGCTGCTAAGAAAAGCAAAAGTTCATGGAAGAGAAAGGTGTCCCGTATTTAGGCTTCCTTTGATTCCCAGTTCCGATTTTAAATATGACTTTTTAAAGAGTGTTGTTAATAATAACATACAAGGATAATATGAAGAGTAGAAACAATAGTTATGGTGTCCCAGATCTGCTAAGAACCTTATGAACAATAGTCTCATATGTTTCTGATAATAGCCTTAGAATTTAAGTGTGGTTATTTTCTCTATTTCCTTGATGAGGAAATTAAGGAAAACGATTCAGTAACTCGTTGCCAGGGTTTCTTAGCCAATAAGTGCTGGCACGAGGCTTCAAACCCAGTCGCATCAGATTCTGGAGTGCGTGTTCTGGCCAGGGCACTCCCCTTGTGAGTCTCAGCCTAGATGCTTCACTGGAAGATCTGATGGGGGTTGGAGTGGGCCTGGAAGCTTGTGGTAGTTCTGAACACCCAGTGTCTTGAATGGTCAGAGGAGGTGGTTCCTGCACTGGGAGAGAGATTGTGCTTGATGATCTCTGAGTAGGCTGGCCACATAATACACCCTGGGGACTGAGACATAATGGGGAGGAAAAGGAGCTTTACTAATCATTAAGCTTGGACAAGGCCATAGACTAAGAATAAATCTAAGATTCATCAGGCCAAAATACGTGGCATTCCTCAAGGACCTCATGTCTTCATGGACCTCCCAATCTTCTTTTTTCTTGAATAGCCTGGACGCTCTGGGGTTTGGCATTATTCAGTCCTCCTAGACCCTCTACACATATCTCCCACCATAAATGAAGCAGAAATGTGGGGTGATGGTGTTCAGGGTCTCTGGAGTGTGGGTGATGGGGAGGAAGTGAGACTGCTTAGTGTGGGGCACTATTCTGGGTATGGAAGTGATGATAACCCATGTGGGAAAGGTATGAAGGTTGTAGGTTCAGGTATGAAAGAATGAATATGAACTAAAGGGAATTGTGAGGAAAATACATACAGGTGGTCTTTGTTTTGCATGTGTCCCATATGCATGAATATAAGTTACCATGGATTAGTTAAATGACACCAGCCCCTCAATAACATAGTTCAAATTTTGGTTACCATGGTATATGTATTATGGATAGTTACATAAAGATGACCTTTGCTACTAGCTCTTCGGTCCACAAATCAACATGTAAATAATTTATGCTTATCAATCAGTTATCAATCATGTCATTTCTTTCAAAGTCTGGCACTGTGCCTCTGTTCATTAGTTCACTCACAGACAACAAAGCATTTAGGTGTGTTGCTTCCTTGTCTCCTGGGAACATATTCACATGATTCAGGAACTCTCGGATAGACTGCATGATACCAAGAGTGCAAAGGGTAAAATGTTGGAAGCTGATCCAAACATAGAAAGAAGTATAGCAATCTATTCAGGGAGTGAATAAAATACCTAGGAATCCAACTTACAGGGGATGTGAAGGACCTCTTCAAGGAGAACTACAAACCACTGCTCAATGAAATAAAAGAGGACACAAACAAATGGAAGAAAATTCCATCCTCATGGATAGAAAGAATTAATATTGTGAAAATGGCCATACTGCCCAAGGTAATTTATAGATTCAATGCAATCCCTATCAAGTTACCAATGACTTTTTTCACAGAATTGGAAAAAACTACTTTAAAGTTCATATGGAACCAAAAAAGAGCCCGCATTCCCAAGACAATCCTAAGCAAAAATAACAAAGCTGGAAGCATCACACTACCTGACTTCAAACTATACTACAAGGCTACAGTAACCAAAACAGCATGGTACTGGTACCAAAACAGAGATATAAACCAATGGAACAGAATAGAGCCCTCGGAATCTGGGAGGCAGCCCCACATGATGCTCAGGGTAAATTTAGTACATAAGTGGAGCTAATAATTTTGGTCTCTGTACATCAATTATGTTCTTATGCAATAGCAGTCATAAACTTTTCCTAGTGGAACCAAGCCCCATAAATGCATAAACCCAGGATTTTGTTTTACAAAAAACAGCCAGGACAGAACATATACACCAGGCTAAATTGTTCCATTGGAAAGGACCCACCACGATCTTTTCCAGAGGAAACACCATTAGGATGTTCAATAAGCATAAATTTCCACTAGAAAATTTGACCAGATCCTTATTTTCTTTTTCGCAACCTCTCTTCCTATATTCTCCAGCTGATAGTACTTTTTTTTCCAAAATCACATTTTGTGTTATATTTGTTAATAACACATTCTTTAAGTCTGCAAAAATCAGAGAGGTGTTAGTAAGTTGATGAGTCAAAGAAATTTATTCTTTGGCATCTGCAATAATTCGTTTGTATCCCATTTCCATTATTTTCTACACCGTCCACAGCCCCTTTTCTGGCACAATTATGATGGGGTGATGTAGGATTGGGAATCATGGGCACCCCTGGCATTCCTCAGCCACTGTGTGAGAGGCATATGCTGAGCATCCTGGTGATGGGGGTAACACAGCAAAGTGAGTCAGTTTGGGGTCTGGGTACAACATGGAACCACTTGTTCATGCACCTCACTCCTCCAGTGCTGCGGTGCAAGCCTGTCTTCCATGCACGGGGAACGGGAGCTCTCATGCATCATAGCTGTGCACTCAAGGTGTAGATTTCAGGCAGGCTTTCTGTCTATGGAAGCATGGGGGTTCTTGGCCCTTCCTCTCCAGCAGCTGCTTTCTGGTCCAGCAGACCATCCTGCATTAATTCACAGGTGGTATCATCCTTTGCCTACTAGTACATATCTTCTGAGTGCCTGCTCTGCCCACTCAGCACGTGCTGTGCAGAGTGCTCTGGTTCACTGAAGATCTGACTGTTAAGGTCTCTGCCATGAAGGGTTGTCTAAATGGAGGAGAGAACCTGCCACCCCCACCTGGATTATTTTGTCTAGCATCCAAGCTGGAAAGCCCTGGTCTTGTTCCATGCTCTTCCTCTCCTTGGCTAGATCTCAGGAGTGCTGAGTATCTAGAGGCTTGATTGTTTTTATCAAGCATGATGAATTAGCTAAAGACATTTTAGAGAATATCAGTAGAAAATTATAATTTAAAAAAAGTGAAAAGTATTTTGTACTCTAAGTGTCTTACCTGTCACACCCTAGTCCAGGCCCTACAGGTAGTATGTGTGGAAATTCTGAGCCTTCCAGCCTAGTGCTAGAGCAGTAAGTGAGAGCCTCTATCTACATAAACCCAGCTTGATTCCAATTCCTCTGTGTTTCAGCGACTGAAAAATAAGGGTATCAAAAGTAGCAGGAATTGTTTCTTACTTTGCAAAATAATCTATCACCTGTAAGGCCTCTGTTACTTTTGTTGTTTAGATAGCATTTGCTGTGTACTTGATGTGTTTTTGATAGACTGAAGACATATCTTAAGTGACATATTGAATGGTAGTAGCAGATACAGATCCTGCTATATGGATAATACTGAATAAGTATTTGCTATTATGACTACTCCCAGCATTGCCAAAACCAATTCAGTAATGGGAGGGCCATGGTCCTGACTATAAGCTCAAACACAGAGAGGGTCGAAAGAAGAGTGAAAGGCCTGGACTTCACCTATGAGGAACAGGACGGGGCTTCAGGGATGTCCTTTATTCTTGGCAGCTCCAAAGGGGCTGGCTCTGTGGAAATCTTTCCTGAGCCTGGACAGTGGTGAAACACCCACTGGCGAGTGTGTAAAAGGAAGCTTCTGCCCACAGCCTGGGAGCAGCTCAGTCCAGACTCTCCAGCCTGCTCTCATCTGCACACTGAAGCAGCCTGTCTTAGCCTTTCCGGAGCACTTAGCTGCCTGGTTCCAGCCACCCTGCTGTGTCTTTCTTACCTCCCAGACTGAGATGGACAAGTTCCCGCTCATGCTCCTGCTGCTGGGGGTTTTTCCTCTTGTGTTCTTCCAAGGTGTGAGTGAGGGTTTGGGCTGGCTGGGGCAGGAGGTGAGAACAGGGGCGAAGATAGCTGGCGAGCAGGCTGAAGATGATCTGGCCAGCACGGGAGGAGGTCAACACCAAGATTCTGGGATGATCTGACCAACAAGAATTGGAGGTGTCTCTCTGCTGTCCCCACCTCAACTCCTACCAGGGCAAGAGGTCAGGCCTCTTCCCGAGGTTTCACTCACTTGGGAAAATCAAGGCTGGTGTGTGTTTCTCAACATGGGGCGTTGAGGCTGTCTGGCTGGGATTATGTGGCAGAGCCAATGATTGCTCAAGGCTTTCTATATAGAAGCAACCTAGGGACAGTGGTCTAGTAGGTAGAAGTCACTGAAGGGCTTATCCTAAACCAGTGTTTCCATAGCAAACATCCTGTACAATCTTTCCATGGCAAGTTTCACTTAGATATGTTTGGATATCAGATACCTCTTTAGCAGGGTGTGGTGGGAAACTTTGTGAGAATGCCTCTCTTCCTTGAAGCCAGCACAGTCTTTATGCCTCTTTCATTTCCCAAGAGATCATCAACCTCAGAGAAGTTGTATGTAGATGCTCTGACTGTGCTCTGCACAAAGGCACCACTGTCAAAGGGATACCTTTTCTTTTATTTTCAATAAAATTAAATCACTTTACCAAATCTCCAGCTCCTTAAGGAACTAATGGACAAAATCTGATGGGAACATTTCCACCTTCTAAGATTATGCTGGGAGATGTTCTTAGGGTTATTCTTTGCCCTTGAACTCCTGGGCCCTAATAGTGGCCTAGCCCACCTTGGTCTCAGCCCATTCAGCCCTGGGCACAGCCTTCACGTTTATTTTCTACAGGTGATGCCACAATGTGCATGGTGTGCAAGCTTTTTAAGAGAGGCCAGTTTAATAGGCAAGGGCAACTGCACTGTGAACCATGGCTCTGGATGCAGAACCAGGGATTTCTTCATTTTTGCTGAGACAGGTAATGCTGTGAGCCAGTCTGAGAGAGCCTTGCTGGGTGGTGAATGCATTCGGGGACCAGACGTGGCATGGATGGGGAAGGTCTCCCCACTTTGAGGTAAAGTATTGTTTCTGGCACTAAATGTGAATGCCTGTCTTCCAGGTGGGTGGTTCTATAATCACACGGAATTGAACTGCTTAAATACATGTGCGCCTTCACATATGTATCTTATGACCTGAAGGTTTCAACCTTTTGCTGTAAAGATCAAGACTTCTGTAATAGAAATAAAGGACAATTAATGACCACGAAGACTGACTGACCATCACTTCCTTGGCAGTGGTGGTTTGCCCTTCACCTCTTTCTGTGCCAGTATCTCTGGTGTGCTCCCCCTCCCCACGTGCTCCTGCTGAGCCTGCAGGATCCTGGAGTGCCCTCCAAGTATCCCTCCTCACTTCTCTCCAGGCTACTGGCTCCATCCTTCTGACGCCAAATACTCTCAGTTCACCCTGTGATATTGTTGCGATGTTTGTCCCCTCTAAATCTCATGTTGAAATGTGATCCCCAATATTGGAGGTGAGGTCTGATGAAAGGTGTTTTGGTCATGGGAGCAGATTTCTCATGAATGGCTTGATGCCCTCCTCATGGGAATGAGTGAGTTCTCACTGTATTAGTTGACATGAGAGCTGTGGTTTAAAAGAGCCTGGCACCTCCTCTCCTCTCTCTTGCTTTGTTTCTTACCATGTGGCACCCCTGCTCCCCCTTTGCCTTCTGCCATGAATAAAAGCTTTCTGAGGCCTCACCAGAAGCCAAGCAGATGCTGCTTCCATGTTTGTGCAGCCAGTATAGCCATGAGCCAAAATAAACCTTTTTTCCTTATAAATTACCCCGTCTCAGGTATTCCTTTATAACAATGCCAAATGGATTAACCCTCGCTTCATTCTCGTCTTCATTCACATCTGCTCATCCCCAGCAGCCCTGTGTCGCTTGCATCTTCTCAGCCCTCACCATTCCTGCATTAATTTGACTGACTAACTGCCCAGTTTCCAGTACCAACAACTTAGCAGTGACTGTAGAGAGCACAGAAAGGTAATGGGCTCCATTTCATACACCAGGAGGCAGAGGGGTCAGGGGAAAACTCAGGAAAACATGTCCACTTGGCAGAGGGACAGAGAGGGCTTAACGTCCAGGAAGGTATCAAGGCCTGGGGCAGACCAGTGGGGTCATCAGCTTTAGATGCCACCTACACACCCAGAACCTACTGATAGCCTAAGTTATGAGATGGAAAGAAGTAACCAGTGAGTTGAGTGAGAACAGGGGTGGATGAATCATAGACACTAGCGACCACCCAAATACAAAGGCAGTGAAGGTCTCTCTCCAAAAGATTGTTGAGTGGTGGTCAGAGAAGTAGCAGGGGAGCCAGCATTCAGCGGCATCACTGTCTGCTTGGACAACGTGGAGTCTGGGGCAGAGCAGCCTCACTGGGGAAGTGGGACAGAAGCCGCATTTCACTGGATGAGGAAAGAGGAGTCTGGGACAGGAGGAAATGGTGAGTAAGCGCAGCTCTTCCAAAAAGTGTAGGAAGAATGGAGAGAGTGGAGTCAAATTTTGTAAAGAAGAATGAGTGTAATATGTTTTTAGGCAAAAGAAGGTGTGTCTTCTCATTTTTTCACATTCCTTTAATGTAAAATTTCTCTTGTTTTGGCTATAGGAGTCTTTGTCATCATCTTATTATCTCTCTCAATGCATAGTTAAACATTTTTTCTCCCATTCTATAATTAATATATCCTGCTCGTTTTGTCTATCTCTTTCTGCTTCTTTTTCTTTTCATGTCTCTGCCCTTATCCATTTTTTTCTTTGTCCTTCTTTTTGCAGTTCATTTTGCAAAAATGGAATTATTATTTACATTTTAAAATTACTGTTTCCCATTTAATATTTAAAACAAAGTAAATGGAGTATGTTATATTTCTGTTGAAAAGACTAACAAAAATAAATTTCATTCCTTTTCTGTGGCTTATGTTTAAAACTTTTTCCTAACTCATTAGAAAAATATTCTAAAAATCTACTTTTCTGTGAGAATGTCAAATTTAAATATTTTCCATAGAATTTTTTCTCGAAATTTGAGACAAGATAGGAGATGAAAGGAAAAGCAGGTTAGATGAGGCATTGTGAGGCATGCCCTAAGTCATAACTTTGTTAGTAAATGTTAAAATATCAGTAATAACCGTGACAGTATCCATGATGATAATCCTAATGCAAATATTCCAGCCTCAATTTATCTGGGTCTACTTATGCCTGGTCTCACCAGAAAAAAACCACAGATGGATCATGGTGATGAAGGCAGGGGCGAGAGCGCTTTTTATTGTTTTTTAAGTTGCCTTTTATCACCTCCCAGCCATTAGGATGGTTACTATCAAGAAGGCAGAAAACAACAAGCGTTGGGGAGGAGGTGGAGAGATAGGAACTCTTGTGCCCTGTTGGTGGAAATGGGAAATGGTGCAGCGGCTGTGGAAATCAGTGCAACGTTTCCTCAAAAAATTAAAAATAGAATGACCATATGATCCAACAATTCCAGTTCTGGGTGTATATCCCAAAGAATTGGAAGCAGGGTCTTGAAGAGATATTTGCACATGCATATTCATAGCTGCATATTCACAATAGCCAAAAGAAGCCAGCAACCCAAGTGTCCACTGACAGATGGATGGATAAACAAAATGGGTTTCTATATCCTGTATAATTTTATTCAGCCTTAAAAAGGAATGAAATCCTACCACATGCTGCAGCGTTATGCTAAGTGGAATAAATCAGCCACAAAAAGACAAATACCTTGTGATTCTACTTATATGAGATATCTAAAGTAGTCAAACTCATAAAAACAGAAAGTGTTAATAAAATGATGGTTGCTGGGTTTGGGAAAGGGCAAAAGGAGTGTTGTTGTTTACTAGGTATAGAGTTTCAATTTTGGACGATGAAAAACTTCTGGAGATTAGCTGTACAACAATATGAATAAACACTACTGAACTGTTTATTTAAAAATGGTTACAATGGTAAATTTTATGTCTTTTTTACTACAATTAAAAATTTTAGATACTCAGGGAAAATGGCAGATAAGAGGCAGGACTAACCACTTGGATGGACACAGCAGTAGGTGGAGACCCACACTGTGAACTTTTGCTCCAAGAACCACCATAGGAACACACCAGGAAAGCTGAGAGAATCCACAGGCCCTTTGAAAGAGGTAGATTGTTGCTGCAGGCTCCGTGGGACAGCTGAGGAACTGGGACAGCTTGCTTTCTCAGCTGGCAGGCTTGTAGCCTGGGGCAAGTTCTCAGACCTGCCCAGAGGCTGCCTGGAAATAAACTTAGTGCTGTCGGTGGGGGGCACGGGGAAGTGAGACTGGCCTTTCAGGCTGCAGGCTGCAGGGGAGCTGAGTGAGGCCTGTGGCTGGAGGCTTTCCCCCACTTTCCTGGTGAGCTGTGTGACACAGCAGAGGCAGCTATAATCCCCCCGGAAACATAACTCCATTGGTCACCCCCATACCCCACAGCAGCCATAGCAAGCCCCATCCCAGAAGAGTCAGCTCAAACATGCTTAACTCTGCCCCCACCTGATGGTCTTTCTCTACCCACCCCGGTAGCTGAAGACAAAGGATAGCTCTATGGGAGCTCTATGGCCCTGCCCACCACCTAAGAAACCTGAATACTTATCCAAAGGCAACCCTAGGGTAAACTTGTATCCTCCCTATAAAACTGTAGCTAATGCATTCTTGAAAGTGCCACCTTCTGGCTGGAGACCAACCAACACAAAACCAGTGCACTTATCAAAAATACAACCAACGACCCTCACAGAGTCCACTTCACTGCCCAGCTACCTCCACTGGAGGAGGTTTCTCCATGGCTGAGAGACCTGAAGATGGATCACATCATATGACTCTTTGCGGACACTCCCCAGTAACAGCCTGGTGCCTGGTAGCTCTGCTGGGTGGCTACATCCAGAAGGGAAATAACAAACACTGCAGCTTGGCTCTCAGGAAGCCACATCCCTAGGGGAAAGGGGAGAGTACCACATTAAGAAGGTCTGAGAAACTGCCACAGCCGAGAAGAGGGTAAGGACACATGATGAGTAAAAACAATGTATTGCCCTGGAAGAGAAAGACAACGTTAAGTAAGACATTAATGAAATCTGAATATGGTATAGAGTGTAGTTACTAATATCAGACAAATCAAAATTGGTTCATTTTTTGTGGACAAATAGACCATTTTAATGTAAGCTGTTAACAACAGGGGGCACTAATGGGGAGTACGAGGAAACTGAGCTATGTCTGAAATTTTTCTGTAAATTTAGAATTACTGTAAATTAAAAGTTGTTAAAAAAATTCAAAACAATTATTAAAGAGAGATATTATGGAGGAGGGGCCAAGATGGCTGAATAGCAACAGCTCTGATCTGCAGCACCCAGTGAGACCAACGCAGAAGGCAGATGATTTCCGCATTTCCAACTGAGGTACCCAGTTCATCTCACTGGGACTGGTTAGCCAGTGGGTCCAACACATGGAGCGCAAGCAGAAGCAGGGTGGGGCTTCGCTTCACCCAGGAAGTGCAAGGAGCTGGGGGACCTCCCTCCCCCAGCCAAGGGAAGCCATGAGGGACTGTGCTACCCAGCTAGGTTACTATGCTTTTCCCACAGTTTTTGCAATCTGCAGATCAGGGGATTCTTTCATGTGCCTACACCACCAGGGCCCTGGGTTTCAAGCACAAAACCTGGCGTCTGTTCAGGCAGACACCGAGCTATCTGCAGGAGTTTGCTTTTTTTTTTTTTTCATATCCCAGTGGCGCCTGGAACCCTAGCGAGATAGAACCATTTACTCCCCTGGAAAGGGGGCTGAAGCCAGGCAGCCAAGTGGTCTCACTCAGCGAGTCCCAATCCCATGCAGCCCAGCAGGCTAAGAACCACTGGCTTGAAATTCTGGCTGCCATTACAGCAGTCTGAAGTCAACCTGAGATGATTGAGCTTGGTGAGTGGGAGTGTGTCCGGAATTGGTGGGTTCTTGGTCTCACTGACTTCAATAATGAAGCCGCGGACCCTCGCGGTGAGTGTTACAGCTCTTAAGGTGGCGCGTCTGGAGTCTGTCCCTTCTGATGTTCAGATGTGTTCGGAGTTTCTTCCTTCTGGTGGGTTCGTGGTCTCGCTAGCTCAGGAGTGAAGCTGCAGACCTTCGCGGTGAGTGTTACAGCTCTTAAGGTAGCGCGTCTGGAGTTGTTCGTTCCTCCCGGTGGGCTCGTGGTCTCGCTGGGCTCAGGAGTGAAGCTGCAGATCTTCGCGGTTGAGTGTTACAGCTCATAAAAGCAGCGTGGACCCAAAGAGTGAGCAGTAGCAAGATTTATTGCAAAGAGCAAAAGAACAAAGCTTCCACAGTATGGAAGGGGACCCGAGCGAGTTGCCAATGCTGGCTCGGGCAGCCTGCTTTTATTCTCTTATCTGGCCCCACCCACATCCTGCTGATTGGTAGAGCTGAGTGGCCTGTTTTGTCAGGGCACTGATTGGTGCGTTTACAATCCCTGAGCTAGATACAAAGGTTCTCCACTTCCCCATCAGATTAGTTAGATACAGAGTTTCCACACAGGTTCTCCAAGGCCCCACCAGAGCAGCTAGATACAGAGTGTCGATTGGTGCACTCACAAACCCTGAGCTAGACACAGGGTGCTGACTGGTGTGTTTACAATCCCTGAGCTAGACATAAAGGTTCTCCAAGGCCCCACCAGAGCAGCTAGATACAGAGTGTCGATTGGTGCACTCACAAAACTTGAGCTAAACACAGGGTGCTGATTGGTGTATTTACAATCCCTGAGCAGGACATAAAGGTTCTCCACGTCCCCACCAGACTCAGGAGCCCAGCTGGCTTCACCTAGTGGATCCCGCACCGGGGCTGCAGGTGGAGCTGCCTGCCAGTCCCATGCCGTGCGCTCGCATTCCTCAGCCCTTGGGTGGTCGATGGGACTGGGCGCCCTGGAGCAGGGGGTGGTGCTCGTCGGGGAGGCTTGGGCCGCACAGGAGCCCATGGAGGGGGTGGGAGGCTCAGGCATGGCGGGCTGCAGGTCCCGAGCCCTGCCCCTCGGGAAGGCAGCTAAGGCTCTGTGAGAACTCAAGCGCAGCGCCGGTGGGCTGGCACTGCTGGGGGACCCAGTACACCCTCCGCAGCCACTGGCCCGGGTGTTAAGTCCCTCATTGCCCAGGGCCAGCAGGGCTGGCTGGCTGCTCCCAGTGAGGGGCCCACCAAGCCCACGCCCACCCGGAACTCCAGCTGGCCCGCAAGCGCCGCACACAGCCCCGGTTCTCGCTCGTGCCTCTCCCTCCACACCTCCCTGCAAGCTGAGGGAGTGGGCTCCAGCCTTGGCCAGCCCAGAAAGGGGCTCCCACAGTGCAGTGGGGGGCTGAAGGGCTCCTCAAATGCCACCAAAGTGGGAGCCCAGGCAGGGGAGGTGCCGAGAGCAAGTGAGGGCTCTGAGGACTGCCAGCACGCTGTCACCTCTCAGGAGGAGGGTCTACCATTACTGAGGCTTGAGTAGGCGGTTTTCCCCTGACAGTGCTAAGGAGGCTGGGAGGTCTGGACTGGAAGGAATTTACCACAGCCCTGCAAAGTGGCTGTGGCCAGACTGCTTCTCTAAATTCCTCCTCACTAGGCAGGGCATCCCTGAAGGAAAGGTAACAGCCCCAGTCAGGGGCGTACAGACAAAACCCCCATTTTCCTGGGACAGAGCACCTGGGGGAAGGGGTGGCTATGGGCGCAGCTAAAGCAGATTTAATCATTCCTGCCTGCTGGGTCTGAAAAGGGCAGCTGATCCCGACAAGGGGGATTCTCTCAGCACAGCACACCAGCTCTGCTAAGGGACAGGCTGCCTCCTCAGGTGGGTCCCTGACCCCCATGCCCCCTGACTGGGAGAGACCTTCCAACAGGGGTCAACAGACACCTCATACAGGAGAGCTCTGGCTGGCATCAGGCTGGTGCCCCTCTGGGACAAAACTTCCAGAGGAAGGAGCAGGTAGCAATTTTTGCTGTTCTGCAACCTCCACTGGTGATACTCAGGCGAACAGGGTCTGGAGTGGACCTCCAGCAAACTCCAGCAGACCTGCAGAAGAGAGGCCTGACTGTTAGAAGAAAAACTAACAGAAAGAAACAACATCAACATCAGCATAAAGGACCCCCACACAAAAACCCCATCCAAAGGTCATCAGCCTCAAAGATCAAAGATAGATAAATCCACAAAGATGAGGGAAAACCATTGCAAAAATGCTGAAAATTCCAAAAACCAGAATGCCTCTTCTCCTCCAAATGATTGCAACTCTTCTCCAGCAAGGGCACAAAACTGGATGGAGAATGAGATTGACAAATTGACAGAAGTAGGCTTCAGAAGGTGGGTAATAACAAACTCTGAGCTAAAGGAGGATGTTCTAACCCAATGCAAGGAAGCTAAGAACCTTGATAAAAGGTTGTAGGAACCGCTAACTAGAATAAACAGTTGAGAGAGGAACATAAATGACCTGATGGAGCTGAAAAACACAGCACGTGAACTTTGTGAAGCATACACAAGCATCAATAGCTGAATCGATCAAGCAGAAAAAACGATATCAGTGATTGAAGATCAATTTACTGAAATAAGGCATGAAGACAAGATTAGAGAAAAAAGAAAAAAAAGGAAGAAACAAAGCCTCCAAGAAATATGGGATTATGTAAAAAGACCAAATCTATGATTCACTGGTGTACCTGAAAGTGACAGGGAGAATGGAACCAAGTTGGAAAACATACTTCAGGATATTATCCGGGAGAACTTCCCTAACATAGCAAAATGGGCCAATATTCAAATTCAGGAAATACAGAAAACACCACTAAGATACTCCTCAAGAAGAGCAACCCTAAGATGCACAATCATCAGATTCTCCAAAGTTGAAACAAAGGAAAAATTATTAAGGGCAGCCAGAGAGAAAGGTCAGGTTACCTACAAAGGGAGTCCCATCAGACTAACAGCAGATCTCTCTGCAGAAACCCTACAAGCCAGAAGAGAGTAGGGGCTAATATTCAACATTTTTAAAGAAAAAAATTTCAACCCAGAATTTTGTATCTAGCCAAACTAAGCTTCATAACTGAAGAAGAAATAAGATTTTTTGTAGACAAGCAAATGCTGAGAGATTTTGTCAGCACCAGGCCTGCCTTACAAGAGCTCCTGAAGGAAGCACTAAATATAGAAAGGAAAAACTGGTATCAGCCACTGCAAAAACACACCAAAATATAAAGACCAATGACACTATGAAGCAACTGCATCAACTAATGTGCAAAATAACCAGCTAGCATCATGATGACAGGATCAAATTCACACAAAACAATATTAACCTTAAATGTAAATGGACTAAATGCCCCAATTAAAAGACACAGACTGACAAATTGGAGAAACAGTCAAGACCCATCAGTGTGCTGTATTCAGGAGACCCATGTCACGTGCAAAGAAACACATAGGCTCAGAAGAAAGGGATGGAGGAATATTTACCAAGCAAATGGAAAGCAAAAAAAAAGTAGGAGTTGCAATCCTAGTCTCGGATAAAACAGATTTTAAACCAACAAAATCAAAAAAGACAAAGAAAGGCATTACATAATGGTAAAGGGATCCATGCAACAAGAAGACTTAACTATCTAAATATATACGCACCCAGTACAGGAGCACCCAGATTCATAAAACAAGTCCTTAGTTACCTACAAAGGGACTTAAACTCCCACACAATAATAGCGGGAGACTTTAACACCCCACTGTCAATATTAGACAGATCAATGAGACAGAAAATAAACAAGGATATTCAGGACTTGAACTCAGCTCTGGACCAAGTGGACCTAATAGACATCTACAGAACTCTCCACCCCAAATCAACAGAATATACATTGTTCTCAGGGCCACATAGCACTTATTCTAAAATTGACCACATAATTGGAAGTAAAGCACTCCTCAGCAAATGCAAAAGAAAGGAAATCATAACAGTCTCTCAGACCACAGTGCAATCAAATTAGAACTCGGGATTAAGAAACTCACTCGAAACCGCACAACTACATGCAAATTGAACAACTTGCTCCTGAATGACTGCTGCGTAAATAACAAAATTAAGGCAGAAATAAAGAAGTTCTTTGAAACCAATGAGAACAAACAGAAAATGTACCAGAATCTCTGAGACACAACTAAAGTAATGTTAAGAGGAAAATATATAGCACTAAATGCCACATCAGAAAGTGGGAAATGTCTAAAATCGATGCCCTAACATCACAATTAAAAGAACTAGAGAAGCAAGAGCAAACACATTCAAAAGCTAGCAGAAGACAAGAAATAACTAAGATCACAGCAGAACTGAAAAAGGTAAAGACATGAAAATCCCTTCAAAAAAATCAATGAAACCTGGAGCTGGGTTTTTGAAAAGATTAACAAAATAGATACACTGCTAGCTAGACTGATAAAGAAGAATAGAGAGAAGAATCAAATAGACAATAAAAAATGATAAAGGGGATATCACCACTGATCCCACAGGAATACAAACTACCATCAGAGAATACTATAAACACTTCTATGCAAATAAACTAGAAAATCTAGAAGAAATGGATAAATTCCTGGACACATATACCCTCCCAAGACTAAACCAGGAAGAAGTCAAATGCCTGAATAGACCAATAACAAGTTCTGAAATTAAGGCAGTAATTAATAGCCTACCAAACAAAAAAAGCACAGGAACAGATGGATTCACAGTTGAATTCTACCAGAGGTACAAAGAGGAGCTGATACCATTCCTTCTGAAACTATTACAAACAATTGAAAAGGAGGGACTCCACCCTAACTCATGTTATGAGGCCAGCATCATCCTGATAACAAAACCTGGCAGAGACACAACAAAAAAAAGAAACTTTGAGGCCAATGTTTCTGATGAACATTGATGCAAAAATCCTCAATAAAATACTGACAAACCAAATCCAGCAGCACATCATAAAGCTTATCCACCATGATCAAGTTGGCATCAACCTTAGGATGCAAGGCTGGGTTCAACTTACACAAATCAATAAATGTCATCCACCACATAAACAGAACCAATGACAAAAACCACATGATTATCTCAATAGGTGCATAAAAGGCCTTTGATAAAATTCAACATCCTTTCATGCTAAAAACTGTCAATAAACTAGGTATTTATGGAACATATCTCAAAATAATAAGAGCTGTTTATGACAAACCCATAGCCAATATCATACTGAATGGGCAAAAACTGGAAGCATTCCCTTTGAAAACCAGGACAAGCAAGGATGCCCTCTTTCACCACTCCTATTTAACATAGTATTGGAAGTTCTGGCCATGGCAATCATGCAAGAGAAAGAAATAAAGCATATTCAAATAGGAAGATAGGGGGTCAAATTGTCTTTGTTTGCAGATGACATGACTGTATATTTAGAAAACCCCATCATCTCAGCCCAAAAACTCTTTAAGCTGATAAGCAACCTCAGCAAAGTCTCAGGATACCAAATCAGTGTGCAAAAGTCACAAACATTCCTTTACATCAAAAATAGACAAGCAGAGAGTCAAATCATGAGTGAACTCCCATTCACAATTGCTACAAAGAGAACAAAATTCCTAGGAATACAACTTACATGGGAAGTTAAGAACCTCTTCAAGGAGAACTACAAACCACTGCTCAAGAGAATAAGAGAGGACACAAACAAATGGAAAAATATCCCATGCTCATGGATAGCAAGAATCAATGTTGTGAAAATGGCCATACTGTCCTAAGTAATTTATAGATTCCATGCTATTCCTATCAAGCTACCATTGACTTTCTTGGCAAAATTAGAAAAAACTACTTTAAATTTCAGATGAAACCAAAAAAGACCCCGTATAGCCAAGACAATCCTAAGCAAAAAGAACAAAGATGGCGGCATCATGCTACCTGACTTCAAACTATACTACAAGGCTACAGTAACCAAAACAGCATGGTACTGCTACCAAAACAGATATATAGACCAATGGAACAGAACAGAGACTTCAGAAATAACACCACACATCTACAACCATCTGATCTTTGACAAACCTGACAAAAACAAGCAATGGGGAAAGGATTCTCTATTTAATAAATGGTGCTGGGAAAATTGGCTAACCACATGCAGAAAACAGAAACTGGACCCCTTCCTTGCATCTTATACAAAAATTAACTCAAGATGGATTAAAGACTTAAATGTAAAACCCAAAACCATAAAATCTCTGGAAGAAAACCTAGGCAATACCATTCAGTATACAGGCATGGACAAAGACTTCATGACTAAAACACTGAAAGCAATTGTAACAAAAGCCAATATTGACAAATGAGATCTAATCAAACTAAAAAGCTTATGCACAGTAAAAGAAACTATCATCAGAGTGAACAGGCAACCTACAGAATAGGAGAAAATTTTTGAAATCTATCCATCTGACAAAAGTCTAACATCCAGAATCTACTAGAAACTTAAAGAAATTTACAAGAAAAAAACAAACAACCCCATCAAAAAGTGGTTGAAGGGTAT
The DNA here is from genome assembly GCF_000001405.40 of Homo sapiens. Lineage (NCBI taxonomy): Eukaryota > Metazoa > Chordata > Mammalia > Primates > Hominidae > Homo > Homo sapiens. The sequence continues at coordinate 125,710,308 of NC_000011.10, forward strand.
GAACAGACACTTCTCAAAAGAAGACATTTATATGGCCAATAAACATGAAAAAAAGCTCATCATAACTGGTCATTAGAGAAATGCAAATCAAAACCACAATACCATCTCATGCCAGTTAGAATGGCGATTATTAAAAATTCAGGAAACAACAGATGCTGGTGAGGCTGTGGAGAAATAGGAATGATTTTACACTGTTGGTGGGAGTGTAAATTAGTTCAACTATTGTAGAAGACAGTGTGGCAATTCCCCAAGGATCTAGAACCAGAAATAACATTTGACCCAGCAATCCAATGACTGGTTATATACCCAAAGGATTATTAATCATTCTACCATAAAGACATATGCACACGTATGTTTATTGCAGCACTATTTACAATAGCAAAGACTTGAAACTAACCCAAATGCCCATCAATGATAGACTGGATAAAGAAAATGTGGCACATATACACCATGGAATACTATGCAGCCATAAAAAAGAATGAGTTCATGTCCTTTGCAGGTACATGGATGAAGCTGGAAGCCATCATTTTTAGCAGACTAACACAGGAACAGAAAACCAAACACTGCATGTTCTCACTCGTAAGTGGGAGTTGAACAATGAGAACACATGGACACAGGGAGGGGAACATCACACACCGGGGCCTGTCGGGGGGTGTGGGCCAAGGGGAGGGAGAGTATTAGGACAGATACCTAATGAATGCAGGGCTTAAAACTTAGATGACGGTTGATAGGTGCAGCAAACCACCATGGCACATGTATACCTATGTAACAAACCTGCATGTTCTGCACATGTATCCCAGAACTTAAAGTAAAATAAAATAAAATAAGAAGATTTTTGAAGTCTGTTACTCATATAAGTAGAAATTACCTACAAGATATTAGCAAATAAAATGCAGCAAGATATCAAAAATAACTCATGAGCAGCTATTTTTAATAGAAGAATTAAGTAATGTTCAGTATAACAAACTATCAATATAATTAATTACATTAATACATTTACACATAGCATGTCATAACGTGAATAGTTGTTGAAAATACATTTTATAAATATTTCTAATAAAAGTTTAAGTAAATTATAAGTAAATGTGAATAGAATAAAGCTATTTTAATATGAAACTGTGTTACCAAAATCCAACAGCATAAGTTTTTTAAAAATTTTTATTTTTTTGTGGTAAGAACACTTAACATGAAATCTACATTTTTTTTAATTATTATACTTTAAGTTTTAGGGTACATGTGCACAATGTGCAGGTTTGTTACATATGTATACATGTGCCATGTTGGTGTGCTGCACCCATTAACTCGTCATTTACATTAGGTATATCTCCTAATGCTATCCCTCCCCCCTCCCCCCACCCCACAACAGTCCCCAGTGTGTGATGTTCCCCTTCCTGTGTCCATGTGTTCTCATTGTTCAATTCTCACCTATGAGTGACAACACGCAGTGTTTGGTTTTTTGTCCTTGCGATAGTTTGCTGAGAATGATGGTTTCCAGCTTCATCCATGTCCCTACAAAGGACATGAACTCATCATTTTTTATGGCTGCATAGTATTCCATGGTGTATATGTGCCACATTTGCTTAATCCAGTCTATCATTGTTGGACATTTGGGTTGGTTCCAAGTCTTTGCTATTGTGAATAGTGCCGCAATAAACATACGTGCGCATGTGTCTTTATAGCAGCATGATTTATAATCCTTTGGGTATATACCCAGTAATGGGATGGCTGGGTCAAATGGCATTTCTAGTTCTAGATCCCTGAGGAATCGCCACACTGACTTCTACAATGGTTGAACTAGTTTACAGTCTCACCAACAGTGTAAAAGTGTTCCTATTTCTCCACATCCTCTCCAGCACCTGTTGTTTCCTGACTTTTTAATGATCGTCATTCTAACTGGCGTGAGATGGTATCTCATTGTGTTTTTGATTTGCATTTCTCTGATGGCCAGTGATGATGAGCATTTTTTCATGTGTTTTTTGGCTGCATAAATGTCTTCTTTTGAGAAGTGTCTATTCATATCCTTCGCTTACTTTTTGATGGGGTTTTTTGTTTTTTTCTTGTAAATTTATTTGAGTTCATTGTAGATTCTGGATATTAGCCCTTTGTCAGATGAGTAGGTTGCAAAAATTTTCTCCCATTCTGTAGGTAGCCTGCTCACTCTGATGGTAGTTTCTTTTGCTGTGCAGAAGCTCTTTAGTTTAATTAGATCCCATTTGTCAATTTTGGCTTTTGTTGCCATTGCTTTTGGTGTTTTAGTCATGAAGTCCTTGCCCATGCCTATGTCCTGAATGGTATTGCCTAGGTTTTTTTCTAGGGTTTTTATGATTTTAGGTCTAACGTTTAAGTCTTTAATCCGTCTTGAATTAGTTTTTGTATAAGGTGTAAGGAAGGGATCCAGTTTCAGCTTTCTACATATGGCTAGCCAGTTTTCCCAGCACTATTTATTAAGTAGAGAATCCTTTCCCCATTGCTTGTTTTTGTCAGGTTTGTCAAAGATCAGATAGTTGTAGATATGCGGCATTATTTCTGAGGGCTCTGTTCTGTTCCATTGGTCTATATCTCTGTTTTGGTACCAGTACCATGCTGTTTTGGTTACTGTAGCCTTGTAGTATTGTTTGAAGTAAGGTAGTGTGATGCCTCCAGCTTTGTTCTTTTGGCTTAGGATTGACTTGGCAATGTGGGCTCTTCTTTGGTCCCATATGAACTTTAAAGTAGTTTTTCCAATTCTGTGAAGAAAGTCATTGGTGGCTTGATGGGGATGGCATTGAATCTATAAATTACCTTGGGCAGTATGGCCATTTTCACGATATTGATTCTTCCTACCCATGAGCATGGAATGTTCTTCCATTTGTTTGTATCCTCTTTTATTTCATTGAGCAGTGGTTTGTAGTTCTCCTTGAAGAGGTCCTTCACATCCCTTGTAGGTTGGATTCCTAGGTATTTTATTCTCTTTGAAGCAATTGTGAATGGGAGTTCACTCATGATTTGGCTCTCTGTTTGTCTGTTGTTGGTGTATAAGAATGCTTGTGATTTTTGCACATTGATATTGTATCCTGAGACTTTGCTGAAGTTGCTTATCAGCTTAAGGAGATTTTGGGCTGAGATGATGGGGTTTTCTAGATATACAATCATGTCATCTGCAAACAGGAACAATTTGACTTCCTCTTTTCCTAATTGAATGCCCTTTATTTCCTTCTCCTGCCTGATTGCCCTGGCCAGAACTTCCAACACTATGTTGAATAGGAGTGGTGAGAGAGGGCATCCCTGTCTTGTGCCAGTTTTCAAAGGGAATGCTTCCAGTATTTGTCCATTCAGTATGGACTGTGGGTTTGTCATAGATAGCTCTTATTATTTTGAGATACGTCCCATCAATACCTAATTTATTGAGAGTTTTTAGCATGAAGGGTTGTTGAATTTTGTCAAAGGCCTTTTCTGCATCTATTGAGATAATCATGTGGTTTTTGTCTCTGGTTCTGTTCATATGCTGGATTACATTTATTGATTTTTGTATGTTGAACCAGCCTTGCATCCCAGGGATGAAGCCCACTTGATCCTGGTGGATAAGCTTTTTGATGTGTTGCTGGATTTGGTTTGCCCAGTATTTTATTGAGGATTTTTGCATCAATGTTCATCAAGGATATTGGTCTAAAATTCTCTTTTTTTGTTGTGTCTCTGCCAGGCTTTGGTATCAGGATGATGCTGGCCTCATAAAATGAGTTAGGGAGGATTCCCTCTTTTTCTATTGATTGGAATAGTTTCAGAAGGAATGGTACCAGCTCCTCTTTGTACCTCTGGTAGAATTCGGCTGTGAATCCATCTGGTCCTGGACTTTTTCTGGTTGGTAGGCTATTAATTATTGCATCAATTTCAGAGCCTGTTATTCGTGTATTCAGAGATTCAACTTCTTCCTGGTTTAGTCTTGGGAGAGTGTATGTGTTGAGGAATTTATCCATTTCTTCTAGATTTTCTAGTTTATTTGTGTAGAGGTGTTTATAGTATTCTCTGATGGTAGTTTGTATTTCTGTGGGATCGGTGGTGATATCCCCTTTGTCATTTTTTTATTGCATCTATTTGATTCTTCTCTCTTTTCTTCTTTATTAGTCTTGCTAGCAGTCTATCAATTTTGTTGATCTTTTCAAAAAGCCTGCTCCTGGAGTCATTGATTTTTTGAAGGGTTTTTTGTGTCTCTATTTCCTTCAGTTCTGCTTTGATCTTAGTTATTTCTTGCCTTCTGCTAGCTTTTGAATGTGTTTGCTCTTGCTTCTCTAGTTCTTTTAATTGTGACATTAGGGTGTCAATTTTAGATCTTTCCTGCTTTCTCTTGTGGGCATTTAGTGCTATAAACTTCCCTGTACACACTGCTTTGAATGTGTCCTAGAGATTCTGGTATGTTGTGTCTTTGTTCTCATTGGTTTCAAAGAACATCTTTATTTCTGCCTTCATTTCATTATGTACCCAGTAGTCATTCAGGAGCAGGTTGTTCAGTTTCCATGTAGTTGAGTGGTTTTGAGTGAGTTTCTTAATCCTGAGTTCTGGTTTGATTGCACTGTGGTCTGAGAGACAGTTTGTTATAACTTCTGTTCTTTTACATTTGCTGAGGAGTGCTTTACTTCCAACTATGTGGTCAGTTTTGGAATAGGTGTGGTGTGGTGCTGAAAAGAATGTATATTCTGTTGATTTGGGGTGGAGAGATCTGTAGATGTCTATTAGGTCCTCTTGGTGCAGAGCTGAGTTCAATTCCTGGATATCCATGTTAACTTTCTGTCTCATTGATCTGTCTAATGTTGACAGTGGGGCGTTAAAGTCTCCCATTATTATTGTGTGGGAGTCTAAGTCTTTTTGTAAGTCACTAAGGACTTGCTTTATGAATCTGGGTGCTCCTGTATTGGGTGCATATATATTTAGGACAGTTAGTTCTTCTTGTTGAATTGATCCCTTTACCATTATGTAATGGCCTTCTTTGTCTCTTTTGATCTTTACTGGTTTAAAGTCTGTTTTATCAGAGACTAGGATTGCAACCCCTGCTTTTTTTGTTTTCCATTTGCTTGGTAGATCTTCCTCCATCCCTTTATTTTGAGCCTATGTGTGTCTCTGCATGTGAGATGGGTTTCCTGAATACAGCACACTGATGGGTCTTGACTCTTTATCCAACTTGCCAGTCTGTGCCTTTTAATTGGAGCATTTATCCCATTTACATTTAAGGTTAGTATTGTTATGTGTGAAATTGACCCTGTCATTATGATGTTAGCTGGTTATTTTGCTCATTATTTGATGCAGTTTCTTCCTAGCCTTGATGGTCTTTACAATTTGGCATGTTTTTGCAGTGGCTGGTACCAGTTGTTCCTTTCCATGTTTAGTGCTTCCTTCAGGAGCTCTTTTAGGGCAGGCCTGGTGGTGACAAAATGTCTCAGCATTTGCTTGTCTGTAAAGGATTTTATTTCTCCTTCACTTATGAAGCTTAGTTTGGCTGGATATGAAATTCTGTGTTGAAAATTCTTTTCTTTAAGAATGTTGAATATTGGCCCCCACTCTCTTCTGGCTTGTAGAGTTTCTGCCGAGAGATCTGCTGTTAGTCTGATGGGCTTCCCTTTGTGGGTAACCCAACCTTTCTCTCTGGCTGCCCTTAACATTTTTTTCTTCATTTCAATTTTGGTGAATCTGACAATTATGTGTCTTGGAGTTGCTCTTCTCAAGGGGTATCTTTGTGGTGTTCTCTGTATTTCCTGAATTTGAATGTTGGCCTGCCTTGCTAGATTGGGGAAGTTCTCCTGGATAATATCCTGCAGAGTGTTTTCCAACTTGGTTCCATTCTCCCCGTCACTTTCAGGTACACCAATTAGACGTAGATTTTGTCTTTTCACATAGTCCCATATTTCTTGGAGGCTTTGTTCATTTCTTTTTATTCTTTTTTCTCTAAACTTCTCTTCATGCTTCATTTCATTCATTTCATCTTCCATCGCTGATACCCTTTCTTCCAGCTGATCGCATCAGTTACTGAGGCTTGTGCATTCGTCACGTAGTTCTCATGCTGTGGTTTTCAGCTCCAACAGGTCCTTTAAGGACTTCTCTGCATTGCTTATTCTAGTTATCCATTCGCCTAATTTTTTTTCAAAGTTTTTAACTTCTTTGCCATTGGTTCAAACTTCCTCCTTTAGCTCGGAGTAGTTTGATTTTCTGAAGTCTTCTTCTCTCAACTCGTCAAAGTCATTCTCCATCCAGCTTTGTTCCGTTGCTAGTGAGGAGCTGCATTCTTTTGGAGGAGAAGAGCCGCTCTGATTTTTAGAGTTTCCAGTTTTTCTGCTCTGGTTTTTCGCCATCTTTGTGGTTTTATCTACCTTTGGTCTTTGATGATGGTGATGTACAGATGGGGTTTTGGTGTGGATGTCCTTTCTGTTTGTTAGTTTTCCTTCTAACAGTCAGGACCCTCAGCTGCAGGTCTGTTGGAGTTTACTGGAGGTCCACTCCAGACCCTGTTGGCCTGGGTATCAGCAGCAGTAGCTGCAGAACAGCAGATATTGGTGAACTGCAAATGCTGCTGCCTGATCATTCCTCTGGAAGTTTTGTCTCAGAGGAGTACCCAGCTGTGGGAGGTGTCAGTCTGTCCCTACTGGGGGGTGCCTCCCAGTTAGGCTACTCGGGGGTCAGGGACCCACTTGAGGAGGCAGTCTGCCCATTCTCGGATCTCCAGCTGTGTGCTGGGAGAACCACTACTCTCTTCAAAGCTGTCAGACGGGGACATTTAAGTCTGCAGAGGTTATTGCTGTCTTTTGTTTGTCTGTGCCCTGCCCCCAGAGGTGGAGTCTACAGAGGCAGGCAGGCCTCCTTGAGCTGTGGTGGGCTCCACCCAGTTTCAGCTTCCAGGCCTCTTTGTTTACCTACTCAAGCCTGGGCAATGGTGGGTACCCCTCCCCCAGCCTCGCTGCCCCCTTGCAGTTTGATCACAGACTGCTGTGCTAGCAATGAGTGAGGCTCCATGGGTGTAGGACCCTCTGAGCCATGTGCGGGATATAATCTCCTGGTGTGCCGTTTGTTAAGCCCATTGGAAAAGCGCAGTATTAGGGTGGGAGTGACCCTATTTTCCAGGTGCCGTCTGTCATCCCTTTCTTTGACTAGGAAAGGGAATTCCCTGACCCCTTGTGCTTCCCGGGTGAGGTGATGCCTCACCCTGCTTCGGCTCACACACAGTGCACTGCACCCACTGTCCTGCACCCACTGTCCAGCACTCCCCAGTGAGATGAACCTGGTACCTCAGCTGGAAATGCAGAAATCACCCGTCTTCTGCGTCGCTCACGCTGGGAGCTATAGACTGGAGCTGTTCCTATTCGGCCATCTTGGCTCCGCCCATCAGGTTGTATTCTTATTGCTAATTTTTAAGACTTCTTTGTATATTTTGGATAACAATTCTTTATCAGATGTCTTTTGCAAATACATTCTCCCAGTCCATGGCTCACCTTTTCATTCTCTTGACAATGTATCTTGCAGAGCCAAAATTTTTAATTTTAATGAAATCCAATTTATCAATTATTCTTTAATGTATTGAGCCTTTGGTCTTTTATATAAAAAGTCATTTTATGTAGCCAAACCCTATGTCATCTAAATTTTCTTCTATGTTATCTTCCAATATTTTATAGTATTTCATTTTATATTTAGGTCTATGATCCATTTTGAGTTAATTAGGAAGAGTGTAAGGTTTGTGTCTATTTATTTATTTATTTTGCATATGGTTGTAGAGTTATATTCTACTTTTGACAATGCACTCAGAGTCCTTTTTAAAGTAAGCAAAAACCTATTATTCTAAAAATATCTCAAAGTGAAAATCAGTCCTAGATGATGGAAAGGCAAGGATTTAAATCTAGGCCCTCATAACTGAGTCTCAGTTTTATTCTCTTTTTCCATGCTCTGTGAATTGATTCTCTTCACATATGACTAGTTTGTTATTTAATGTATTTAGTGCTTGTGCTGCTTTTGTTATCTCAGTAGACTTTTATAGTGTTTGGTAGTTTTTCTTTTATTCCTTGGCCCTGGAGATCAAGAAAGTCATGTTAAATGTCTGTACTGTGTCCAATATTTCTTGACAGGCCTGTACCTGAGCCATGTAGTCTTCACATCTCAACTCTTTTTTTAATTTTGAGGTTAGTTCTGACCTAGTGTGGGTGCTCTCAGAAGTCACTCTCTGTCACAGTCCTGCATCCACAAAGGACTTTTTGCACCTAAGGAAGTGTTAATCTTCCTGAGGGGCTGATTGGGGGAAAGAAAGGAATGCTCTGTGACATTAGGTGTGGGTGGCATTTTTCAGTACAAGTTACCTAGTTACCCTCACGTGAGTGATCAGAACAGGAAATGGAGTGCTTCAGGAGGCTGGGAGAAAGGAGTCCATGGTTTCAGTGTTGGAGAATAGATGTGGATAAAGAAATCAGAGAATGCCAGCACATCCCAAAGACACTGGAGTGGCACTACTGTGCAAAATATCTTACCTATCCCTAGGTCAATAAGTCTTCATTCTTCTAGCAAAGCGAGAAAGAGCTAGGATGGAGACATATCCTCAAGTCTGATAGTGAATATGAGTTGTGGGGCAGAGGAACTAGAAAGTCTGATCCCAGAGAATAAAGGCATCAACAGCAAGATAATTAAAGTAGGGAACTGCTTTGGTGGCTCAAAGGGCCATTTTATATCGTAGCTGCTATCACCTCTGGAGGATTTAACCTTCTCTTAATATCCCATCTTCTATTCTTTAAATTTGACCATTTTTAAGATGTAACTCACCCCCACATTGTTGAGAAAATCCCCCTTGGATTTCCCTGTTTGTACTGGAGTCTCTGGTGAACACAGCTTGACTCTGCGGTGATCTCATCTTGATTTATCTATAATCTTTCCCCACTCTCTGGTTAAGTGGAAAATTGCTTTAGTGGAGAGAATATTTCTTTCATATCTCATGTTCAACTCCAGGCATAACTTGCCCCAGTAAGCTAGGCACTTAGTGTGCTGTCCACAAAAATCTGTTAACTTGAGAGTACCGTTCTTGTCACCTGTAGTTGTGGCAGCCTAGAGCAATGTCCTAGGGCAGGCAGGGGGGAAATAATGGGTAATGGAGGAGGGATTTGAAGTGTTGCAGTGAGTGGAAAGTTTAGATTTGTTCTTTTCCCTTCCTCTCCTGTCCCTACTGGTCAATATCCTTGGCTGAGTGCATTAGAAAGTGGCTGGAAGGCTGATCTTAGCAGACAATGCTCTACCACTAAGCAGCTCCAGTGCTACATGCTCTCTTACAGAATCAGCTTCAAGAATCAACTGAGGCAGAATGGAAAAACTACTGAAGCTGGGTCTCTTTCTGTTCTGCATAAAAATTGGTATATCTGGCCGGCTGCGGTGGCTCAAGCCTGTAATCCCAGCACTTTGGGAAGCCGAGGCAGGCAGGTCACGAGGTCAGGAGATCGAGACCATCCTGGCCAACATGGGGAAACCCCATCTCTACTAAAAATACAAAAAATTAGCTGGGCATGGTGGTGCATGCCTGTGTGACTCCCAGCTACAGGCTGAAGTGGGGGAATCACTTGAACCGGGGAGGCGGAGGTTGCAGTGAGCTGAGATCACACCACTGCACTCCAGCCTGGTGACAGAGCAAGACTCTATCTAAAAAAAGAAAAAAAGTAAATCTTTGAGAGATGGTTTGGCAATGGTTAACTTATCGGCCTAGGCTTAACCTTGGCATATATTTAAGCAGAGCCTATCTTTCCCCCATTCCCTTGGATTCTGTGAGCTCTAACTGTTCTCTGAGGAATGAAGTCCAGTTCCACACACAGAAGTCTGCAGCCCTGGTCATCTTGTTTCTTAAATCCTCTTACTCCGCTTGGGTCCTTCCCTAGCCCTTGGCCTTTACTAGAGATCCAATTTGATCTCTAAGCTTTATGTACCCCCCTAAATGATGGTTATTGTAGAGTGAGGTTTCAGGGGCTCCTGGTCAGCCAGAACTGTCCACCTCAGTCACACCCCTGAGGCTTCAGCCCAGGCTTTGATATCCATAGAAATGCCCTCAGCTCTCCATTTTATATGTAATTCCTGCAGCAAGCAAGAAAATGTAAGTTGAAGGAGTGTTGAGTCTCCCTGCCTGCCAGGAAAGAATTAAGTGTCTCCCCAGTTCCTCCTGCTCAGGCTGAGGTTCTAAGATGTATTAATGCCTGGAACCAGGCCCAAGGGCAGAACATTGATAGAGTTCCCAAGAGATCTCTGCTGTCTTTGGGAAGCAGCAGTGATGCTTCCCTTCTCTACTCAACAGTTTTTCTTCTTGCAGCATTAGCTATATGGCTCAGTGAATGTGAATTCTACAGCAACGGGAATTGTTGGAGTAAGATGCAAACATGCGAAGTTCCTAATGGTTTCTGTGTGTCTATTAAAATATATTCTTTTTTAAGTCATGGTAAGTGTATTCTGTGATCAGGGGCTTCTGGTGGAGTATTGTGGAAGTTTTCTTTTTCAGGGGTCAAACCACCTTCCTTTAAGACAGAATACTGGATGCAGGGAGTGAATCTAGATCAGAAAGAAGGTTCTGAGCCTTGGATGGTGTCATCCTATTTTTGGGAACTCTAAAGTTGAGTCAAGGGTAGTGGGGTACTAGTGTACTGGGACTATTCCTCACCATTGTACTGATCTCATCATGAGTCACCTGAGCCCTACCCTCGGTGTTATTCCGGGCCCAAAGGCGCTTAAATCTTAGCGTCTTTACATATGCTGTTTTTTCACAATGCGTCCTGGTGGCAACTGCTCCACTTGTATAATGCTGACTAAACTTCTGTCTCAGCTTAGAGTCACCCGCCCTCAAAGCTTCCTTTGACCCTTCTCCTTATCCACATGACCCTCTCTCCCTGTGCTCCCACAGGCTTGCTGCTATGTCCATCCCATAGCATCTACCATGGTGTGTTCTAATTGCCATCATTCCCTAATACCTGCTGCTTGAGAGCAGGAACTTGATGTTGCTCACCACCCTACACCGGTACTCTTTACTGCTGAGCCTGGAACTCAGGTTTTCAGCCTGTGTTTTGTGCCTGTCTGGCTGAGAGGGAGGGGCTGCTGTGCTGTCCATCTCTAGAACCGCATCTCACTTCCAAGTGTGTAATTTCCCAGCATTAGAGAGTCCTGGGAGAAGCAGCCCTGATAGGATGTGGCTTCTTCAGGGTAGCAGGGCTGCTTTATGGCATTGTGTCTTCTATGGAAGTCCCCTGTCCTTTAAAATATTCATAGCTCATTGCAGACTTGGTTTTGGGGGAAACAAACCTGTTTCTGCTTTTCTCTTCCACAGGGAATATTCCGATGGGGATGGAGACTATGTGATGAGCTGTTGCCGTAATGATGAGACTCTGACTAAAGGCATAATACGGTGGATAACCTGTTGTAAAACACAGGATTTCTGCAATTCCTTCTCAAAGCCATTAACAATTACACAGTGTGAGACTGGAGTCAAATTGTCTTGCCACCTCCTCCTTTTCCCCAGGATTATCCCTGTTCTCCTCTTCAAGGTCTGTATTTATCCTGGACTAAAGCGTTCCTCAAGCATCACCTGGGGAAGTCAGTTCCCTTGACTTTGTCTGGCACACATCCCACACAACACATTTCCTTAAGCCTGTTCCCAACCGCCACCTCCAATAGTATGCATAGAACTGCTTCTGGGTTTCACAAATACCTTTGTGATGCAGAAGCAAGATGATAGCACAGACAAATGAACAAGGATGTTGTAGACACTTTGAGAAAAGAAGAGAGAATTGAACCAAGGTGAAAGCGAGACATTTTTGGTAAGCTTTGTTGAGATACGATTTGTACATCGTATAATTCACCCATTTAAAATGTACAATTCAGTGGTTTGTAGTATATTCACAGAGTTATGTAACTATCACCACAATCAATTTTAGAACATTTTCTCGCCCCAGTGAAAACCTGTATTCATCAGCAGTCAGACCCCATTTTCCTCCAAACTCTCTAGCCCTAGGAACTCACTAATTTACTTTCTGTTTCTATAGATTTACCTGTTCTGGACTCCTTATATGAATGGAATCATGCAATACGTGATCTTTTATAACTTGCTTCTTGTACTAAGAAAAATGTTTTCAAGTTTCACCCATGTTGGTATTAGTTCCTTTTTATGGCCAAATAATATTCCATTGTATTTTATCTATGAATTGATCCATTGATAGTGATTTGGGTTATATTCAGTTTGGGGCTATAATGAATAATTCTCCTATGAACATTTTCGTAATAGTGTTTGTGTGGACATGTTTTTTTTCCCTCTCTCTCTTCAGTAAATACCTAGCAGTGGAATTGCAGAGTGATACAGAGATTGTATGTTTAACATTTTGGGGAACTGCCAAACTATTTCCAAAGTGCCTGTTCCATTTTACATTCTCCCTAACCAGACCTTTTACTCTAGTAGTTTTTTTCCCTAACTTCCCACTTCCCTTCCTTTCTACTTTGCTTTTTAGATTTTTTTTCTTTCTTTCTTCCTTCTCTTCATCCTGCCTCATTATCTCCCTCCCTGGCTTCCTCTCTTCTCTCCTTCTTCTCCTTTGTCCCCATTTTCTTCTCTTTAATTATCTTCCATATTCTTTTTCACCACCATTGTTCCTTATTCCTACTGAATATGTATTTTAATAAAAATGTTAGAGTATCATTGGAGATCTGGAAGTGAGGGTTGGTGAGTAGAGCTGGAGAACTTAGAGGTCCACATTAAAGGGCAAGACCGTTTAATGTGTATTAGGTTGACCCCCACTGGGCCTGTGGAGAGGACTCTTGTGTTCATTATAAATATGTGGTCAGTAATAATGGGGCAAGACATCAATTTGGATTCATGTACTATGGTGCAGTAGTTGAGATCACAGGCTCTGGCTCAGGCTGCCTGCATTTAAGTCCAAAACGAAGCACGCATTTTCTGGGAAAGCTCTGGCAAATTGACCTGACCGTGTGCTTAGCCTACTTATATATAAAATCAGCTTAATATAAGATACTTACCTTTGGAATGTAATGGGGTTTACATGAGATAATCCATGAGAGTGCTTAGAAGAGTGTCTGGAACCTACTGTGTGCTCAGTAAGTGCCTGCTACAGTTTATTTGTGGGAAAAGAGTAGTGGGAGGTTAAAATAAGATATTGCCGAGGAAGGGATAGGCTGGACGAAAAACAGAGAAAAACCATGAGTAAAAATAAACAGTGCTTATCTTAGTATGGATTTTCCTCTATGACAGACAGTGACAAAAGGATTTGAGTGCAAGGTGGTGATCCTGGGAAACTGAAGCATAAGAAACTAATTGACTTGCCTAACTAAGGTCACACAGCTAGTGAGTGGCAGTGGTTATTTTGGAAAGCAAAAAGCCTGCCTCCAGAGATCACTGGCTTAAACATTACGCTGTGCTGCCTCTCACTTTGTGGGTGAAGGGGTGAGTTATGCTCATTCATCAATTCCCTCAAGAAGCTCTGATGTATACCAAGTGCACAGTAGGCCCTCTTGGTCATTCAGAATACAGCAGCAGATAAGACATCACCTCTTTTCTCATGAGCTGTCTCAAGGGAAAGGGATGGTCTAAAGGGAATGACATACATCAAGAAAGTGGTGCAATCCCACATAAATGGTGCTAGATATGGGCACTTAGGGATGAGGAGCTAAAGGAGCAGCTCCCTTGAGTAGTCACACTAGATTTCAGAAACTCAGCCATCTTACTGTAATTCACCAAATCATCCAAATAAAGTTACTTAATGTCTACTTTGTGCACAGCACTGAGGGGGTGAGTGTTAGTAGCTTCCCCATAGGAAAAATAATAAATCTATATTGCATGCCTTTCTAGAGGAAGGAAGTGGCTACTCTTGCCACCTAGAAAGGAGGGTTATTCTGAATGCTCAGGTCAGTTGGGGCAGGGGCCAGAAAGAACAGTGATTTAACTGGGTTTTGAAGAAGTCAGAAGCCACAAAGCAAGAAGGAGTGAAAGAGCATTATAAGCCTAGGAAACAACATGTACCAGGGCAGTAAGGCATATTAAAGCTCACTCACTAGATGGCAGCAGGTGGATAAGAGTCAATCAGATAGAAATGGTAGAGGGAGTCCAGAAGATGAGCCTGCTCAGTTAGGTTGGGATAAGGTCCTGAAGGACTTGGCCATGCGCATCCCCTTTCCTCTCCCTCCTCTTTCTAACAATTTCTTCTCCCAACTCAAGCACAGCTCTGAAGTATTTCTGTCAGTGAATATGGATCTTCAGTGACAGATATTACAATGTTTCTCTGTAAGACATTTCACCCCTGCACTGGTGTGTGTGTTACACTTGCTTTTGATGCATCACGGTGCTCAACTGTAGCACATGGAACGACACATACATATTGGATAACACAATGGGTAATCATTGCCCAGGAATGTGGATGTACAACAAAGAATGGCCCCCTTAAAGCAAAGCCATTTATTCCCTCATAATACCTCTCGATTATGAATATTGGTTGGTTAACAGGTCTTTTTTCCTGGAGAAGTGACTGTGACAGTCCCTGTGGAATTTGACTGGACACCTATTGATTGCTTTCATAGGCCCCATTTCCATTCACTCTTCCCAAGAGCCCCATATGTTTCCAGGGAGGCTGAGTCCACCTCAGGTTCCACAGGTGGAACAAGAGCTAAGATATAGACAATCAGCCATCTTCTGGCCAAGAGATTTGTTTAAAGATGACTATGGGACTTAAGCTGATTAATGGAGAAAAATTCCAACATGAAGGTAGTCCCTCTTGGATGATGCTTTCTGCAGCTGCTGTAGCCATTTCACTACCATTAAAGAATAGAGGTCAGAGGACTGCTCTTTTTCCAGGATGAAAGTGGAGCTGAGAGAGTCACAGCAAAATGAAGTCCCAGAGCTCCTGGACTAACCCAGCTCTGAAGTCTTCTATCACTTTGATTTCTAGCATCGTCAGATAAAAAAATCCCCCAAATGTTTAATCCAGAATATGATGGTTTTCTGTTATGTAAAACCATGGATTCTGTTTGATAAAGAAGTTGACTCAGAACATATTTTAGAAAGCAGATAGTACAGTCCTTTCTCAGTACTTGGGAGATTGGTTTCAGGATACTGCATGAATACCAAAATCCACAGATGCTCAAGTCACCTACATAACCTATGCACTTCATACTTTAAATCCCCTAAATTACTTATAATACCTAATGCAATGTAAATGCTATGAAAATAGTTATGATGTTTGGTTTCTTGTTTGTATTATTTTTTATTGTTGTATTGTTATTTTGTTCTGAATATTTTCCATTTGTAGTTGATTGAATCTGCAACATGACCCTACAGATGCAGAGATTTGACTGTACATACCAAGGTAGCTCTTTGAAATTCCAAGAGGGGTCAATTTGAAAGCACTCTCCTATCTTCTTCTAGGCTTCTTAGATGTTACATTTCATCTTATTGATTTGACTTAACATGCCTGCTTCACAGTATGTAGACTGTTTTTTTCTTTATGTATATGCTATATGCAGATATCACTAAATTATCAACCTCCTATTTAATGAAGATATAATTTATTAAAATAATATTTTTAAGAACAAGAATATTTTACCTCTTTAAAATACAATATGGAATAATAGATGTCCTTCTTTGAGAAAGGAACACATGGAATTTGAAAGAATCCCTTTTTCTAAAGGGAATAATATTTTAGTAAAATGGAAACTAAAGGAAATTACTTGGAATTTACAACACTCTGTTCATTGTTCCTTAGATGCAGGTATAAGATTACACTTCAATTTCTGAAAAATGTTAAATAACCTCAAATAGTTATAACCTCAAAATTACATTAGTAATCGTAACTACTTGTAAGTACTTGTAATTACATCATTACAAGTAAATGAAGACTATTCTTCTATGTTCAGAATAAACTAAATATACAATTGAATTAATATTAAGAATCTTTGAGCCAGGCGCGATGGCTCACGCCTGTAATCCCAGCACTTTGGGAGGCCGAGGTGGGTGGATCACAATGTCAAGAGATCAAGACCATCCTGGCCAACATGGCGAAACCCCATGTCTACTAAAAATACAAAAATTAGCTGAGCATGGTGACGTGTGCCTGTAGTCCCAGCTACTCAGGAGGCTGAGACAGGAGAATCACTTGAACCCAGGAGGTGGAGGTTGCAGTGAGCTGAGATCACGCCACTGCACTCCAGCCTGGTGACAGAAGGAGACACTGTCTCAAAAAAAAAAAAAAAAAAAAAAGAAAAAAGAAAAGAAAAAAGAATCTTTGGAGAAATATGGTGCCTTTAAGTTTTACTCACAATAACTGAATAGAACTAACATGTATCTCCATAGTGCTTCAAATTTTTATGGATTTCACAAGTAGCATTTCAGAAGAGATACCTATTAGTGAGATTATTAATAAATTTTATTTATAAACCTTGGTTCATGTTGTGTTTACATTTTCCCAGGTAACAACATAGGGATAGTAAATTTTACGTGTTCTTTATTTTAGTTTTGCTGCAACAATCTGAATTTTTTACATGATAAGTACACTGAGCTCATATCTCATGGTTTGCTTTTTGACAAGGTACTGTTGTCACAGATATAAAATATATGATCACTTTTAGAAGAAAAACCAACAAAACTACATAAATGCCTTTACATTTATTATAAAATATTGGTTTGTAGATTTTTTTTCTCTAATGTCATTGTCTGGTCTTGACATCAGGGTAATGCTGGCCTTGTAGAATAAGTTAGAAGGTAGATACTTTATTTTACTTTTGAAAGATTTTGAAAAATTTGTTTCATTTCTTCCTCACATTTTTATTAAAAGACACCCTGAAGCCAGAATTTTTCTTTGTGGAAACTTTTTTTTTTTTTTTTTTTTTTGAGACACGGTCTCACACTGTCACCCAGGCTGGAGTGCAGTAGCATAATCTGGGCTCACTGCAGCCTCCACCTTCCCCATTCAAGCCATCCTTCTACCTCAGCCACCTGAGTAACTAAGCCTACAGGCGTGAACAACAATGCCTGACCAAAACTTTTTTTTTGTAGCAATATAAACATTTTAGAAAAGAAGATAATACATAGAGTTCCCACGCACCTTGCACTCAGCTTTCACTATTATAAACATCTTACATTAGCATAGTACATTTGTTAACAATTTATGAACCAATATTGGTACATCATTATGAAATAGAGTTAACAGTGTACTTGGATGTCCTTAGTTTTTACCGGATGGCTTTATTTTTGTAGTCCAGAATCTCATCCAGGATTCTACATTAAATATAGTTGTCATGTCTCCTTAGACTTCTCTTTGCTGTGACAGTTTCTCAGACCTTACTTGTTTTTTATGACCTTAACAGTTTTGAAGAATACTTGTCAAGTATTTTGTAGGATGTCCCTCCATTGGACATCCATTGTAGGATGTCCCTCCATTGGACACTTCTTCTGTTTTTGTGTCCTGCAACTACTCTTTCCTCATTATAAATTACCCCATTTCAGGTATTCTGTTACAGAAATAGACGGTAACAGAAGATGGACTGGACCTAAAACAACGTTGAACCTTGGGGGCCTTTCAATGTACCCCTTTCCTCTTCTCTTGGCTAATGTAATCTTTCAAACAACAGGAAATTGTTTTTTCTAAGACTGTCCCTCTATCCCACATATGGATATAGTGTGTCAAATAAGTCCTCTCCCGCAGTTCAAGGGATTAGCAAATGATCAATTCTGCCCTCCTTTAGTGGCTCTAGTAAAGGGCCATAGGTGAAAAGTCAATGTCCTGTATTCTAGTGAAAATTCTTCCAAAGATTCTGCTATGGTCAAGAAGACCTTTGGTGTGAGCACCACAGTAAGTTACACTGCTTCCATCTCATGTCCTCTAGTTCTGGATGGCCAAAGTAATTCCTCCATTAATTCTGATGCAGGTCTTTGAATAAAACTCTGAGAAATTAACACTAGAATGTTTTCTCCTAGAGGTATCATTATACCCACTTTACAGTTTTGGAAACTGAGGCTAAGTGATTTGCCAAGGTCAAAGTACTATGGAGCAAAACTGGGACTTGAACTTGGGCCTGTCTCAACAGTCCATGGAGCTATTAACTGTTGTCCCAGCACCTGCCATATGTAAAGCACCCAGCTCAGTGTTTCAGAAACAGCAGGGACTCTTCCAGCATTTTTTCTATTTCCTCTTTTTTTTTTTTTCTGAAGCACGTATATAACTCTCTGATGTCTGAGCAGATATCAGTAGGTTGAATATTGAGGTATTCTGGAGTACTGTTTTTTACATGGAAAGCTATAAAGGCAGAAAAGTGTGCAAAAAACCCAGGGGTGTAACTGTTCATGAGAGCAATCCTAAAACTCAAGTACAAAGGAAACTCAAGTACAAAGGATGACCCTGCTTTCCTTTTTAAAAGGGGGAGGAGAGAAGCATGTAGCTTACTGGTTAAGATCCCTTCATGAGCCAGGCATACCACCTTTGAATCCCTCTTAATAGCTCTGTAATCTTAGACAAGCAAGTAACTTGTCTAAGGTTCAATTCCCTCAGTGGTAAAATGGAGGGGACAGTATCACCTCCATCAGGTTGTTTGGATGAGTAAATGAGTTATGATATGTAAAGCCATTACAATAGTTCCTGGCATGTAGCTAACATTACTAATCAGTGTACAATGGACAGGGGGCAGAAGAGAGGCCCACTCCAGAATGTGAAACATGCTAGGAAATTGCCTGTGAACGTCTGGCAGCAGCATGAGAAGCAGGATCGAGCAGAATTGCATAACAAGATTATGTTCCAGTGACAGAACCATATTTACAGTTTTAGCCAAGAGCTGAGTGCTTACTGTAGCCTCACCTGGCACTGTTGGGGCACCTTGCCCATCCTATGAGCTCCTTACAAGTTTGGGGATTAGGTACTATTATCCCCATGTATAAGTAATGAACTAAGACAATAAATGAAAGAGCTGAGATTTGGACCACAGTCTAACTGGTTCTACTGCTTACGCTCTTTACAATGCTGGATACCACTTTATAGGTAAGGCAGTAGTAGTAAAAGGCTTTGCACCCTGACTGCCTGTCTAAAAGAAAGTTGGGATGAAAATGCTAGTGATAAGATCATGCAGACTTACAAAAGAAGTGGCCTATCCTAGGACTCTGCCTTTTGAGGAAAAACACCTCTTCTGTTTCTGTGTCCTGCCAACTACTCTTCCCCCTTTGGGACCCCTTGAACAGCTTTCCTCTTTAAGCCTCATTGCCAATACCCACTCCCCACTCCCAGCTTTTGCTCTTCTGTAAGAACCAGGGAAAGACCGCTATCATGCCCCATATGCTAGAAGTTGGTCGTTTCCACAAGCATTTATTTCCTGGGAGAGAACTGGGGGTTCTTGAAGCAATGCCTAGAATGACAGAGAAAGGGCTGGATACTGGATAAAATTCAGTGGGCTCAAACTCCTGGATTCCAAGGACCAGAACAATGGTAAGAAGGGACAATGCAGGAGCTGCTTGATAACAACAGCCAACATTTATAAGGTTATTGTATGTACATTATCTTGTTGTACTCTTGTTCCCAACCATAAGCCCATGAGGAAGGCAATGTGGTGGTCATTTTCAGCATGAGGAAGCAGAGGTCTGAGAAGGTGTGGCTTGAGGGTTTCAGGACCAAGCCCAGTGCTGGGTAAGCACACCTCACAACCTGCTCAGTCTTAAACATAATTTGGGACCGAGGGACACACTGGAAATGAATGTGGACCTTTGAAATAGTGTTTATTGCCTAGACGCAACCTAACAGTACCCCAAGGTCAACTTTCTCTCCACCTCATACTATTTGTGGCAGACTCTCTGAGAAGCAGAGTAGAAAGCGGATGAGTGGGGAAAAATGCAACCTTCTTTACCCAGGAAAGAAGTAACTCAGCAGGAATCTTCTCAGAAGTCCAAGTCTGAGGCTTGACCAACTGCCTTTGAACTCAGGGCTCAAGGTCTGTGTCTGCAAACACCAGCCCTCAGTGATCAGAAACTCAGGAAACATCAGGGTCACCACATGAGAGGGACTCTTTCCTTTTCCAGCTCTTAGGGCTTCCTCTGGGCACCAGAAATTAGTGACATTTTCTTCAGCTGCCATTGTTAAGAAAGAAATTTGATAAACTAATTCATGATCTGGGGGTGACATCAGCAAGATGCTGACCAGAAACTTCTGGCACTCTTCCCCTCCACGAAAAAGAAAAAAAAATGTTTGGATTCAGGGTCCCCCGGGGAGTATTCTAAGCTACTTAATACATGTTTAGTGTGAATCTCAACATTCTAGGATTTTGTATTAGAAAACACAATACTGAAGGATGAAAATTGTTAACCCGAAGGGTGACTCTGATGGTGGAGGGTCAGGCTGTGTGGCATCTGGGTCCAGTCATAAAATGTAATGGTAGTAATCATGATAAAATAGCGACCAGATATTAGACATTTATTATGTGTCAGGCACTATGCTACAGTTTACATGTCTTATTTAAAGATCATAACAGCATTATTATCCCCATTTTCAGATGAGAAACAGGCTTTTTGAACAAGTTTGAAATGCATATTCATATGGAGATTTAGAAAAAAGGCAGTCTGGATCTCAGAAGAGGATGTAGAGAGGAAGATGAAGACGTGTGGGTCATCAGCCTGTAGAGGGTATTTAGAGCTATGTGATGAGATAACTGGAGGAGATAATAGAGCAAAAAGGCCAAGGACTGAGCAAGTCATGTAAATTATATAGCCTCAGGTTTTTTGTACTATAAAGGAAAATTTTAAACCTGAAATTCAAGCCACCAGGTATTATTATAATTAACAGTGGTGTTGTTGTTATTGTTGTTTTGTACAACTTTTATGCATCTGCCTGCATAGATGCTGTGCCAAATAAGCACAGTGCTTTATGTCTGGTTTTCAGATTGTTGCCTATGCTCTGACTGAGCTGCCTGCTAAGAATCCTCCTGAATGAATGGAGTTAGATTTGTGCCTGCTGATTGGCTTCTGAGGAGCAGCTCGGAGGACGAGAGGGCATCAGAATGAATGAAGTGCCCAAAAGAGGGCCGCCATGCCAACACCTCATAAAGCCAGAGTGGTGACCCTGAATGGTGGGAGGTGGGCCAGGAGACAGAATGGTAAATGACTGGCAAGTAGCGAGAACCAAAAAATAACTTGACAATTAAAAATAAAACAAATCATAGTTCAAATTATGCCCCAATTGTACTTGTGATACTAAAATTTTGACTACTCCATCAATTTTGAAACTGTGGAGACCCACGTAATTCACAGGTGCCCAAGTGGAGAGTTTCCTTCAGAGTGCCTTTGGACATGCATCCTAGATCTCTATTTGGGGAAGAAGCTTTTCTGGGATGGGGATGGGAGTGTGGAAGTGTTGCCAAAAATTTCACTTTCTTATAGCATGTGTGAGCATGCAACCTTGGAAAATTTCTAAAACTTGGAGAAAAGGCTGTGTCCTTTTATAACCTTTGATTTTTATCATTTTGGCACAAGATTCAGCCTTTGAAATTATAAGAGTTCTTTTTTCTTAGTATTTTTACATCTTCTAAATGTCCTAGTACTCTTTCTTCTCCACCACCCTCCAAATGCTGCCAAGAGTTCTGGTGCCACATCGTTCCAGTGCGCCTTGTTCCCTCTTCTCACCTGACTGAGTTTTCACCTCTCATCTGCTGCCCATCTGCACTTTAATGATAAAAATCTACCTCAGCTCAAGGCCCCAAGAAGATGATGTTCTATTCCCCTAACTCCATGCACTGAACCCAAGCTGTTCCTGGAACAATGGTCCCAGGCTTATCAGGACTACAAATCACTGAACTACTGTCTCCACAACCCACCTTCCACCCAGACTAGAGCTTCATGAAGCTCCCAGAAAGACCCACTACATTCTTGCCTAACCTTGAGAACAGGGATTCAATCTAACTTCCCTTGGCACTTTAGGTCATAGCCAGGGGAGATATTTCTTTCAGGGCCTCTTCTTCTTGGTTTTAGTTATACAACACTTCCTTCTGCAGTTTCATCATTTTATTCTTTTCTCTGAGCCTTTTTTCAAGTTTAGTGCTTAGAAAAAAGTCTCCTTCCAGCTTCCAGTGCCGCCTTCTTTCATTCCTGCAAGCAGTTCCAGCATCCCAGCTTCTCCTTCCTGCACTCAGAGGAGCAGAACAAATTAGTTGTCTGCCTTTTGCCCTGCACAAACCCAAGGCTCACAGGACTCCATTTTAATTGATTCAATTCAGCAAATGCTTACATATTGAAAAAAGAATGGGCTCCAGGTGAGCAACATGGAGGCCATAACAAAAATAGCAATAGCAGGAATGGAGAGGAGAATGGTAGTAGTGATGTGATGAGTGCTGAATAGACTAGACTCTGTCACTGGTTGAATGTGGAACAAGGGAGGAAAAGGAGTCAAAGGTAATGCTGACTATATCCATATCATGGCTCTAGGCTAAGCTATGGGAACACAAAAGAGGAAATGGGTCAGAGGGGGCGTGCTGAAAAAACAAACATTTATACCAAGATGTGAGGTTGAACAGAAGTTTTCTAAGCAAGGAAAGGAGTGGCAAAAGCATATGTAAAAGAGAGGGGCTTACTTAGGGAACTTAGAAAGGGTCTTCATTGTTGAAGCCTCTGGTGCAAGCTGAGTGGGACTGAATGCAAAGGCAGCAACTAGGTGAGAGCAGTACCCTACCCTCCAAGGAGCTTCCCCAGGATCTTCCCACTTTCCCCAAATGACCAGGGACTCAGCTGCCTTTCTTTCCTCCCTAGAATTCTACTGTCCACTGTATCTTTTGGAGATTTTTCTCCATTTATGCCCAGCCACAGAGTAGGCCACTAGGTTCTGTCTCGCTATTTGTACTTTTTGGTTTCAGGATTTTATTGTCAATCACTTCAAGCACAGAAATATTAAAGGGTTTTAAAAATCATACTAAGTTCTTATAATCCTTGATCTATGGAAACCAGCTCCCTTCTTTCCACATTTGGTCACTATAGCGCCATGGTTAGGAGTTAGACTAGTCTCTGTTTCAATTTGGATTCTCCACTGTCTAGTTGTGAGAGATTGTGTGGGTTTTAACCTCTCTAGCATCAGTTTTCAACAGAAAAAAAAAATAACAGTATCTGTCCGACAACATCGTAAGTACAAAATTAGTACATGTAAGCTATTTAGTTGTTTTAAAACAGTATACCTTTTGAGGAGGGCTGGAAGTAACACCAGTGAAAAAAAACAAAAGAGGGAATTCCAGTAACCTCCACAAACACACACACAAATTCACACAAAATTTGTCAGAATCAACCTTATCAGAACTCTGGAAAATATCCAAAGATTTACATTAACCAAAAAAATGATGAATCAGAATAAGATGACTTAAACACAGTAGGAAAGGTTTGCAGCATTTTTAAGTTAAACTTTGTTGAGCTTGCTCCCTGGCATAGTTGAAATCTTAAAGACAACAGCCTATATTCCTGGTCATAGGCTGGAAATTACCTGATTTCAGAGGGAACAAAGTTGATCTTGTTCCCAAAAAATTGTTTGTCTGTTTTGACTTGTCTGCTCTTGCCTTTATTTTACCTAATTTGTAACTCTCTCAGTGTGAAAAATCAGCTAAGTGGTGGCTTTCCTTGAAAACATTGAAAAGCAAATGAATGAGCTGCTGAAACCTTGGACAATGGAATAGAGTTGAGACAACAACAGACATGCCAAAAACCTCAGGGAAAACTCTGGGAAGAGAGTTACTTCAGTGAATAATGACTCTAGAAAGCTCTCAAGAATAATAGAAAATTACATACATGTTCAGAACAGGAATGACTTGAGAATATCTTGAGCTTTAACTTTTATCTGATCTTTAGGCTCAAGTAGGGAGTGAAGGCTAAGGCAGAGTTGACAAAATGGACTGGCCTAGCATTGAAAGAGTGCCCCAACACAGAGCCAATCTGCAAAGACTGGAAGAATTTTGTGTTTGTCTGCTTTTTATTTCAGGCATTTAAGGAACTTTTGGCAATTTGAGTATGGTGTGTAAGTGTAGATCTTTTTTTATTTTATTCTATCTGGAGTTCCTTGAGTTTCTAGAATATGAAGATTCATGTATTTTATCAAACTGCAGAGGTTTGGGGACTTTATTTTTTTCCAAATATTATTTTGCCCTTTTCTCTCTACTCTTTCTGGAATTTATTTCATGTGTATATTGGTGTGCTTCATGGTGTGTCACAGGTCTCTAAAGCTCTGTTCATTTTTTATGCTTTTTTTCTTTCTGCTCCTTACTCTGGATAATTTCAGTTGATCTATCTTTAAGTTTTATAATTCTTTATTCTACCTGCTCAAGTATCTTGTTAAACCCCTCTAGTAAATTTATTTCAGTTATTGCACTTTTCAATTCCAGAATTTCAATTTGGCTCCTTTGTTATAATTTCTGTCCTTTATTTCTATTCTGTACTTGTTGACAAGTTGTTTTCCTAGTTTCCTTTAGTTCTTTATCTATTGTTTCCTTTGAGTCTTTAATCCAAAAAGAAAGATCTCAACTCAATAGCCTTACTTTCAATCTAAGAAACTAGAAAAAGCAAAGCAAACTAAACCTAAAAGAAGCAGAAAAAAGGAGGAACAGAGATTAGAATTGAAATAAACAAAATAGAGAATAGAAAACAGTAGAGAAAATCAATAAAACCAAAAGTTAGTTTAGGAATAAATCAACACAACTGACAAACCTTTAGCTATTCTGACTAACAAAAAAAGAGAGAGAAATGTAAAATTCCTAAAATTAGAAATGATGAGGGGTATATTACTACTGGTCCTACTGAAATAAAAAGGACTATAAAGGAATACTGTCAACAACTATATGCAAACAAATTAGATAACCTAGGTAAAATGGACATGTTCCAAGAAACATAGAAACTATTACTGACTCAAGAAGAAATATACAATCTGAATAGAGCTATAACAAGTAAAAAGATTTAATTAATAATCAGAAACCTTTCTTCAAAGAAAAGTCCAGCCACCAATGGCTTCATTAGTATACTCTACCAAATATTTAAAGATAAACACCAATCTTTCACAAACTTTTTCAATAAAAGAAGTGGAAGGAACACTTCTAAATTCATTCTATGAGGACAGCATTACCCTCAGATGGTCTGGCAAGTCTCATGTTGAACTGTTAGAGGTGGGGCCTTGTGGGAGGTGATTGGATTATGGGGGTAATTTCTAATGGTTTAGCACCATCCCCCTAGTGCTGTCTCCTGATAAAATTCTCATGTGATCTGGTTGTTTAAAAGTATATAGCTCTTCCCCCTTCACTGTTCTTCTTCCTGTTCCCACCATGTAAGATGTACCTCCTTCCTTTTCACCTTCCGCCATGATTTTAAGTTTCCTGAGGCCTCCACAGCCATGCTTCCTATACAGCCTGTGGAATCATGAGGCAACTAAGCCTCTTTTCTTTATAATTACTAGTCTCAGGCAGTTCTTTATAGCAATGCAAGAATGGGCTAATACACCCTGACACTCAAACTAGAAAAAAAATTAGAAGAAAATGAAACTATAAATCAATATAACTAATGACTATAGATATAAAAATTATCAACAAAATACTAGCAAACCAGACTTCAGGAAAATATATTTAGAAAGATCATATACCATGACCAAAGGGGATTTACCACATAAAGCTTAATTAAATATACAAATATTAATTAATGTAATACATGACTAGAATAATACATAAATAGAATATATGATTAGAGTAATAATAATAGACACATGACTATCTCGATAGAGAGAAAGTATTTGAGAAAATTCAACACCAACATCCTTTCACAATAAAAAAGTTATAAACCAGTAATAGAAGAAGAGAACTTCCCCAATATGATAAAGGGCATCTAGGAAAAACCCTCATCATATATAATGGGAAAGATTGAAAGTTTTTTCCCAGGATCTAGAACAAAATATGGATGTCCACAGTTTTCATTTCTATTTAACATTGTACTGGAGGTTCCAGCCAGGGCAATTAGGCAAGAAAAAAATAAAAGGCATCCAAATTTTAAAAGATAAAGTAAAACCATCTGTATTTAGAGATAACATAATCTTTTATATTGAAAATCCTAAGGCATTCACACAAAAAAACCATGAGAGCTAATAAATCAATTCAGCAAAGTTGAAGGATACAAGATTAACAGGCAAAAATTAATTATATTTCTATACACTAGCAATGAACAATCTGAGAATAAATTTTTAAAGAAATATCCAATTAATAAGCATCAAAAAGAATAAAATAGTTATGAATAATGTTAACAGAAGTACAAGACTTTTACACTGAAAGCTACAAGTCACTGAAAGAAATTAAAACAGACAGAAATAAATGTAAATAAATTCTTTGTTCATGGATTGGAAGACTTAGCATTGTTAACATGGCAATATTCCCCAAAGCAATCTTGAGATTCAGTGCAATCCCTATCAAAACCTCAGTTTTTATTTTTGCAAAAATTGACAAACTGATACTAAAAATCATATGGAAATGCAAGGGCCTAGAATACCCAAAACAATCTGTCAAAAGGAGAGCAAATTTGAAGGACATACCCTTTTCCAATTTAAAAATATAGTACAAAGCTACATATAGTAACAAAAATAGTGTGGTGCTAGCATATGAATAGACTTTTAGATCAATGGAATAGAATTGAGAGTCTAAAAATAAATCTTTATATTATAGTCAATTGACTTTTGAAAACGGTGTTAAGACCATTCAATAGGGAAAATAGTCTTTTTAACAAATGATGCGAGGGAAACTGGATATGCACATGGGAAGGAATAAAGTTGGACTCCTGCTTTACACTATACACAAAATTAAGTTAAAGTGGATCAAAGGCCTAAATCTAAGAACTGTAACTATAACATTACTAGAAGAAAATATAGGCATAAATATTCATGGCACTGGATTAGATAATGGCCTTAGTTATGACCCTGAAAGCATAGCAACAGTAATAACAAAAAATAGATAAAATACACTTCATCAAAATAAAAAACTTTAGTATTATACTTCAAAAGGCACTATCGAGAAAATAGAAAACAAGTCACAGAATGGGAAAAAACATTTAGGTCCAGGAGAGCCTTTTCAAGGACTTCAATAGCAAGCCTGCCCCCACAAATCCTGCTAGAAAGCCTGCCTAGAATCTCTGGAAAGGCTAACTGATAAAGGGCTTTCCCTGTCAAAATCAGTCTGTAAAAACTAGAATAGGTGCTTACTTCTTCAAACGTTCAGATTTCAACATATGGCCAAATGGATTATGAATAATCAAGGAAACATGACACTACCAAAACAAAACAATAAAATAAAATATCAGTAACTGAGCCTAAAGAAAAAGGGATCTACGAACTGCCAAAGAATTCAAACTAATTATCTTAAAGAAACTCAATGAGTGACAACAGGACAAAAATAGATACTAAATAGAATCAGAAAAATAATACATGAACAAAATTAGGAGTTCAACAAAGAGATAGAAACCCCTAAAAAAAAGAACCAAATACATTCTAGAGCTAAAAACAGAATTACAGCATTACAAATTTTCACAGAAAGCTTTAACAGCAGAATCAATCCAGCAGAAGAATCAGTAAGCTTAAAGACAGGTTATTTGATATTACCTAGTCAGAGAAACAAAAAGAAAAAAGAATGAAAAAAAGTTTAGAAATCCTATGGGACTTATGGGATGCCACCAAGTAAACTGATATTATAGGAATTCCAGAGGAATGGAAAAAAAGAAATGAGCAGAAAGCTTATTTAAATAAACAATGACAGAAAATGTCCCAAATTCGAAGAGGAAAATGAACATTCAGATCCATGAAGCCCAAAAAATCAAAGTAATAGTAATCAAAACAGCACATTATTGCCATAAAAACAGACATTTAAATTGATGAAACAGAGTAGAGAGACCAGAAATAAATTCATGCATTTATAGTCAATTGATCTTTGACATAGATGCCAAGAACACAAAACAGGGAAAGGACAGTCTCTTCAATAAATGGTGTTGGGAGAACCAGATATTCACATGCAGAAGCATAAATTGAACCCTTTCTTACACTATATATTTTTTTTAAAACTCAAAATTCAGTAAAGACTTAATCATAAGACCTAAAACTGTAAAATTACCAGAAGAAATCAGAGGAAAAAATCTTCTTGACACTGGTCTGGGCAATTAATTTTGTGTATGATCCTAAAAGTACAGGCAATAAAAATAGACAAATGAGATTGCACCAAATGAAAATGCTTCTTTACTGCTAGGAAACAGCAGAGTAATGAGACAATCTACAAAATGGGAGAAAATATTTATAAAACATTTATACCTGACAAGGAGTTAACATCCAAAGTTTACAAGGAACTCAACTCAATAGCAAGAAAACAAACAACCTAATTAAAAATGAGCAAAAGAGCAGAATTGGTATTTCTCAAAAGAAGATATACGAATAACCAGAAAGTTATGAAAAAATGCTCAGCATCAGTAACCATCAGGGAAACGCCAATCAAAACAACAATGAGATATAACCTCACACTTTTATTAGAATTGCTATTATCAAAAAGACAAAAGGTAAGTTTTGGGGAGGATGTGGAGAAATGGGAACACTTGTGCACTGTTAGTGGGAATATAAATTAGTATGCTCATAATGGAAAACACTATGGAGGTTACTCACAAAATTAAAATAGAACTACCATATGTTCCAGAAATCCCTCTTTTGGGTACATATTCAAAGGAAATGAAATCAGTTTCTCAAAGAGATATCTGCACTTTCATGTTTATTGCAGCATTATTCACAGTAGATGAACTATCAAATCAACATAACTGTCCATTGAAAGGTGAATGGACAAAGAAACCGTGAGGCACATGCACACACACATACACACACAATGGAATACCCTTCAGCCTTAAAAAAAAGAAGAAAATTCTACCATTTGTGACAACATGAATGTATTTGAAGGATGTTATGCTAAATGAAGGAAGCCAGGCACAGAAAAACAAATACCACATGATCTCAATTATATGTGAAATCTTAAAAAGTTGAATTAGTAGAAGTGGAGAGTAGAATGATAGTTACCAGAGGCTGGCATGCTGAGGAGGAAAGGAATGGGGAGTTGTTGATTAAAGGGTACAAAGTTTCAAGTAAATAGGAGGAATAAGTTTTGAGATCTATTGCACAGCAAGGTGACTATATTCAACAATAATATTTTGTACATTTCAAAATAGCTAAGAGAGTAAATCTCAAATGTCTCGCTATAGAAAATAATAAGCAAGGTGATGTTAATTAGCTTGATTTGATCACCCCACATTGTATATATATTTCAAAACATCACACTGAACCCCACAAATGTATACAATTATGATTCATCAATTTAAAATAATATTAATAAAACATTAGTGTGAGGAAGGAGAAGGAAGAGAGAATATTAAAAATTACACTATGTTTTCAACTTCACATAAATAAGGAACAGGTAACTAGAAATAGTTGTGTATAAAATTGCAAACGCTTGTTTCTTGATATTACACTCAAGAATAATAAAACTTTTCTGACATGTACTAAAAAAAAAAAATGTTAAGCAAAAAATAAAAATAAAGACATAACAGTGGACTTAGTAAGTACTGCATAAATGTTATTTATAGTTTTTTAAATTTACGTATGTTTTGTGTACTTCGTATGTATTTGATATTTCTCAATGGAAAGAAGCACAAAATTAAAAGATATATGATAAGTTAGAGGTGTCAGTGGCTGGGACACTGCTACCCTTTGAACATGCCATGTTTTGCCAGTCTAATGAGTGTTTGTTGCTCCACACACTAGTTCTAGAGGCACTATATGAACACTCTAGTACTGAAAGCCATGCTGATTCTTTATGGCCATTTGTTATTGCCCCACAGCGTGATTTTAGTCCCTCTGTGTGAGGATGGAATGCTAATCAAAGCTTCAATAGAACAGAAGTTTGAACTCAAGTGACCTCATTCTTTTTTTCTCAAAACTGAAAATCTTCCCTAAGCTTCCATGATCAAAAAAGGAAAAAAATACTTATCTTTTCTATGGCTTGGAAGTTCTTCTCAGTGAGAATTCAGCACCTACAAGCAACATCATGACACTGCACTAGTGGCTACCAACACCCAACTTATTCTTTCTCTTTTTAAATTGTTTATTTGAGAAACACAAAATGTATGTGGAGAATTTCCTAAAATATATATAAACAATGCAAGGAAAAATTATTAGACTCATGCACAAAACATTTTTGAAACAATTTTACTGACGTAGAGATTACATATATTAAAATGAACACATTTAAGTGTAGATTTCATTGAGTTTTGACAGTGTGCATAGCTGTGTAACCACCACCATAATCAAGATATAGGACATTTCCATAATCTCAAAAAGCATCCTCATGCCCTTTGCAATCAACACCAAACCCAACTTCCATCCCCTGTAACCACTCCTCTACTTTCTGTCACTAAGATAAATTTTGACTGCTATAGTATTTCAAACAAAGAGAATCAAGCACTTTTTGTGTGTATATTCTTTCCCTCAGTATAATGCTTTTACCCTAGAGGAAAGAAAACACATGTTCCCACAGAAACCTAGAAAGGAATGTTCATAGTAACTTTCCTTGTAATATCCTCAAACTAGAAAGAACACAGATATTCCTCTAAGGGTGAAAGGGTAAACAAAGTGTGGTACATTCATACAATTGAATACTATTCAGCAATAAAAAAGAATGAACTATTGATACTTGCAACAATTGGATTGCTCTCAAGGCTATTATGCCAAATGAAAAAATCCACTTGCAGAGGATTGCATACTAAATGATTCCCTTTATGTGGTGATGGACAATTATGTATCCTGCTTTAGTGGTTTTACACAAACCTACACAAATTGATAAAATTTCATAGTAATATACACCAAAAAAAGTATATGTAAAACCGAAGAAACTCAAATAAGGTCCGTAAGTTAATAGTTAATAGTATTGTACCAAGGTCTATTTTCTGGTTTAGAAAATGTATTGATTTTTGAAGATGTTATCATTGGGAAAGCTGGGTAAAAAAATACATAGAAGCTATTTTTTTGTAACTTCTTGCGATTTCAAAATAAACATTTCTGTAATAACTTGTTTGTTTTTTTTTGGATCTTAGTTAGCTTTTTAAAATTATGTTATTTTCTCCTTGGAGAAGTCGTACAGCTTGTATTAGATTGATTCCTAGCTACTTCATCTATTTTACACTCTGGTTTTTAGAACTTTATTTTCTAACTTTTTTGCTAGACAATTCACTCTTTATTCCCTTTCATCTGGCTTCCCCTTCTCTCCTTTACTGTTCTTACTGTGGACATGAATGACCTCTATGTCTTCAATCACATTGTCACCTTCCAGGTTTCATTTTAATTGATCTCTTAGTAGAATTTGGCACTGAATTTGTGCATCATCCTTGATGTCTCTGGGTGATTTTTTTTATGAACCTCTTAAGTACCAAAGGTACTGGTGGCCCAAAGATAACACATCTGTGTCCCTCTGGATTCAATCAGAACAGCTAGACTAATGCTCATGCATTCAGGAAGATTGACAATGGAGGAAGATTCTTGGAGTTTGAGCTTGGTGAACTCCAGGCTGAAGCACTAAGGAAGTCTGCAGTGTAGGGACTCTGTGGGCCTGAGGAACCAAAGAAGATCACATTGGAAATCTTTTCTTTCTTCTCTACAGTAGTTCTTGAACGGATACATTTTTCCTCCAGTCTTGATTAATTCAAACTAACATATCAATGCAACTTAACAATTATTTATTGATAGTACTTAGTCCCAATAAGTGCAAGTTTGTTAATGGCATTATTATTGCTTAATAATGTGTTTATTTCACTTTAATGCAGAATAATATTTTCTCTGGACACACCATTCTATGTTGGCATATTAAAGATATCATCCCATAACATCTAGCCTCCTTCTTATTGAGAATTCAGCCGTCAATCTAATGTTCTTTGGAATGTATTATGTCCTTTGTCCTCTGGTTGCTTTTAACATTTTATTATTTTCTTTGACTTCCTGAAATTTTACTATCAAGCTGCATTTTTTGTTCTTCTTGCTTAGGGCTTTTCGGGCTTCTTGAATCTCTGGGCTGATGTTTTCCATCAGTACTGGAAAGTTCTCTACCATAATATTCATATAACTAAATACCATAATATATTGCAAAAAAGTAAAGCTTTATACAAAAACATGAATAATTCCTAGAATGCATACTGTATGATTCCATTTACATCAACATTTAAAATAGGTGGCCAGGCATGGTGTCTCATGCCTGTAATCCCAGCATTTTGGGAGGCCGAGGCGGGTGGATCACCTGAGGTCAGGAGTTTGAGACCAGCCTGACTAACATGGCGAAACCCTGTCTCTACTAAAAATACAGAAATTAGCTGGGTGTGGTGGCAGGCACCTGTAATCCCAGCTACTGTTGGTGGGGTAGGGGGGAGCTGAGGCAGGAGAATTGCTTGAACCCGAGAGGTGGAGGTTGCAGTGAGCCAAGATCGTGCCACTGCATTCCAGCCTGGGCAACAGAGTGAGACTCCATCTCAAAAATAAAAAATAAAAAATAATAAAGCAGGCAAAAATATAGTGTGGTAAAACTACAAAAGAAAACAATGGTTAGAATTCATAAAAGAAAGAATAGTGTTTCCCACCAGACAAGGAAAAAAGAATGTATTTAGAGAGGACCACTTGGTGTGGGGAGTTTTCTGTGGTTTGAGCAATATTCAACTTTCTGACCTGGTTTGTAGTTACACAATTTGAATTAAAATAGTTTAAAATATTAATTTAAATCCTATGCCTTTTCTGGTATGTGAATTATATTTCACAAATATAAAAGTCCCACACCTATGCACACATACACACACACACAGGAAATAACAAGGGAGAAACTGCTTGGGCAAACTGGCCAGGGATAGCCTCTCTGAACACAGAAAGACCATTTTTATTGTCTGGAGAAAGACACTTCACAAGTTTGTAGTAAACTCACCAATATTGGCAGCTACGTGCCTCCTTGGGTGCACTGGCAGTTTGAGAGGAGGTCTCTGGGAGTGGCCTTCAGGTACTTGTGAATTTACCTTGCAAAGTAGGGGAGGAGTCCCTAATTTCTCCTTAGCTGAGGTCACCCTTAAAAAGAGTCTCCGGGGGATAGCTAGGTTTGTTGGTACAAAATATTAAAATCTAGGACTTTTATTTAATCTGCAAGCTACAATAGGAACAATAAATAAATTATTGGCTGCTTCTTCATTTTGAATCCCAGACCTACCTCCCTGGTCACTTTAATGTCCAGGATATCTTCTCCAACCCTCAGTACAATTGAAAGAAATTACCTGGGGAATTGTCAACATATTGAGAGATTCTGAGATTCATAGCAATTCTTAAGAGATGGAAAGTTTCATGGTAGCAAAGAACATACACAGAAAGGCTCCCCAGAATCATAATGGCTCCTAGAAACTTTCTTGGATCTGCCCATCTTGTCTGAATATTTCCTCCATCTTTCATGTCCCTCAAGAGGATAGAATGACTCTGATTTCATCTAGTTTGAGTCACCCAAAGCTATGCTGTTCACTTGCCTGAGGGAAAAGGAACAGGCTATTCTGATCTGACCATTCCTTCAAAGCCTGCCAGAGAAGAACTGTCCCCTCTCTGCACACTACTAGTATAAGTCCTGTGGTATTAGGGAAACTCCAGGGGCCTGGCCACTGGTGCTGCAGTAGAACCATAACTGTGGTTCATCTGGTTTACCCACCTCCTCATATGTAAGGTCCGCCTAAGCTGAGATGTCTTTCCTCAAATCCTGGTACTCATCCTCATCACTAACCCAGTTAACATATTCAAAATGATTATTACATAAAAACATCTCAGTTACCAATGAAACTCAGGATGTGTTGCTGTATCCCCTGTGAAGCGTAGATTTATTTCTTTTAAAATTAATAACTGATTGGAAGGTGAATTTCCATTCAAAAATCATCATTTTTTTATTTGCAGGATAACATTGGAGATGCAAACTAAAAGTTCTCAGCTATAATCTAAACATCTTCTAATCGTACACACAGAGACATAACTAAGTACCTCATCACTCTCAGAGATGAGGTATAAGCCAGGGCTTACTCTTCTGGACTAACTGAATCTCCAGAACTCTGTGTTAGAGGGAGGGGATCGTGAATAAAGGGCTTTATAAACTTCCATAGGGTTCAAAACAATAGGGCGAAAGGGATTCCTGAATACTTTCTGGGCACAGGTCTGGAATTTATGACATAAGAAGAATTTGGTGGTGGGGGGTCCCTTAAGGCAAAAAGTAAAAGGATTAGAGTCACAAAGAAAAGGAGCAGAGTGAGGCTCAGTAAGAAAATCAGGTATTAGGGCCACAAGGCTAGGCAGTATTCATACATTTGAGGAGATGTTAGGGGTAAGTCGATAAAGGAGTTTAAATATAAGCAAGGAATACAGGTGGATCAGTACAAATCATTGGCTGGGAGAAGGAAATTTCTGCTGTAGGGGAAGTGGTATAATAATATTATAGAGGTGTAGTTAGGTAAGGAGACGTTTCCGACAGGGCAGAGGAAGAGAACATTTCCTCCTTTCTCATGGGTGCCATTAGGCAAATAATTATGGGGTTCCTGGAAGGAAAGGAGGGGAGATCTCAAAAGGCAAGAGAAAGGAATGTAAAGATGCAAGGGAAGATGCTAAATTTCAGGGAAATGAGAGGAAGGAAAGGAAGACTTCTGTCCGTGAATATGCTCAACACAAAAATCGATGCTGTCATGTGTGCGTGTGTGTGTGTGTGTGAATACGCATGTGCATATGTGTGCACAAGTGTGTATGTAGTACATTAATACTTCATGGTGTTATTTTAAAACTTCATCAGGGTAGTCAGTGCCAGGTCAGGAGTTAGTATATAACTCTCTTCCTCTGTGCATGGAAATGCCAGTTTGATCTTTTGGCATGTGATAATAACCTCCAAAATATCATGGATGCAAAAATCTTTTTTATACATTACTCTTGCTGTCCCCAACCACTTCAGCCAGCATCTTGCTTAGACCACCATCCCACTTGGCTGTAGACCTGCATTGTGCCCTGTTGCAACCTGCATCCTTCCAGTTGCTGCTCTTCTCATATAGAGAAGATGCTCCTAGCAATACACGCTTTGCCCTAAGCATGGGCACAAGCTCTTCTGTCAGTTCTCTACAATGACAATGAAGACTAAGCTGCAACGTTCATTACAATGCACTGAATGCATAGCAATAACTGAAGGAAATTAACAGAAAACTTAAAATGAGATACTAGATACGGCTGCTCTTAGAATCCACAGGTTCAATACCCTGGCCTGCCATCAAGTGAGAAGGATCAGCTTACCTCTCTCCAGATGAAGTAGTCTTAAATCTCTCTCTCCCAACTAAAGTCTAAGTTGCAGCCACCAGGAAGCCTCAAGAAAGGAAAACAGTTCCCTCCTCAGCTTACATCTTCTACCCTAGGGTCTGCTTCTTTCCAGGATGATTGACAGTGAGAAACTTTACTCTCCTCATGGGAACCCTCTGTCTGCCTCTGAGCCTAACCTTTCTGTGCCCTCTCTTCTCCATTCCTAGAGGTATGTATTTTTTAAGTCTGCGTTCAGCCTTCCTTTTGCCTTTCTGCATTCCAATGATTTATACTTATGTATTCTCTCAGCTTTAATGAATGTCTTGTTGTAGATGACTCTCAATTCTACCCATCCAGCCCAGCTTTATCCTTGCATTCTCTTACAGTACAGTATAGTGAAAAGACCATAGAACCTGGCATCAAAAATCCTGAGTGGTAGAACTGGAATAAATCAGACTCAGGATTGACCTGGCCATTACCTCTCCCCACCAAGTTGCAAGGAAGAGAAATAACAGAGTCATTGATTTCCCTAGGAGCAGGTTATGCCTTCCAAGAACTTCCACAGAGTCCCCACCCCTAACCCTTCGCAGGAAAGCCCAACCTTGCAGGTGTATAAATAGGCACTCTCGAAGCTTCGTGCTGTAGCCTGGCCCTCCCTCTTTCCAAAATGGACAAGTCCCTCTTGCTGGAACTCCCCATCCTGCTCTGCTGCTTTAGGGGTGAGTCCCTAGGGTTGACAGCTGGTAAGAGTCCTGAATTTAGGAACAGGTGAGAGCACCCATGACAGAGGCCTTCTCATGGGAGTCCTATGGCAACTGAAGCATGATGAGCTTCTGTTCTAATGTTATGCCTTCTACCAGGGGTATGTCATGTCCCCAGGACCTTAACTAAAGCTCTTCTCCCTTCCTTTATGGGGGGAAATAGGTAGATTAGAGAGGAATTGAGTGGATGTTCATAGAAGCTTTGAGATGGGGTTTGGAAAATGAGGTCTGCAGACAGTGTATCTCTTTTTTTTTCCAACAGCATTATCTGGATCACTTTCAATGAGAAATGATGCAGGTGAGTAGGAATAGATAAGTGGTATGAGAAGGGGAAGGTCTGAGGAGGAAAAGATGAGTGGGGTGAGGTGAGCACCAGGGGCCAAAAAAAACCAAAATACGAATAGACCTTGAGTTCCAACACGCAACAACCTCTTCCAGCAGGACAGAGCTGGCATGGGAGCTGATTTTAGGTTTGACAAAATAACATTAGCATCAACTGACAAGGTCAGGAGTGAGCGTCAGTGAAGGGCAAGGAAAAGGAAAAGGAGGAAGTGGAATGCTGGCTTTTCAGGTGTCGCTTGGCCAAATCTAAAGCGTGGCAACTTCAGGAATTTCAGGTTGTCCCCATTGTCAGATTCCAGGCACCCACAGGTAAGAGTGCCACACAGAGTCAATTAAAAAGAAGGGAATGAAGCAAAAAAGCAGGTGCACTTATCTTTCTCCTCCTGGTCTGTGCTGCATCCTATAGGAATGGGTAGATGAATCTGAGAAGCCCCGAAGAGGTGAAGAGATTTAGAAGGAGAGAAGAGGTGCAGAGATGCCCAGTAGGTGACTAGGCATTAGGGGGACAGAGTGGGCCTGGAATGGCTCCAGTTTAAGAGTGCAGGATGGACCCTGAAGGGCAGACTATAAGAACCCAATACAAGAGTAAATCTCAGGCACATTTCAGATGTGTTTTCTTTCTCTTGCCAGTACAGTCAATGAAATAGTTGCTGTGAAAAACAATTTTCCTGGTAAGTATGAAGAGGACCTGTCTGATCACCTCAGTCTTGATAATGTTTCACTTTTCCTTATTCCTCCACCTTTCTTTCCCCTCCCATTTTTCAGGCTAAAATTCCTGAGACCATAAACCTCAATCACTCTCTTGGCTTAGTGTATTTCCACAGAGGAAGAGGTTCACGCTTGATGGGCTCTGGCAAAGCCCTGTGGCTCTAGGCAGACTTCTAACCCAAAAGGGGAGAGGGGTTCTTTCCTGGTAGTGCCATCTTTTCTCACTTCTCTTTCCCCTCTCTCTGGCCAAGTGATAGAAATTGTTCAGTGTAGGATGTGCCACCTCCAGTTCCCAGGAGAAAAGTGCTCCAGAGGAAGAGGAATATGCACAGCAACAACAGAAGAGGCCTGCATGGTTGGAAGGATGTTCAAAAGTAAGTTGTGGGTTGGGGAAAAGAAGAACGGGCAGAGGACGTATACAGGGACGTATCAGCCACAGGGGAAAGGAGAGATCTTACTTTACTTTTACTATAGGCAGTCTCATACCTGGGATGGCTGATTCCTTCATCCCCATCATATGCCGTAATGAAAATTAGATGGAGGTGGTCACTAAGGAGGGTGGGGGCCTACAGCTAAGGGATTAGCATTTTGAGAAGCCTGAAGAAAACAGAGGAGAATAAATCAAGGTAAGAGAATAGGTGTAATCTATGCCCAATGGGTAACAGTGTGTTGTTGAGTTGTGGAGGGGGCTTTTGGTTCTTGTGCCTGTCTGGGCTTCCTTACGGATGGTTCTAAACTGTGGAAATAGAAGGGCCAGTGTCATCAGTAGACTCTGGCTGAATTGCCCTGGATGGTTAAGATGAGACATCATGATTTCTCTTTTTCCACCCTTTGTGCTAAATTATCTCTTGGCATTTATAACCCTCACTTGAACCAGTGTTAAGACTCTCAAGAGAAACACCCAGCTTTGGCAATCCCTGAATTACGGCTCTCCTTACTGCCCTACCCCAAATGATCATTTTAGACTGCTCCATCACTGCATTTCTTTTGGGAAGCCCCCAGCTTGCAACATCTTCCAGTTCTTTACATTTGAATAACGGAGCTTTGAACTACACAAGATTATTTCTATATGTTGGTGTGGTCTGGAGAAAAGTTTTTTAGCAGAACTTTCATGGCCAGGCTTCCTGATCTGTTTTTTCTCCCCTCCACAGGGGATGGTAATCCCTGGTTAACCTTCATGGGCTGCCTAAAGAACTGTGCTGATGTGAAAGGCATAAGGTGGAGTGTCTATTTGGTGAACTTCAGGTGCTGCAGGAGCCATGACCTGTGCAATGAAGACCTTTAGAAGTTAATGGTTCTTCTGTGACTCCAATTTCTGGGTGAGGTTGTTGCCTCAGCCTCTTCACAATGACTTTCTAAAAAAAATCACACACACACACACACACACTACAGAAGAGGATTGCAAACACATGGCTCCATCTTCTGCACACGAAAGGAAAGTCCCTCTCCTTTTCTACAGTCTCTGTCACGCCCCTTAAAATAAGTAAATAAATAACCTTGAGAGAAAGAACAAGATCAATATATCCTGCAGGTTGCTACAAACCCTTGTGCTTTCACTGTATAGCCAGTTCATTCAGAAAAGGAGGAAAGGGTAGTTTAATTTCAAAAAAGAATCCCTTCCTCTTTCCTCTGCTGCTTTCCTTCCTTCTGTGGCAGGGTATTTTAATATATTTTTCAAATTTTTTTCCTTTCTGTGTTATCCTTCTTATCCCACTCCAAAGAAAGCACATAACTGTGGCCTGAAGGGATGGGGAGTAGCAACATAAAAAGAAGTGGCTCAAGTCTTCTTGGAGTTTGTTCATGAATGCTGATCCCAGGGTGAGGAGAAGATTGGGACATAGAAAGGAAACTGCATCAGAAACATGAACAGAGAAAGATTGTCTGCCTTCTAGAATCAGATCTGTTTGGGGCTGGGGGTTGGAGAATAAAAGCAGGAGAAGTCTATGGGATTCTAGAAATAGTACCTGCATCCAGCTTCCCTGCCAAACTCACAAGGAGACATCAACCTCTAGACAGGGAACAGCTTCAGGATACTTCCAGGAGACAGAGCCACCAGCAGCAAAACAAATATTCCCATGCCTGGAGCATGGCATAGAGGAAGCTGAGAAATGTGGGGTCTGAGGAAGCCATTTGAGTCTGGCCACTAGACATCTCATCAGCCACTTGTGTGAAGAGATGCCCCATGACCCCAGATGCCTCTCCCACCCTTACCTCCATCTCACACACTTGAGCTTGCCACTCTGTATAATTCTAACATCCTGGAGAAAAATGGCAGTTTGACCGAACCTGTTCACAAGGGTAGAGGCTGATTTCTAACGAAACTTGTAGAATGAAGCCTGGAAAGAGTGATGAATTATATTATATTATATAAAAATAATAATAAAAATATAAAGAAAGCTACCTTTCTTCTATACCCAAATTGTGTGTCCTTCTTTCTCTCTCCTCCAACCTCTTCCTAATTCCTTTAACAAACATGTATTCAAAACATACTATGTTCCAGGTACTGCTAGACCCTAGTATGTACACAGCATCATAATCCCTATCCTCATGGAGCTTAGACTAATGGGAGAGACAGATCTTAAGTAAATAATAATAATAGCTTCCACTTATATGACAATTACTATATGAGAGGCACTGCTATAAACACTTTTTATTTTCTGACTCATTTACCCTTCACACAAACCTGAAAGTCATACTACTCCCCATGTGGGTCAGTCAGAAACCAAAAACAGCACCAGTTATTTTTACAGAGACTGTAAAATTAAGAGCGGTTAACCAGGTATTGAAGGATACAAAAAGCCAAAGGGAGATATCGAGTTAACAGAGACAGAAATTGCAAGAAACAGCTAAAACCTGTAGGTCTAGGGAAACACAAGGAAAATGTTGGAGGTCCATACTTCTAAGGTCTAAGGTAATTAAGGTAATTAGACTAGACCTTAGAAGTGTGGGGGAAGGAAGTGCAGATGGAGGATCTCTTGAGCCCAGGAATTCAAGGCTGCAGCGAGCTATGATTGTGCAGTGGCACTCCAGCCTGGGTGACGGAGGAAGATCCCATCTCTAAAATTAATTAATTA
Organism: Homo sapiens; assembly: GCF_000001405.40. Taxonomy (NCBI): domain Eukaryota; kingdom Metazoa; phylum Chordata; class Mammalia; order Primates; family Hominidae; genus Homo; species Homo sapiens. The sequence continues at coordinate 125,750,523 of NC_000011.10, forward strand.
ATTAACTTAAAACTGTGAGGGAGGGATCCCTTGGAACTGGAACCCAAACATCTCAGGAACAAAGGGCCTCCATAAAGATAAAATGCATACCTCTAGGGAAGGGGTACTGTTCAGATGGTGCTGGTATCTCTGTGGGGCACCAGGAAGCTGGTTCTGAAAGTGTTGTGGGGAAAACCATGGAACAAAACCAACTGTAGCTCTGAAGCCAACTGCCACTGCCCAGGTAAAAAGCTGTTGAGAGGAAGAGGAAGCAAACGGGAAAAGATGCATCCCTTGTCCAGCTTGCCAGTCTCCCTCCAGCACCTCCTATTGGCAGAATTTAACAAGGATCTAGCTTGCAAAAACCACCATCATAAAGCAGGGTATAGAAGTGTGAACTTAAAACTGAGAGACAATCATTTAATAACCAGCTCAATCACGTCTTTGACCTTTCAACATCTGTACATACCTTTTTATATATGTTTGGACTCCATTGAACAAGAAAGGCAACTTTATGCTTTTGCCTAAAGAGATGCATTTATCCTCCATACAAGTAAAGATACTCTTATTTTTTCTTTAAATAAGGACACACAGTCCTAAAGTCATCTTTATCTCAGAGTGATATCCTAGATATTCTTTCTGTGCAATGTTAAATACTCTTGAAATCCAATAAATTCCACCTGTCAATTACCGTCAATAATTTTTATGTAAAATAATAAAAGGGTAGAGGAAAACAAGAAGAAAATATGACAAGAAAGGAAAAAGATATGCCTAGGTACCCAGTGTTTGTTTTTTTTTTAACCGCTAATAAGGCTGCAAGCAATATTTATAACTTCCTTCTTCTGCTACCAATTCTACATTTTGTTTTCCACAACTAGAACCTCATTGGGTCAGCATTATCTATCTGCTGGGATGATGAAAATCTTCATTCTTGAAAGGTTCAAATTTTCAATGGCCTGGATTTTTTTTTTCAGTTTCAGAGCTTTATATTTACTGTTATTGGACAGGAAGAACAAGGTAGCACTTCAGAGAATTTCCTGTATTCCAGACACAGTCATCCTTACCCCATTGTGCAACAGCCATGCAATTCCCTTTTAATAATCGGGATCAGTTTTCTCAGCCTGTAGAATAACCTCTATGCTTATATTGTGGCATGGTGGCATCAGGAGCCCAAAATGGTCTTAGCATTCAAATCAACTAAAGTATTGTTTTATTCCCTAGTGGAAGCATTTCTCCCTTGGTAACTAAGACTTCCAAATGAACAAAAATCAAAGTTGCAGGGATGGGAGAATTTATTCCTACTTCTACATCTTGATTCTTGGACTTGTGTACTCTGACTATGGGAAAAGCAGAATTATATATTAGTTGCTGATTCTGAGCATATACCGCATTCTAAGATATAATCTAATCTTTTCAGAGTGTTTGCCCCAACTTACAGTTAAATTGAGATTTCATTTGACCATTCATTCCATTATTCCATCAGGCTGGTTGCTTCTGATGATGGGGTGAATGGTAAGATAAATGATGTCCATGGGCATGAACATATTGCTATACTTCTTTGTGGTGAAATAAGTTTCTTGGATGGAAATAATTCTGTGTTTAAAACACGCTGATGGAGAATAAAGCATTCCCTAAGTCCACAATTAATGGTGGCGGCAGAAGCATTATTAACAGGAACATCCATATCCAAAAATATCTGTTTATTCCAGTGAGGATAAATTCTAACCATGATGGAAGTCAAGCTGTTAGCAACTAGCCATGAATTAATGTAGATCTGTCCAGACTCAATGGATGAGACACCCCTGATTGTGGTTTAATGCTTGGGGAGTCCACCTCCCAGTTGTTGCCAGAATATCCATTTGTAAATGCCAGTTTCTCCTATCTCAGATCAGTTCATTATTAAACAGAAAACTAAGAGGCCATAGGTGTGCCATAGAAGAGAGGAGGCAATGGAGCAGAACTACCTGCTCATGCAACTAACTTGTGCAGTCCTGGCTAGCTTGAACCTGTTCTCTTGTTGGCTTCTTCTCCTTAGTGGCAGATTGCTATCTTACATGCCCAATCTATGGCTTCATGACCCAGAAAACACAGTTCATGATGGGAAGCTCAGGTATCATGATTACTTGATGACCCATTGTCAGAGAAACTGATTATAGAAGATTAAATTACTTGCCAAAGTCATATAAATAGAAAATGACAGAGGCAAGAGTCAAACTTAGGCTGTCTGTCTCAAGTCTTTACTCTTAATGATTATGCACAAATAACTAAGAAATAACTATAACAGGTGTAGGAAAAAATACAGGGTAATAAAAGTAAGCAGAAGACAATGCTAACTGGGGTCTTAGGAAAGCTCTTTCTAAAGTTACATTTAAGCTTAGAATCGTGGGCTAACCTATTTAGGTCAGGGCAAGAGGGAAACGGTTGGGGGCAACCATGTACCAAAAGCACCTTCCTTCCAGGTAAAGGGAACAGGAGGTGCAAACCATCTGGGTAAAGAAGTTCCCTTCGTGACCGCTTCCTTTGAGTGTTCTTTCTTTTTTCTTGTGAATTCAATGATTCTCTTTAGCCTTTTGGAAATCATCATGGCCCATGTGTTTGTTGTTTTGTTTTGTTTTGCATGTTTGTTTGTTTTAAGGTACATCTGCCTTAGGTTTAAGATTCGGCTTTCTATTTTGGAGGATAGTAAACTCTCTCCTCATACACAGACTTACGAGATTATAAGAACAGAAGGCAGGCAGGGCGCGGTGGCTCACGACTGTAATCCCAGCACTTTGGGAGGCCGAGGCAGGCGGATCACCTGAGGTCAGGAGATCAAGACCAGCCTAGACAACATGGTGAAATCCCATCTCTACTAAAAATACAAAAATTAGCTGGGCATGGTGGCACTTGCCTATAGTTTTAGCTACTCAGGAGGCTGAGGCAGGAGAATTGCATGAACCTAGGAGGCGGAGGTTGCAGTGAGCCGAGATCATGCCTCTGCACTCCAGCCCGGGCAACAGAGCGAAACTCTGTCTTGAAAAAAACAAAACAAAACAAAAACAAAAAACAGAAGGCAGACTATTTGGCCCCCATGAGATGAAGATATAGCATGATCTCTGTCTCTCTCTTCTAAAGTCAGCCCTAGATAAGCTCTGAAACTGGGTTTCTATGAATCAACAAAACCATTAGAAGTTTGAGAAGTTCTGGCAGGAGGTTGTTCAGTTGTCTGAAGCAGCGTGTTTGTGGCGGGGTTGGTGGAGGGGTGGTGGCATTGTTGGCCATAACCTCAGTGTATTAGAGAGCTGTTTAAATTCTGTGCTCACTTATCTTCTTCATCTCTGTGGGACTATATCACCTGTTACTTCAACACAGAAATTGGCATGGCCCAGACTATATTTTGGGGTCAAGAGTGCAGGGAATATTATCAGGTCAGAAGTTATTAGTCTGCTCATTTCAAAGCCCCAGGATTTGTACATTATAATTTAGGAAAACTGCCTCATCCCAGTGCTACTTCTCTTTAAGGGTTTAATGGTAAATCTCGAATAAATCAGTTGTTTGGTAATATGTATGCAAACGGGAGTTATCGACTATTTCATAGTCCCTGGAAACCATCTCTTTAAGGCTAATTCCTTCCCCACTCTTTGAACTCACCAAGACTATTGGACTAGGATCTGGCCTTTCTAAAATCCATTATCAGGTGGAGATTTTGATAACCCTGGAGAAATAGAAATCCACAGACAAAAAATAATTATAAACTGAAGAGTACAATTATGCTCAAAAAAAGCACTAAATTAGTGTACTAAACAGTATGTACTAACTGAAGCCAAATTATTAGAAGTAGGAATTCAAAACAAGAATGAAAATATATTTAGAGATAATTAAAAGTACAAGTTGAAACAAAAATCATCAAAAAGAGGTAGGAATATTTGATATTAAGTATAATCAATAAAGAACACAATAGATGGAATATTAAAATAGATCTTAAAAGATGAACAAAGATAGGCAGTTGGAAGATCAGAATAAGGATATCTTCCAGAATACAGTAAGAAGGAAGAGGACTTAGATGGGAGATTTTTTATTATTGATTCAATTTCCTCACTATTCATATTTTCTGTTTCCTCATGATTCAGTTCTAGGAGGTTGGATTTTTTTTGAAAATTATTCATTTCCTCTGGATTATCCAATATGCTAGTGTATAATTGTTTATAGTAGACTCTTACTAACCTTTGCATTGCTGTAGTACCAGTTGCAATGTCTCCTCTTTCATTTCTAATTTTATTTTTTTCTCTCTCTCTTTTTCTTAATCTAACCAAAGATTTGTTGATTTTTGTATCTTTAAAACAAACTCAGTTTTATTGATTTTTTCTATGTCTTTTCTGGTCTCTATTTTATTTATTACTGCTCTGATCTTTATTATTTCCTTCCTTCTACTAACTTTGGACTATGACCATAGAACAAAAAGTTCATAGAATACAAGTTAGAGAAATAGGAGAAAACATACACATATTGAATGTATGAATACCAAAGACAACGACAAATCTTTAAGCACATCTAGTGAGAAAGAGCCATTCATCTACCAAGGAAATTATGCATAAAGGGAGAAGAATGAAATGCCAAAGTTCAATACCTTAACAAGGAAACATAGAACATTCTTCAGAAAAATAGTTATGTTTAAGTGTTATTTCTAGAGTAGCAAATTATTAGTCAAAATATCCAGTTTCATAGAAGACTGCAACAATCTTTGATGTCTTGGTATTTGAAAGACCCTTTTAGTAAGGAAAAAACATAAGTAGAAGATATATTTTTACACACTTCTCTGCCTGGATAGGAACATAAGAATGATATTTTGAATGTTCTCAATGTACCTATTTATCAGAACCTGCTTTATAACAGAAAATACTATGTGTTTTATGCAGTTGTAGAATATTTTCTCATTCTTATCTTTTTAAATCCTATTGGATTAATCTAATATTTCTTATTTATCTTCCCTGATAGTTCTTAAATTATATATTCTTTAATAATTCTCTTAGTAGTCATAATTGAGGTTTTATAGTCTACCTTAAATTAGGGCATTTATCACCTAATTAGCAATATTAGAATCTTGTAAGAGTCTGACTCCAGGTTAGAAAAGAAATATTTTGGGTGGCTGGCAAGATGGCCGAATAAGAACAGCTCCGGTCTGCAGCTCCCAGCGAGACCAACGCAGAAGGTGGGTGATTTCTGCTTTTCCAACTGAGGTACCCAGTTCATCTCACTGGGAATGTTTAGACAGTGGGCGCAGCCCACGGAAGGCAAGCAGAAGCAGGGTGGGGCATCACCTCACCCAGGAAGCACAAGGGGCTGGGGAACTAGCTAAGGGAAGCCATGAGGGACTGTGTCTTGAGGGACTGTGCTATCTGGCCCAGATACTACACTTTTTCCATGGTTTTTGCAACCCACAGACCAGGAGATTCCCTCGGATGCCTACACCACCAGGGCTCTGGGTTTCAAGCACAAAACTGGGCAGCTGTTTGGGCAGACGCCAAGTTAGCTGCAGGAGTTTTTTTTCTTACCTCAGTGGCACCTGGAACCCCAGTGAGACAGAACCATTCACCCCCCTGGAAAGGGGGCTGAAGCCAGGGAGCCAAGTGGTCTTGCTCAGCAGGTCCCACCCCCACAGAGCCCAGCAAGCTAAGTATCCACTGGCTCGGAATTCTCACTGCCAGCGCAGAAATCTGAAGTCGACCTGGTACACTCAAGGTTGGCGGGGAGGAGTGTCCGCTGTTACTGAGGCTTGAGTAGGCAGTTTTCCCCACAGAGTGTAAACAAAGTCTCCAGGATTTGGGACTGGGCGTAACCCACTGCAGTGCAGCGAAGCCACTGTGGTCAGAGGTCTCTAGATTCCTCCTCACTGGACAGGGCATCTCTAAAAGAAAGGCAGCAGCCCCAGTTAGGGGCTTATAGATAAACTCCCACCTCCCTGGGACAGAGCACTGGGGGAAGGGGGGACGTGGGCACAGTTTCAGCAGACATAAATGTTCCTGCCTGCTGACTCTGAAGAGAGCAGTGGATCTCCCAGCACAGCGTTCGAGCTCTGCTAAGGGACAGACTATCTCCTCAAGTGGGTTCCTAACCCCCATGCCTCCTGACTGGGAGACACCTCCCAGCAGGGGTCGACAGACACTTTATACAGGAGAGCTCTGGCTGGCATCTGATGTGTGCCCCTCCAGGACAAAGCTTCCAGAGGAAGGAGCAGGCAGCAATCTTTGCTGTTCTGCAGCCTCTGCTGGTGATACCCAGGCAAACAGGGTCTGGAGTGGACCTCCAGCAAACTCCAGCAGACCTGGAGAAGAGGGGCCTGACTGTTAGAAGGAAAACTAACAAACAGAAAGCAATAACATCAACAAAAAGGATGCCCACGCAAAAACCCCATCCAAAGGTCATCAGCATCAAAGATCAAAGGTAGATGAATTCACAAAGATGAGGAAAAGCCAGCGCAAAAATGCTGAAAATTCCAAAAACCAGAATGCCTCTTCTCTTCCAAAGGATTACAACTCCTCGCCAGCAAGGGCACAAAACTGGATGGAGAATGAGTTTGATGAATTGACAGAATTATGCTTCAGAAGGTGGGTAATAACAAACTCCTCCAAGCTAAAGGAGCATGTTCTAACCCAATGCAAAAAAGCTAAGAAACTTGACAAAGTTTACAGGAACTGCTAACTAGAATAGCCAGTTTAGAGGAGAACATAAATGACCTGATGGAGCTGAAAAACACAGCACAAGAACTTCGTGAAGCATACACAGGTATCAATAGTCGAATCAATCAAGTGGAAGAAAGGATATCAGAGATTGAAGATCAACAGAATGAAATAAAGTGTGAAGACAAGATTAGAGGAAAAAGAATAAAAAACAAACAAACAAACAAAGCCTCTAAAAAATGTGGGACTATGTGAAAAGACCAAATCTATGATTGATTGGTGTACCTGAAAGTGGTGGGGAGAATGGAACCACACTGGAAAACACACTTTAGGATATCCAGGAGAACTTCCCCAATATAGCAAGACAGGACAACATTCAAATTCAGGAAATGCAGAGAACACCATTAAGGTACTCCTCAAGAAGAGCAACCCCAAAACACATAATTGTCAGACTCACCAAGGTTGAAATAAAGGAAAAAATGTTAAGGGCAGCCAGAGAGAAAGGTCAGGTTAACTACAGAGGGAAGCCCATCAGACTAACAGTGGATCTCTCTGCAGAAACCTTACAAGCCAGAAGAGAGTGGGGACCAATATTCAATACTCTTAAAGAAAAGAATTTTCAACCCAGAATTTCATATCCAGCCAAACTAAGCTACATAAGCGAAGGAGAAATAAAATCCTTTACAGACAAGCAAATGATGAGGGATTTTGTCAACATCAGGCCTGCCTTACAAGAGCTCCTGAAGGAAGCACTAAATATGCAAAGGAAAAACCGACACCAGCCACTGCAAAAACATACCAAAATATAAAGACTAATGACACTATGAAGAAACTGCATTAACTATTGTGCAAAATAACCAGCTAGCATCATGAGGACAGGATCAAAATCACACATAACAATATTAACATTAAATGTAAGTGGGCTAAATGCCCCAATTAAAAGACACAGACTGGCAAATTGGATAAAGAGTCAAGACCCATCAGTGTGCTATATTCAGGAGACTCATCTCACGTGCAAAGACATACATAGGCTCAAAATAAAGGGATGGAGGAATATTTACCAAGCAAATGGAAAACAAAATAAAGCAGGGGTTGCAATCCTAGTCTGATAAAACAGTCTTTAAACCAACAAAGATTAAAAAAGACAAGGAAGGGCATTATATAAGGGTAAAGGGACCAATGCAACAAGAAGAGCTAACTATTCTAAATATATATACACCCAATACAGGAACACCCAGATTCATAAAGCGAGTTCTTAGAGACCTACAAAGAGACTTAGACTCCCACACCATAATAGTGGGAGACTTTAACACCCCACTGTCAATATTAGACAGATCAACGAGACAGAAAATTAACAAAGATATTCAGGACTTGAACTCAGCTCTGGACCAAGTGAACTTCATAGACATCTGCAGAACTCTCCACCCCAAATCAACAGAATATACATTCTTCTCAGCACCATGTAGCACTTATTCTAAAATTGACCACATAATTGGAAGTAAAACACTCCTCAGCAAATGCACAAGGATGGAAATCATAACGAACAGCCTCTCAGAAAACAGTGCAATCAAATTAGAATTCAGGACTAAGAAACTCACTCAAAACCACACAACTACATTCAGGACTAAGAAACTCACTCAAAACCACACAACTACATGAAAATTGAACAACCTGCTCCTGAATGATTACTGCATAAATAACAAAGTCAAGGCAGAAATAAATAAGTTCTTTGAAACCAATGAGAACAAAGACACAATATACCAGAATCTCTGGGACACAGCTAAAGCAGTGTTTAGAGGGAAACTTATAGCACTAAATGCCCATATCAGAAAGCTGAAAAGATCTAAAATTGGCACCATAACATCACAATTAAAAGAACTAGAGAAGCAAGAGCAAAGAAATTCAAAGGCTAGCAGAAGACAAGAAATAACTACAATCGGAGCAGAACTGAAGGAGATAGAGACACGAAAAACCCTTCAAAAAACCAATGAATCCAGGAGCTGGTTTTTTTGAAAAGATTAACAAAATAGGTAGACCACTAGCTAGACTAATAGAGAAGAAAAGGGAGAAGAATCAAATAGACACAATAAAAAATGATAAAGGGGATATCACCACTGATCCCACAGAAACACAAACTACCATCAGAGAATACTATAAACACCTCTATGCAAATAAACTAGAAAATCTAGAAAAAATAGATAAATTCCTGGACACATACACCCTCCCAACACTAAACCAGGAAGAAGTCGAATCCCTGAATAGACCAATAACAAGTTCTGAAATTGAGGCAGTAATTAATAGCCTACCAACCAAAAAAAGCCCAGGACCAGATGGATTCACAGATGAATTCTACCAGAGGTACAAAGAGGAGCTGGTACCATTCCTCCTGAAACTATTCCAAACAATTGAAAAGGAAGGACTCCACCCTAACTCATTTTATGAGGCCAGCATCATCCTGATGCCAAAACCTGGCAGTGACATAACAACAACAACAACAAAAAGTTCAGGCCAATATCCCTGATGAACATCAATGTGAAAATCCACAATAAAATACTGGCAAACTGAATCCAGCAGCACATCAAAAAGCTTATCCACCACGATCAAGTCAGCTTCATGTCTGGGATGCAAGACTGGTTCAACATATGCAAATCAATAAATGTAATCCATCGCATGAACAGAACCAATGACAAAAACCACATGATTATCTCAATAGATGTAGAAAAGGCCTTTGATAAAATTCAACACCCCTTTATGCTAAAACACTCAATAAACTAGGTATCAATGGAATATATCTCAAAATAATAAGAGCTATTTATGACAAGCCCATAACCAATGTCATACTGAATGGGCAAAAGCTGGAAGCATTTCCTTTGAAAACTGGCAAAGACAAGGATGCCCTCTCTCACCACTCCTATTCAACATAGTATTGGATATTCTGGCCAGGACGATCAGGCAGGAGAAAGATATAAAGTGTATTCAAATAGGAAGAGAGGAAGTCAAACTGTCTCTGTTTGCAGATGACATGATTGCATATTTAGAAAACCCGATTATCTCAGCCCCAAAACTCCTTAAGCTGATAAGCAACTTCAGCAATGTCTCAGGATACAAAATCAATGTGCAAAAATCACAAGCATTCCTATACACCAATAACAGACAAACAGAGAGCCAAATCATGAGTGAACTCCCATTCACAATTGCTACAATGTGAATAAAATACCTAAGAACACAACTTAAAGGGATGTGAAGGACCTCTTCAAGGAGAACTACAAACCACTGCTCAAGGAAATAAGAGAGGACACAAACAAATGGAAAAACATTCCATGCTCATGGATAGGAAGAATCAATATCGCAAAAATGGCCATACCGTCCAAAGTAATTTATAAATTCAATGCTATTCTCATCAAGCCACCATTGACTTTCTTCACAGAATTAGAAAAAACTGTGTGAAATTTCATATGGAACTAAAAAAGAGCCCGTATAGCCAAGACAATCCTAAGCAAAAAGAACAAAGCTGGAGGCATCATGCTACCTGACTTCAAACTATACTACAAGCCTACAGTAACCAAAACAGCATGGTACTGGTACCAAAACAGATATATAAACTAATGGAACAGAACAGAGACCTCAGAAATAACACCACACATCTACAACCATCCGATCTTTGACAAACCTGACAAAAACAAGCAATGGAGAAATGATTCCCTATTTAATAAATGGAGCTGGGAAAACTGGCTAGCCATATGCAGAAAACAGAAACTGGACCCCTTCCTTACACCCCTTTATACAAAAATTAACTCAAGATGGATAAAAGACTTAAACATAAGACCTAAAACCATAAAAACTCTAGAATAAAACCTAGGCAATACCATTGAGGACATAGGCATAGGCAAAGACTTCATGACTAAAACACCAAAAGCAATTGCAACAAAAGCCAAAATTGACAAATCGGATCTAATTAAACTAAAGAGCTTCTGCACAGCAAAAGAAACTATCATCAGAGTGGGATGGTAAGGGTGGGAGGGTAAGAGTTGGAAGGGAAAGAGGGATAAAAGACTGCACACTGGGTACAGTGTACACTGCTTGTGTGATGGGAGCGCCAAAACCTCAGAAATCACCACTAAAGAACTCATCCATGTAACCAAACACAATCTGTTCTCCATAAATCTATTGAAATAAAAAATCAAAATTAAAAAAATGTTGCCTTAGAGTCTATATTGTCTGATATTAGTATAGCCACTTCTGTCTTATTTTGATTACTATTTGCATTGAATATTTTTCCATTCTTTCCCTTTCAACCTGTGCATGTTCTTAGATCTAACGCGAGTGTCTTATATACAGTGTGTGGTTGGGTCTTGTTTTTTAAATCCATTCTGCTAATCTATGTCTTTCAATTGTAGAGTTTAATCTTTTTACATGTAAAGAAAATACAGATAGGAAGGATTTACTTTTGCCATTTAATTTGTTTTCTGTTTGTTTTTTGCTGCTATAACAGAAAGCTACAGCCTGAGTAATATATCTTTTAAAAAAAACTTATTTCTCATGGTTCTGAAGTCTAGGAATTCTAAGATCAAGGGGCCACATCTGGTGAGGGCATTCTTGCTGTGTCACATTATGATAAAAGGCATAACATGGTGAGAAAGTGGGTGTGTGAGACAGAGAGGAAATCAAGGCACACTAATTCTTTTTATCAGGGGCCTATTCCTGGAATGACTAATCAGCTTTTATGATAATGGTATTAATCTAGTTGTGAGGGTAAAGCCTTCATGATCTAATCCCCTTTTAGAGGCCTCACCTTCCAATACTGTTACATTGGCAAGTGAATTTCAAACATGGGTTTGGAGGAAACATTCAAACCATAGCATTCAGCACCTGGCCTCCAAAAAACTTATGTTCTTCTCACATACAAATTACATTCATTCCATCCTAATAGCCTCAAAAGTCTTAACTTGTCCCAGCACCAACTCAAAAAGCTAAAGCCCAGAATCTCATCTAAATCAGATAAGGATGATACTCAAGGCATGATCCAACCAGAGGCAAATACTCACCTGTGAGCTTGTGAGATTAACAAATTATGTGCTTCTAAAATACAATACTGGGACAGGCATAGGATAGACATTCTCATTCCAAAGGGGAGAAATACAAAGACAGAAAGGGGTAACTGGTCCCCAATAAGTCCAAAACCCAACAGGGAAATTATTAAGTCTTAAAGTTGGAGAATAATCTCCTTTGACACCATTCTCGGCACACTGGGTTTGGGTTATCAAGACCTCAAACATCCCCTCCAGTATGGCTTTGCTGGGCTCAATATACCCAGAAGCTTTCATAGATTGGACTCTCATGCCTGCAGCTCTCTCAGGCTGGTGTTGCATACTGACAGTGCTACAATTCTGTAGTCTTTGGTTGGCCCATTCCAAAGGCTTTTAAACTGGTATGAATTTAACTTCAATAACATACAATACCTCTACTCCTTTATAGTTCTGCCACTTTATGTTATTGACGTCATAAATTATATCTTTATGTATTGTGTACCAATGAACACAGATTTATAATTATTTTATGCATTTTCCTGTAATCTGTATAAAATAAAAAGTGGAGTTACAATCCAAAATTATAATAACATCAGTTTTGATATTTGTCTATGTATTTATCTTTACTAGACATCAGCATATTTCCATAAGGCTACAAGTAACTCTCTAGCATACTTTTATTTCGACTTAAAGAACTTCTTTTAGAATTTATTATCTGGCAGGTCTAGTGGTAATAAACTCACTCAGCTTTTATTTATCTGAAAATTTCTTACTTTTTCCCTCACTTTTGAATAACAGTTTTATCAGATACAGAATTCTCAGTGGACAGTTTTTTCTTTCCACTCTTTAAATATACTACCCCACTGTCTTCTTGCCTGCAAAGTTTCTGATGAGAAATCCACAGATAATGTTACAGAGTATTTGTGTGTGTGTGCCAAGTTACATTTCTCTTGCTGCTTTCAAGAGTCTCTCTTTGTCTTTGGCTTTCAACAGTTTGATTATAATGTGTCTTAGTATGGATTTCTTTGGGTTAATCCTATATGGAGTTTATTGAGCTTCTGGATTGACAGATCCATGTCCTTGTCTCAGACCTGATCTTCTTCTAGCATCTCAGAGCAACTCCAGGACTTTGCTCTGACTGCTTGCCTAAATCCCCAAACTCCCCAAAACTCCTGACTCTTCATATCCTACTGTATGGCCAACTCACATCAGCCTGCTGACGAAGCCCCACTTACCCTCCTCCTAACTGCCCTCCAAACGTTCTGGCCTCAGACAGCCTTGAAGGTACCATGGAAGGCACTATTATGCATAAAATAGAGGAGTTAGGCATAGAAGCAATATAGTCAGATGCCTTTAATTTACAGAAGAAAGAGGACTCAATTATATCAGCAACCTAAATCAAGGTGGAGGAAGACCCTGATTCATACGCTTTCAGTTATCAGGCCAGACACCATGTTGGCAGGTAAGTGAACCATGGAGTATGAATTGGGGGTCAGATATGAATTCTGAGTCATTTCCTTTCATTAGTTCAGTTCCTGCCACATGCCCACCATAGGGCATAACTTACTGAACTCTGTGAAAGGAGCCCCATAGCCCTGCTCCTATGGCTTTGCCTCCCCCGAGTCACCAGGATGTCAGTCTTTGAGGGTGAGATGGCTTTCTTCTGAGTCCCTCCCTCCAGCCTTATTCCAGCTTGCCAGCCTCCTGCCTTCCACACCCTCAGTGTGATGGTAGCACACCACCCTTGGGAGTGACGAGCATAGGGATGGGGGATTCCTGCAAGCCACCCCCAAACAGCAGTTCTCGAGCAGTTTCCATGGCTGCAGCTTCAGCAGATCTCTCACTTGCCCTTCCCACTGCAGGCTGCTGGGACACTGACAAGTCAGGCTGGACAGGAGGGACTGGATGGTGTAGCTCCCTAGCTGTGACCTCTGCCTGTTCTCCCCTGCCTGAGAAAACCTTTGTGTAAAGCACATGAGAGTGATAATATTGACCTTTGGTTGATGTAAATTTATTATAAAAGTGCTTCAGAAAGAATAGGAAGGGGTACTACCGAACATGATATTGTGGGATCCATTGTCTCTATATTCCCAGACCAAGAGTGATCCAGGCAGGCACTCACCCTGTCTGCCAAAATTAAAAATGTTGTATGCTATGGCTGAGGACAGATCACTGAATACATTCTTTTTTCTTGTTTTCAACAGTAGCTCAGATCCCCTAGCCAGGGTAGATGTCAGAAATTTCAGGCTTCGAGAGCCACTCTCAGAGGTCACATGCCCAGGGAGGGCAGTGAGCTAGGGTCTACAGCTGATGCTCTGGTATGGGAAGGGAAAGAGCCTGGCAGTGGGGTGGCTGCAGGAGTGGCCTGATAAAGGTCAAATACCACTAAGGCTTAGATTTGGCTTGCATGTTGGAGTGGGCAGGAGATCAAGAACAGTTTCTTCTAGATGGCCTTTGGAGTCAGAGGCTCAGGTTCAGAGCAGACTATCTGGTTTTTCTTGGTGGGTGAGAAATTAGGACATTCACTGAGATTTACTGTTGAGATTCAGTGAGACTAGACTCTGATGTACAATTCTGGGTTGCCACCGACTGAGGAAATATCTAGAGAATGCATAGAGATTCCCAGAAGCTCAGGTGAAATGTCTAGAGAGGCTCTCCTAGTGTCTCTTTCCCGTTTCTAGAGTTCCCAACTCCTGGAGATTTGCTGACGACTCTGAAGTGCCCTTGTAGGTGTTCCAAACTTGTAGGAATAGGTAGTCTTCTGTAGGTTGTTGAGGAGTGAGGAGGTTGTGGAAAAAAGGAAGGAGAAAGCCTAGAGGGACTGGTCGGTGTTCTTGGGATATAACCTATTCTGCACCCAAGTCCAAGTCAGACAAAATTTCCCAAGCTGTAACACATTGTGACAGGAAATTTATCAATCGTTTCCTGAGGCCTCAGATGGTGTAAACTCACAGATTACACTCTATTAGATGAGAAGGTCAAGAACTCCTTTATTTACACCACAATGAGTGGAAGGAACTAGGAACCAGGCAAGAGAATGATAGAGAACGTCATGCTCAGAGGAAGGGAAGGGAAAGCAGTGCCTGATACTGCCTTACTGATTATCTACCTTACTGATTTTCTTAATGATTACTGATCATCAGGAAATTCTTTGATTAACTGCTATCAAGATTTCTACTGCTTGCCCTCCAAGGGTCTCACATGCTGCTGCCATTACTGCCTCTGCCTCCCTTTTCCTGCCCTCTTTTACTAGCAGTGCCCTCGCTGTCTTTTTCAATGAAGCCACTTCCTCACTGAATCCTGGTTGTGGGGTAAAAGAGGTAGAAAACTGGCTAAGAATAGTTCCTTTATCTCTATGGGGAGGCCATTTAAGATTAGAAGTTTCTTATCATTTAGACATTCACTTGTCTGAATTTAAAGCAGGAACTTTGGGGGAGGTTTTCAATGCATCAGATAAGGAAATGACCTAGAAAACATTGCGCTGTGTTTCACAAAATTGTATGTATCTGGAAGAACAACCACCCTGCCACCCCATTTCCCTGCATATGTAGCAACACATACACAACCACGTCTCTGATTCCTCATTTATTTGGGGGATATAATAAAATGGAGTCCTCTTGCTATCCCTATTCAAACAGAGAGAATGACATAGAAATCTGTCTAAAATAGTAGTCTTCCCAACACAAAAAAAGAAAGAAAGAAAAAAGGTAGTAGATTCAAAACTTCAGCTCAGACTTTGTGAAGTCAATCATTGAGTATCAAATTACGGAGGTTTTGTTGCTTAAAAGTGTAGGACCCATGGCCTCATTCTTATGCCCCTGAACCTCTGGGCAGGCTTGAAGCAGGAGGATGAATAATTAGGACCAAGTAACATTAATTTCATCCTCATGGTTGATGGACTTATATTAGGTTCTAATTTACTCAGCAAAATATTTATCTCTGTAAATTGATGTTTGCATTTGGGATAAGCCAGTTTCCAACTGGATACCCCATGATGGAAGAGGCATTGTCTCACCTTGTATTGCTGGGAAGCTCTTATGAGGAACAGGAGTCCAAGAGCTGAAACCAATCCTTGCTCCTTGCACAATTTGGAGAGCTAAAGCCCATGCTAGCCTGTCCTCCTGAATAACATGCCCCCCATGTCTGCAGCAATGTTGATCAATTCCTTGCTTTGGAAGTAAAATTCCATGAGTTACTGAGTACCACTCTCAGACTTCTGGGAAGTAGACAGGCCTTACCTTATTCCTGAGTTCATTCCTTCAACAAGTATATATTGGATGCCTGCCACCTGCTAGGTATTGAGAAGTGGCTTGAGGTACTGAGAATACTACTTACAACAAAAGAGACAAGTGAAAACAATGGCGTTTTGAAGAAAGATTCAGAGACTTGGGGATAGAGGAACAAAGCTAGGACCTGGGTTATATCCACAAGAGGACCACCTGAGATAGATTTCACTTTCCTTCTCTTTCCATTGGACTGTGGAGTCATATTGAATGCGTAGTTTGCATTTTAGTTCTGCCTATGCCAGCTGCTCAGTAAGTCTGATACATTTATACATCCCTGAATGATAGTATTGTTGGAAATAGAGAAGCTGGGCCCACCTAGTTAAATTCTTTACTGAGACCCATGTCATGGCAGCAGCATCATATTTGGGATAAAGCTCCTACAGTTTCTACTGTACCACTTATTAGACTTTACGAAAGTAACTTGACCTCCCTATGCTTCATAAGCTTGTAGAAAAAATAAAATGGGATAATGTGCATAAGTGGCTCAGGTCAGCACTTGGCACAAGAAAATGCTCATTATCTATTTAATATTAAAACTATAATCATAATAAATTTTATTATATCAAGAAGGACAGTCGTTGAGTCCCAGGGAGTGACCTGTTGTAAATGAACGAGGGCTCGTGATAGAAATGAGATGTGCAGTTATAGCATTGAAGTGAATTATGAGCAAAATAAGACTAATCTTTTCCCTCAAATGTGCTTGCAAGAAGAGCACTTCAAAGGGGGAATTTTCAGGAAGTGTAGAAACTGAACTTGAAGAGGAGTATTTTGAACTGCTGCTGGACCAAACCCCTGAAACATACAGGCTTGTCCTCCCTTGAGGCAGAGGAGCAGCCAAGCGTAAGAAAGAGCCCGTAGGCCTGGCCCTAGATCCTTCCTGTGGGTTCAAAGCAGCTAATGCCTTGGAGTAGATGGTCAACACTTATCAGCCTGCGAATAGAAACCTGATTTCACAGATAGTATTGGAGAAAACATATTAACTTTCTGACCACCTCAGTAGAAAAAAAAAATCTTTGCTTATACGTAGAGGTTAAATAAGTTATTGCAGAGGCAATAACTTGGACCCAGGAAACATGGGAGCCCAGTTTGGGAATTCAGGACCCACTGGAGAAGACGTCCAAGGTTTTTAACAGTGAGACGTTATTGTAGAAGCTTACATTTCATGAGATGCAAGAACAGTTCCCGGCAAATTCTCACTGTTAACATAGTTAATGCAACAAGAAGAAGAGAGAAGAAACACTATGTTGGTTTTGTAACAAAAAGACTCAAACTCTGTAAAATATTTGAAGAGATTTATTCTGAGCCAATTATGAGTGACCATGGCCCATGACCCTGTCCTCAGGAGGTCCTGAGAACATGTATCCAAGGTGGTCGGGGTGCAGCTTGGTTTTATACATTTTAGGGAGACATGAGACTTCCATCAAATACATTTAAGAAATATAGTAGTTTGTTCCCAAAAGGCAGGACAGCTTAAAGTGGGGGCTTCCAGCTTATAGGTAGATTTAAAAATTTTATGGTTGACAATTGGTTAAGTTTATCTAAAGACCTGAGATCAATAGAAAGGAAATGTTTAGGTTAAGATAGAGGGTTGTGAAGACCAAGTTTTACTGTGCTGAGGAAGCGCTCATGAGACTTCAGAGGGAGTAGGTTGTAAAATGTTTCTTGTTGGGCTTAAAAGGGTGCCTGGCTCTTAGATGATTGTTTCCTGGGTCTGCAAAGAACGAAAAAGTGGGGGAAAGGGGATTCTCTACAGAAAATGGATTATTCCCACAAGAGACAACCTTGTTGCAGGGTAATTTCAAGATAATGGCAAGAAAATATATTCGGGGTTAAAATATTTTGATTCCCTTCCTTATTTGTTATGTGACGTGCCAGAGTCAGTTTGGAAAGCAGGCCACAATATGTAGGGTTAAATAAAATCCCTCCTGTGAGACTTCACGGTTCGTAGGGCACATTCCCCAAGCCCCTTGGCTAGGATTTGAGCAAGATAAAAAAATCAAAGTTCTCAGTTTGCAGGAAAGATAAGAAGCCTCTCAAGTTGGCATTCTGAACCCAAGCTCAGCCTTGTCAGGAGGCGCTGAAGTAGATCCGGCCGAGCAGCCGAGGGCCTGCGGGCAGGACCTCAGAGGCTTCTGAGACTTGGAGAAGTTGTAACAGGGAAAGGTTTATTCTATTTTTGATGTGATTTTTCTCTTTTGTGTCCTACAGTAGCCATCCTGATGCTGGTATAACCTAGGTATCTCTCTGTTCAGGAGTGAAACAAGATTTGGTACAGAAAAAAAACTAAAATAATATAGTAATAAACAGGGTTTGACATTTAAAATCTGATGACGCAACATGATTGCAGCCTCTTAAGTTGGGGAATTATTTTGAGAAGGGGTTTTCCAAACTCCTTTTATCTTTCATCTATTATATCAACAACTGAGCCTGAGGCACACATATCAAAAAACAGTCTCATGATTTAGACGGGATACTTTCAGCCCATTAGTCTATGAAGCCTCAGTGGCTCTATGTTAGAAAGAAAGAATGGGAAGAGGGGAGATGAGAGAGTAAGGATAGCAGAATGTCAGAATTTCTCAACTGGTTGTGTCTGATAGGTGGAGAGAAAAGTCACTGTACTGACTGAGGAATTTATTCTGATTACAAGAATTGAAATTTCTATTACACAATGGGGGCAAGAAAGACAATATTTGAAAATCAGAGAATCCACTGGCTCCTTTACCTAATAGTCCTGTTCATTAGAAAACTGTAACGATGGCCGGGCGCGGTGGCTCACACCTGTAATCCCAGCACTTTGGGAGGCCGAGGCCGGTGGATCACAAAGTCAGGAGATCGAGACCATCCTGGCTAACACGGTGAAACCCCGTCTCTACTAAAAAATACAAAAGAAAATTAGCCGGGCGGGGTGGCGGGCGCGTGTAGTCCCAGCTACTCGGGAGGCTGAGGCAGGAGAATGGCGTGAACCCAGGAGGCAGAGCTTGCAGTGAGCCGAGATCGCGCCACTGCACTCCCGCCTGGGCGAGAGCGAGACTCTTGTCTCAAAAAGAAAGAAGTAAACTGTAACGATGCAGTAAGACAAACTAACAAGCATTCCAATCCTGCACGGTATGCCCCCAGGTTGAGAACCCCGCCCAGCTAAGATGCTACAGAAGTAAGAGCATGGGATGGGAAGTGCAAGAGGGCCACTTTGACTGTCAGCTCAGACATCACAGCCAGTTAAGGAAGTGAAGGCTGCAGCAAATATTTTTATATTGTTTAGTCATTTCATTTGCCTTCCTTGAACTCCACGGCTTTATAGCAAGAGCCCTGATGGTGGCTGCTTCGTGGTCTTTTTGGTGACAGAATGATGAATTGCTATCACCTCTCAAGCATAGGATTGTAATGAGAATTTGTGCATTCTCTCACCCAGATGAAGAAGAATGGATGCTCAGAGGCAAAATGGGTGGGGTGTGCTGGGTGTGCTGGCTTTCCTGCATTTACCCCTTTCGCACCCATTCCCTACCCTTCTCCAGCCTGCTCTCTGCCCCATATCAAATATGGATTATATCACTGGGCCCCCAAAGCCTCTGGACTCTGTTTGAGTGACCAGTGGGAAGCTAATGCAGATCAGCTGAAGGAAATAGTGTGAGGTCACAGGCTTTGGTCTCCTGGTTCCCACTGTAGGACATGGCTTCGGGCTGGCTGTACTCCCAACAAAAAGTTGCTGCTCAACACACTTTCTTCCCAGTCCCAGCAACATCCTTTCCACCTCATCTCTTTAGGTTAAGGGTGGTGAAAATCCAACCTCCTCTTGCTCCAATCCCTCAACTCTCCTTGTGGTTCCCTTATTCCCTGCATAACCCTGTGTGATTAGACCCTTCATAAAAAAAACTTGTTGAAATGCTAATTTAATGTGCCATCTGTTTCCTATTTGAACCCAAATAATACTAACATGTTTCTTGAGACTTTGGCTAAAACCTTGAGACAGCCAGGTGATATAGAAGAAGGTGTGCTGCCCAAGGTTGATGCCGCAAAGTACTGAAACAGGTGTTTTCAGGAGTTACAGGACCAATGGATAATGAGGGAGCTTTGACCCGTGGGCTAGACTGTTTAACTGAAAAAGTGATGAGTATCTTAGGTTTGGTTACCTAGAAGCAGAATCTGAGATACGAATTCTAGTGCAAGTGATTCATTGAAAAAGTACTTTCAGGAATAACCTGTAAAGGAGTAAAGAAAGCAGAAGAGAGCAAGGGGAGAAACAAGGCACAAGCGTGGTTTCAGCTTAAGCATCAGGCTTAAGAGCATGCCAGGGGATAATTGACAGCACAGGCTCATCCCATCTCTAGGCAAAGGGGCAACCTCATGTGTCCCTGTATCAGTCATTTTTTTGTGTGTCACCCACAACAAGAGGCATTTCTAGGTGAGGTGGATCCCCTGATCCAAGAGCAATTCTCAAGAGAAGGGTGTCACTGGTAGCTATTAGTAGCTAATATTTATAGCACTGCCAAGTAAAGAGGACCTGGACAGGGCTCCAGTTGCATCTATTAGAGTCTATACCTTATTCACTGAGATCAACTTGTTTCTCACAGTAAAAACTACTCTATCAAGGCAGTTTCCCCAAATTAGCCAGAATTTCTTGCAAATGTTTTTAGAGGAGGGTTAATAGGAAGAACTACTCTCCACTGCTGCAGTTGGTCAAGGGGACATAAGGTATATTTATTACGTCCTTCCTCTCCCACACCAGTCTCACTTCTGCTGGTCTAGGTGGCTTGACAGGTGGGATAACCCAGACCCTTATCCTTGAGGGGTCTGTGCTCCTGGTCTGTATGAACTTATGAGACTACGGCGTTGTATTTTCCTATTCACATTTCACACTGGGCAGGAGAATAACAAGAGATGCCCCAGTGGGGCATGTTTATGAATATGTTTGCCTGAACACCAAACGTATTCCTTACTGCCTTCATATATAGTAGTAGTCTACCTTCTTGTGATGTTCAGGACCAATTACTTCTTCCAGCATAGTAACTGCTTTCTGTGTCTGTTAGTCTACTGGCACAGGGAGCTCAAATTGTCCAGGAGGCAGCCGTAGCTTTAAGTTTTGAGAGACACCTACTGAGTCACCTGATGAAAGGGTTTCTCCTCTGGACATCAGGACATCTAGAGGCACACGATGTCAAGCTACAGGGCAGCAAACACAAATCCCCCAAGTGGTCTCCCAAATGGATCTCCAAGCTTGTTGGTTTCCAAACTCACGTTTCTGTCTGTCGGGGGCACTACACCATATAATGGCCATTGGCTTAATGTTCCTGGGTCTGAGAACTGGCTCGGGTATGAAAACTAGGCAAGGGATTATGACTTGTCATTCGTCAGTTGAAGCCCATATTCTGCTCATTCATTTTTTATTTCTTTTGATCATATGTATTAAGCACTACTCTTGGAGGAGCACACAACTTGTTCCTAAGAAAACCAGGTTTTATTCGTTATCTCTGTAGAGTTCTAGGGGCCAGGATTCTATGGCTACCATCCAGTCTTGCTACCCATTACAGGAATTTTGCCTACCTCGAATCTGATGATTAAGTGCTGACACCTGGCTCTTCCTAGCTCGTGATCCTATCTTCCCCGTTCTTAGGGAGCCCAATTCTGTGGCAGCGCCTCTTTCCATCAGCTCCAGCCTACAGAGGAAAGTCACTAGTGATCTTCTCAATTATGCTGACAAATCCTTCACCTGCAGATTTTTACTTCCCTGATACAGGCCAGCAAGTATTTCTTCCAAACTTACATAAGTGATCTACTCTAACATGCTGAATTCTCTGAGCCTTTCGTTCCCCTCTTCCGCAATCTGACAAGGCAGTTTTTGCATTTCTACTTTATTTAATGTGGGCTGACACTTTTTGCAACTTGTCAAGAGCCATCCATCGGTGGATCAGGAACAATCAGTCTCCAGTGCACTTATCATGGGAAAGTGCCACATAAAAAAATTCTCCCTTATTTGGTTTCATATTCCATCCTTATCAATCCAGCACCCTCAGAATTTACTTCCAGGTATGTTCTCCCAGTTGTAGCCAGAATATGTCAGGTAGGCTCTTCAGCTCCTTCAGTGTCAAATCCCTCTCCTCCCTTAAAAAGAGCAGCACTTCCCCAGTTTTTCTATGATGAGCTTTGACCCAATTCATTGCTCTGGTTGCCAGCAGAGAAAGTACGGGCAGATCCTGGGAAAGTCAGGCATTATCCTGTAAGACATTTTTGTGGTCTTTCCATGCTGTTCTAGCAAGAAGACTGCTATCTTCCTGCATGGTCATTGGGACAAAAGAAAAATTTCAGGGCTTAAGGAGTTAAGTATACCAATCCAGATATCCCCATTATCCCAAGTCTCAGAGTCACACTCCTTCCTTATGAGGGCCCTGACTTTGGCTCAGGAGACTTGTCTGGGCTAAGAATTTCATTCTCTCTAAAGTTCTCCAACCCTTACAGTTGAATGCCTTGCCTCATTATCAGCTGCAAGAAATGAAGGTATTTCTAAATGCTGCCAAGAAAGGCCTCTGACTCACACTTTGCTCTAAATTTTTGGATTAATAAATACGAGCCTGCTATTTTCTGTCTTTGGTGCTCCAATCATGCTTAGCAACAGCCATCCAATGCCACAATCCTTATCATCACTATCATCTCTGCATTTCTCAGAGTCAGAGATACCCACAAGCAAATTCATCTTCCACCTCTTCTAAGTCCAAGTTCACCACAATTGAAAGTTTTAACAATCACACTGCTACCACATATCAGCAACGGTCAGTACTCCAAATACCACCATAGGGTACTCATTGACATTTAGCCAGTTGAACAATCCAATGCAATATTCCTTATTATGGCCTGCTTTTTGTGACCACTCCTGTTACCAACTGTCTTTGGCCAGGTTCCACAGAAGCAGAACTTGAGAAGAGGATTCTGATGCAAATAATGCAGTGAGGAAGTGCTCTCAGGAGAAAACTATAAGGGAATGAGGCAAACGGTACAATGGGGTGATGCTTGAAGAAGATGTGATTCAGGTGAAGTCAGGCTTTGTCCAAAAGATAACTCTGGAACATAAATGACACTATACCCAGCCCCAACTTGTGCAAGTTAACCTC
This sequence comes from Homo sapiens, assembly GCF_000001405.40. Lineage (NCBI taxonomy): Eukaryota > Metazoa > Chordata > Mammalia > Primates > Hominidae > Homo > Homo sapiens. The sequence continues at coordinate 125,773,571 of NC_000011.10, forward strand.
CCTTTTATTCACACATATCAGTCAACCATTGGCTGTGGGTCACCCTTGGGGAGAGGGCAAACCTTCCAGTCATTTCAAGTGAGAAGCTCCTCCTGTCTGAGAGCAATGCTCAGAAGAGTGCGGCCATGAGTTGTTAGCGGGAAAGAAGCAGAGTTTCTCAAGGGCTGGGCTGTCAGTAGCTGACTGCTTAGTCATAATTCAATAGGGATTTAATAACGTGGAGGACAGTGAGAGAGTACATTTTTATGTAACTTTGTAAGAAGTAAGAACAAATTCATAATGTGTTAAAGTTATAACAATGGTTGCTAGATAAAGCAGAGGATGGCTACACACAGAAGGAAAGGAGACAGCTAGGCTCGACCATGCTTGCTTGTGTCTTCCAAGCCTCCTTCTAAAGTGATCTGTGAGGGCCACAGCCCCTGTGTAGCCATGTCCTCCACAACACAACCACATGGCCTTTCGCACTACAGCAGGCACCTGAGGCAAGTGCAGACAAATGTGTAGACTAGCAATGGATCTACGAAAGTAACAACAAATAATGAGCTGGGACAATCAGATCATTTCTCCCATTTTTTTCAATTATTTATTTATGCATTCATCTTGTATTCATGGTAATTTATTTTAACCTTTGGGCTCATTTATTTTGTCATTCAAATTGATCCAGTTTGGGCCATGGGGAGATCTCTCTGTTTGTTCCTATTTCCCTCTGATATACTCCCTCAGATTTACAGGCTCATCTTCTCTTCATTTAATTTCCTGCCCCAGTCCTACAATCAGCCATTTCTCCAAGGACTTCTGATTTCTTTTTTTTTTTTGAGAATGGTATTAGAAACCACAGTCTGGGTGCTAGGGGTACTCATTACTATTGTTATTGTTATTTGACAGAGCAAGGAAATATATGTATGTATAATAACTCATAAATATACATATTTATAAATATTTCTTTTATATACATATTTATAAATAATCTGTATTTATATTTAACTAAATATGAATTCATACTGATGTCTAATTCATTACCTCATTGATCATTCTAGCACCTTTCTCTTGCTTATCTGTAACTTCTAACTCCAACAGTGAGAAACCTGGATTCCCCCAGCCCCCATTCATTTGCTTAGGAGTTCAATTACAGTGTACCTGTAGAGCAGTATCAGAATTATTAACCTATAACCTTGGGGAAAACAATTTTATCAAGTAGAGTGCAGAGCTTGTGTACATTTTCTTTTGCCTTTAAGCTTACAGGCTCCACTCATTTACAAAGTTACTCAGATCAGAAACTTTTCCCCCAACTCAACTCAGAGAGATTGTTTCACACATTTGTAACAGTTACATCATTTTTGTCACATTGTGCATTCCTTCCTGGAATCCTCTGACTTCCTAAATGATTTTTCTTTTAATTCTCATACATTGTTTCATTCTTTGTGCAGTAAAGTTCTATGGGGTTTGACAAGTGCATAGTGTCATGTATTTACTGGTATAGTATCATACAGAATAGATTCATCACCCTAAAAAATCTTTTATACTTTACCTATTCAATCCCTTTTTTCCTCTTAATCCACTGGCAGTCATTGATATTTTCACCAACCCTATACTTTGGTCTTTTACAAAATTGGAATCAGAGTACACATGTTCCCAGACTTACAATGATTTGACTTACAAGTTTTTTAAACTTTAAGATGTGTGAAAGCAATAAGCATTCAGTAGAAGCCATACTTTAGTACCCATACAAGCATTCTGTTTTTTACTTTCAGTAGAGTAGTCAATAAATTACATGAAATACTCAATTACATGAGATACTCAAAGCCAATTATAAAATTGGCTTTGTGTTAGATGCTTTTGCCCAACTATAGGCTAATGTAAACATCCTGAGCACATTTAAGGTAGGCTAGGCTAAGCTATGATGTTTGGAAGGTTAAGTGTTTTAAATGCATTTTCAGTTCACAGTATTTTCAACTTGCAATTGTTATAACAGGATATAACCCCATCATAAGTTGAGGAGCATCTGTATGTAGCCTTTTCAGACTGGCTTCATTAACTTAGCAATATTCATTTAAAAATGTATCCATGTCCTTTCATAGCTTGATAGATCATTTCTTTTCATCATTGAGTAGCATCCCACTGTTTGGATGTACCATAGATTACATATCCATTCACTTATTGATGGGCATCTTTATTGCTTCTAGTCTCAGGCAATTATGAATAAATATGATTTTAACATTTGTGTGCAGGTTTCTGTGTGGGCATAACTGTTCAAATTGGTTGAGTAAATATCTAAAGGCATGATTACTGAATGACATAGCAAGAGTATAATCACCTCTCTAAGAAACTACCAACTGTCTTCCAAAACAGCATTACCATTTTGCATTCCTGCCAGCAATAAATGAGATTTCCTATTGCTCTATATCTTTGACAAAAATTGCTACTGTGAGGGTTTTTTATTTTTTTGATTTTGACCATTTAAAATGTATAGTTGCGTAATATTGTTGTTTTAATTTGCAATTCCCTAGTGAGATATGATGTTAAGCATATTTTCATATGCTCATTTACTATCTGTATATCTTTTTCTATTCAGATTTTTTGGCCAATTTTTCTGGCCTTTATTTATTTATTTATTTTTTTATTTTACTTTAAGTTCTGGGATACATGAAAGAAAGTGCAGCATGCAGGTTTGTTACATAGGTATACATGTGCCATGGTGGTTTGCTGCACCCATCAACCCGTCATCTAGGGTGCAGTCAGCCTTATAAGGACAGAAACACCAGGGTTAGTGTGTATCCAAGGAAAATGTGCCACCTTGGCCACAGGTGTGCTCCAACATCAATGCTACTCAGTTTCTCTTCCTATCTGTTTCTGTGTCTTCCTTCTTCTCTTCCCACCACTGTTACCCATATATGCTACCTTTCTCACACTTTCTGCAAACTCATAACTTCCTCTTACACAGGGCACTCTGTTACTTGAACACTACCTCATGGTATCTATTTACATCCTATTATCTTCAACTACTACACCACCTGCCACATTATCAGCATTTTGTTTGCTCAGTCCCATGAGAAGAACCTGACTAGCCATCCTTAAAAAAACACTCTGTTCCCAATCCAATCACCTAGTTCAACCATGTGCCCAAGGCTGCCTGGCCAGCCAGGGCAATGATAATTCAAGCCAATTCCACCCACAGCAAGTTATTTCTCAGATCTTAGTTTTTACCAGTTGAAATGCCCCCTGAAGTTTTCTTTGATGCTCATCCCTATGTCTGTTCAGTTTTTTTTTTTCTGCCCTGAGGTTCCCCCAAGAGCTCTATCAGAGAAAGACTTGGCCCATGCTGCCAACACACTGGGAAGCTGGGGTTAGCCCTCTCCAGAACCCACGGGCAGAAAAGGACAGTGCCAGAAAGTGTCAGGGCTAATCCAAAGAGAATTCCAACGGAGAGGAGTGTGTGTGTAGATGAGGATAGAGGATAGTCACAGAATTCTCAGTACAAATTGGAGATTATTATGGCCCAAGTGTTCACATTTTCATACAGGAGATAATAAATGACCAAGTCTGAGCTTATTCATGGCAGTATCACGTAAGGAGAGCAAAACCCCTCCCACCTGTTAGCGACAGGGATGTGCAAAGAGTGAGTCTAGTGCTCCATCATCAATAGGCTCCGCTGTCCACACTGCGTCTCCTTATGCCTGCTTGTCTTTTCACTATGAGCTGGCTTTCTCACTCTCTACCAATGCATAGAAGAGGAGAGCAAAATTCAGGTTCAGGGAAGAGAAAAAGAGCGTAGTGGTTGAAAAAGAACCCAAAATCCAGGAGAGACGTAGAACTAAACTCCCTCAGGGAGGTTGCAGTAGTTACTATGATCACAACAGATGAGCTCTACCCTCTTCGTGAACCCCAGGAAGTTGATGTCCTCACAGCTGGTCATACACGACAGTTTTGAATAATGATACATGCTCTGCCCTGAGGAGGTAAAAGAGAGGAAATATGATCATAATGACCTCATTTCCTTTTACTGCGTTCCTAGGAGTAATCTGTTTTTGTGTCCTCACTAACCTTTCTCTAGGCCCAAATGAGTTCCAAAGCTGAGTCTGTTAATTGCTGACCCAGAGAGTAGATTTTATTCCCTGCCAGGTAAGGGACATCAGCCTCTTTTTCACTCAATATGGTCTTAGGGAAAAGTCTGTCTTTGCCATCCCCTCAAGACCACCCCATACTCACCCATCCCATTCACCTACTCACGCTGAGGGCAAAAGAACACTACTGTTTCTCAGGGATGGTGGTGGTGATTTTCCAGTCACTCTATACTCCACATTACCTTTCCTTGTAAGGATGTAAAAGTTCTCAACTGCACAGGACTGTTTATGCTTCAGGGAGCAGGATGTCATGACACCATAGCATAACCCAAGATGATATTTTTTACATTCATAACACATTATTTCAGTCGCTGCCAGATACAAAAAGAGGTGCTTAGAGGATGCAGTCTTGAGAATATTCTCTGGGGCTGGGGGCTTCACTACAGGACCTTATTCTTGCCTAGTGGTTCCTAACATTTTTTGGACCATGGACTCTTGGTAATCTTGAGAAAGATAGGGATAATCATGCTGCGGTCCTCCCCATGTACACATTAATAAATTTGTACACATTTTCTCCAATTAAAAAAATCTTGTGAAAGATAACCTGTACAAACATAAATCAAACACTGTATATGATTTCAGGAGGTCAGGGTTCCCATGAAATTTATCCATGGACCTCCAGTAATGAACCCCTTATCTAGCCTGATGATTTTGCCGAGTAATGGGTAAAAGAAAGTAAAGTGGATCTTAGCCTCCTTACTCTAAGAAATGGACAAAACAGGTCTGGCAGGAGGCGAAACCCCTAGGATTCTATAATAAGAATGGATTACAGGCCTCTCTGAAGATGAAGGAAAGGTTTGCTCCTAAACATGTCACAAATTGCCTGTTTACCAAGGACTTCAGAGAAGCCATGATTGTACCTTTTATAGGGTCATGAAGTTCACCTGTGAAAAGAAGAAAAACCTTCCATGTTACAGTCTCACATACATCTGCCACTGCCCCAAGAGCCAATTTTGAAAACTTTCTCTTCCCCCAGCATCTGTCCGTCTCTTAACCAACCACCAGCTTCCCCTCTGTCTCCAGGACTTACCCCAATATGGGCAGAGCAGAAAGACTGTGCCCAGGAGAAAGAGAACAAGCATCCTGGAGCTTCTGTCAGGTGCAGCTTCCTGTGGAAGGAGCAAGTTGTTCTCTTGTGATCTGTCCTTGGGCTAGTCATCTAAATTATATAATCATAAAATTTCAGGGACAGGCAGTATGGCAATGTTCCAAGCCAAACCACCATATCTGATTGCTGCACAGCATTCTAAAGAGGGTACTCACTTTGATTTTGTGCAAATCCTCTAATGAAAATGAAATGGTAATGTTCCTGATTCACCAGACCTGCTCCTACTTCAATATTGCAGAGTTTTAAAAAGTATTTTCAACTTTCATTTTAGATTCAGGGGGTACATGTGCAGGGTTGTTACAGGGGTATATGGCTTGATGCTGAGGTTTGGGGTACGAATGATCCCGTCACCCAGGTAGTGAACATAGCACCCAACAGTTATTCAGTCCTGCCCAGTCTCTCCTCACAATGTTGCAGGTTTTAATACATCTGGGAGGTGTTCTTTACATCTTCTTGTGTTTCATCCTCATTGAGCAATCTAACAGCAAGTCTTATCCATTCTACCTACTAACTTCTCACATGGGTTTATTATTCTCTGTCGCCACTGCCATTACCATAATCCAGTCTATTATGTCTTGCCTGGACCAAGCAATGGCCTTATTTCTGGCCTCCATGCTTCTCCTCTGCCCCTTCATAATCATTTCTTCATAAAGCAGTCAGAGAACAAGTCATAGATGCCACACCCCTGCTGAAAACACTCTGACGACTTTTTATTACCTTTGAAAGAAAATCCAGAGTTTTTATCATAGCCGGCAATGGCTTTGTCATTATGAGCAATGGCCTCCCCTCCAATCTCCTTTCTCTCCACATTTCCCTGGCTCACTCAGGTCTTTGCTCAAATGTCACTCCCTCAGACAGAGCAGCATTTTCTGCTTAATCTCTAGAAAATGACAGCCTTCATTTCCTACCTTTTTCCCTGTGGTATGTTTCATTGCAATTCTAATAAGCTGATCTTACATTGCTATTGGCTCACTTTTTTACTCCTCCACTAGAACAAAGCAAGGGGTTTCTTTGGTTTATCATGGCACACTTGGCATCTAGAGGCTGGGAACAAAGGAAATGCCCAACAAATATTTGTGGGAGGAATTAATAATGTTCTTCCCATATCCTGCCTTGCATCCCTCCAGTCCATTCTCCACAGAGCATCCAGCTTTATCAGACTGGTTTTTTGAACTATAATAAAGACAAGAAATGAGACTTTCTACATTCCAGCAAGGGTCCCAAGATAGTAGGTAGCAAGTGTTTCACATTTCAAAGTGAAATGCTATGCTACTTAGGCAGATTTACAAAGAAAATCAATGAAACCGTGTTTAATATCCTGGACTTGCTGCCCACCTGGAGGGTATAAATGAACAGTGAAGTGCCAGAAAATAAAATGGAAGGAGTTTCTATAGTCTAGTGTGAGGGTTACTTTTCTATATATGGCTCAAAAAACAGAACCATAAAAAAGATATGTTTATCTATATTTTTAAAAAATCTTCTACATAGATGGAAAACCAATCATTAATCCATAAGCAAAGACCAAATAACAAATAAACCATTAAAAATATTTGCAACTCATATCTCAGACTAAGGGCGAATCTCCCTATTATACAAAGATATTCCAGAAATTGATTTTTAAAAGATTAACAATTCAAAGGGGAGAGACGCAGTCAATAATAATGTCATAGTTCACAGAAAAAAGAAACAGAAATGCTTCTTAAACACATGAAATATGGTGAACCTTGCTCCTAATTTTAGGATATTAGTTTTACTTAACAGATTTGCAATAATCAGAATTTAGTAACACAACTGTGTTGGCAAGATGGAGTAAAATGAGCACTGTCATACATTGCTGATGGGGCTGTAACTTAATATATCAGTAAGGAATAAAATTAGACAATAGCTCGTCAATTTTATATCTTTCCTGCTTTCTCTTGTGGGCATTTAGTGCTATAAATTTCCCTCTACACACTGCTTTAAATGTGTCCCAGAGATTCTGGTATGTTGTGTCTTTGTTCTCATTCATTTCAAAGAACATCTTTATTTCTGCCTTCATTTCGTTATGTACCCAGTAGTCATTCAGGAGCAGCTTGTTCAGTTTCCTTGTAGTTGAGTGGTTTTGAGTGAGTTTCTTAATCCTGAGTTCTAGTTTGATTGCACTGTGGTCTGAGAGACAGTTTGATATAACTTCTGTTCTTTTACATTTGCTGAGGAGTGCTTTACTTCCAACTATGTGGTCAATTTTGGAATAAGCGTGATGTGGTGCTGAGAAGAATGTATATTCTGTTGATTTGGGGTGGAGAGTTCTGTAGATGTCTATTAGGTGTGCTTGGTGCAGAGCTGAGTTCAAGTCCTGGATATCCTTGTTAACCTTCTGTCTCATTGATCTGTCTAATGTTGACAGTGGGGTGTTAAAGTCTCCCATTATTATTGTGTGGGAGTCTAAGTCTCTTTGTAGGTCTCTAAGGACTTGCTTTATGAATCTGGGTGCTCCTGTATTGGGTGCTTAAATATTTAGGATAGTTATCTCTTCTTGTTGAATTGATCCCTTTACCATTATGTAATGGCCTTCTTTGTCTCTTGATCTTTGTTGGTTTAAAGTCTGTTTTATCAGAGACTAGAATTGCAACCCCTGCCTTTTTTTGTTTTCCTTTTGCTTGGTAGATCTTTCTCCATCCTTTTATTTTGAGCCTACATGTGTCTCTGCTCGTGAGATGGGTCTCCTGAATACAGCACACAGATGGGTCTTGACTCTTTATCCAATTTGCCAGTCTGTGTCTTTTAATTGGAGCATTTAGCCCATTTACATTTAAGGTTAATATTGTATGTGTACATCACAATTGAAAGAACTAGGGAAGCAAGAGCAAACACATTCAAAAGCTAGCAGAAGGCAAGAAATAACTAAGATCAGAGCAGAACTGAAGGAGATAGAGACATAAAAAACCCTTTAAAAAATCAATGAATCCAGGAGCTGGTTTTTTGAAAAGATCAACAAAATTCATAGACCACTAGCAAGACTAATAAAGAAGAAAAGAGGGAAGAATCAAATAGACGCAATAAAAAATGATAAAGGGGATATCACCACCAATCCCACAGAAATACAAACTACCATCAGAGAATACTATAAACACCTCTACACAAATAAACTAGAAAATCTAGAAGAAATGGATAAATTCTTGGACACATACACCCTCCCAAGACCAAATCAGGAAGAAGTTGAATCCCTGAATAGACCAATAACAGGCTCTGAAATTGAGGCAATAATTAATAGCCTACCAACCAAAAAAAGTCCGGAACCAGACGGATTCACAGCTGAATTCTACCAGAGGTACAAAGAGGAGCTAGTGCCATTCCTTCTGAAACTATTCCAATCAATAGAAAAAGAGGGAATACTCCCTAACTCATTTTATGAGGCCAGCATCATCCTGATACCAAAGCCTGGCAGAGACACAACAACAAAAAAGAGAATTTTAGACCACTGTCCCTGAGGAACATCAATGCAAAAATCCTCAATAAAATACTGGCAAACCGAATCCAGCAGCACATCAAAAAGCTTATCCACCACTATCAAGTTGGCTTCATCCCTGGGATGCAAGGCTGGTTCAACATATGCAAATCAATAAATGTAATCCAGCATATAAACAGCACCAAAGACAAAAACCACATGATTATCTCAATAGATGCAAAAAAGGCCTTTGACAAAATTCAACAGCCCTTCATGCTAAAAACTCTCAATCAACTAGGTATTGATGGGATGTACCTCAAAATAATAAGAGCTATTTATGACAAACTCACAGCCAATATCATACTGAATGGGCAAAAACTGGAAGCATTTCCTTTGAAAACTGGCACAAGACAAGGATGCCCTCTCTCACCACTCCTATTCAACATAGTGTTGGAAGTTCTGGCCAGGGCAATCAGGCAGGAAAAAGAAATAAAGGGTATTCAATTAGGAAAAGAGGAAGTCAAATTGTCCCTGTTTGCAGATGACATGATTGTATATTTAGAAAACCCAGTCATCTCAGCCCAAAATCTCTTTAAACTGATAAGCAACTTCAGCAAAGTCTCAGGATACAAAATCAACGTGCAAAAATCACAAGCATTCCTATACACCAAAAACAGACAGAGAGCCAAATCATGAGTGAACTCCCATTCACAATTGCTTCAAAGAGAATAAAATACCTAGGAATCCAACTGACAAGGGATGTGAAGGACCCCTTCAAGGAGAACTACAAACCACTGCTCAACAAAATAAAAGAGGACACAAACAAATGGAAGAACATTCCATGCTCATGGGTAGGAAGAATCAATATCGTGAAAATGGCCATACTGCCCAAGGTAATTTATAGATTCAATGCCATCCCTATCAAGCTACCAATGACTTTCTTCACAGAATTGGAAAAAACTACTTTAAAGTTCATATGGAACCAAAAAAGAGCCCTCATTGCCAAGACAATCCTAAGCCAAAAGAACAAAGCTGGAGGCATCACACTACCTGACTTCAAACTATATTACAAGGCTACAGTAACCAAAACAGCATGGTGCTGGTACCAAAACAGAGATATAAACCAATGGAACAAAACAGAGCCCTCAGAAATAATATCACACATCTACAACCATCTAATCTTTGACAAACCTGACAAAAACAAGAAATGGAGAAAGGATTCCCTATTTAATAAATGGTGCTGGGAAAACTGGCTAGCCATATGTAGAAAGCTGAAACTGGATCCCTTCCTTACACCTTATACAAAAATTAATTCAAGATGGATTGAAGACTTAAATGTTAGACCTAAAACTATAAAAGCCCTAGAAGAAAACCGAGGCAATACCATTCAGGACATAGGCATGGGCAAGGACTTCATGACTAAAACACCAAAAGCAATGAAAACAAAAGCCAAAATTGACAAATGGGATCTAATTAAACTAAAGAGCTTCTGCACAGCAAAAGAAACTATCATCAGAGTGAACAGGCAACCTACAGAATGGGAGAAAATTTTTGCAATCTACTCATCTGACAAAGAATCTACAAAGAACTCAAACAAATTTACAAGAAAAAAACAAACAACCCCATCAAAAAGTGGGTGAAGGATATGAACAGACACTTCTCAAAAGAAGACATTTATGCAGCCAACAGACACATGAAAAAATGCTCATCATCACTGGCCATCAGAGAAATGCAAATCAAAAACACAATGAGATACCATCTCACCCCAGTTAGAATGGCAATCATTAAAAAGTCAGGAAACAACAGGTGCTGGAGAGGATGTGGAGAAATAGGAACACTTTTACACTGTTGGTGGGACTGTAAACTAGTTCAACCATTGTGGAAGACAATGTGGAGATTCCTCAAGGATCTAGAACTAGAAATACCATTTGACCCAGCCATCCCATTACTGGGTATATACCCAAAGGATTATAAATCATGCTGCTATAAAGACACATGCACACGTATGTTTACTGCGGCACTATTTACAATAGCAAAGACTTGGAACCAACCCAAATGTCCAACAATGATAGACTGGATTAAGAAAATGTGGCACATATACACCATGGAATACTATGCAGCCATAAAAAAGGATGAGTTCATGTCCTTTGTAGGGACGTGGATGAAGCTGGAAACCATCATTCTCAGCAAACTATCGCAAGGACAGAAAATCAAACACCGTATGTTCTCACTCATAGGTGGGAATTGAACAATGAGAACACTTGGACACAGAGTGGGGAACATCACACACCAGGGCCTGTTGTGGGGTGGGGAGAGGGGGGAGGGAGAGCATTAGGAGATATACCTAATGTAAATGACGAGTTAATGGGTGCAGCACACCAACATGTATACATGGCACATGTATACATATGTAACAAATCTGCATGTTGTGCACATGTACCCTAGAACTTAAAGTACAATTTAAAAAATCAACTATTCTATTTGAGAAGGAAAGTGAATAATAAATTGTCCCTTTGTTGCAGTCCACAAACCATTTCTAAGATAGATTACTAGAATTTGCTGATCACGTGGAGCATCTTTCATTTAGCAAGCTAGTAAAATGTATAAGAAGCCACAAGAAAAGGGTTTTGTAAAACAGGAAAACTGTATTTCAAAATGTGCCATTTTTTTTTTCAAATCGAGCTTTCTTATCAGGAAAATAACCCACATCCTGAGATGCATTTCTAGCACATGCAGAAATAAGATGCTCTTTCATTTTATCTGGCCTCACACTTCTATTCACAAGAATGTTTTCACAGAAATAAAACCAGGATGATCTCTGTGTCCTAACAAGTTCAAAGATGCAAATGAAATCATTTAATTCCTGATCTTTCACTTATTTCTGTTGGTAACAAAGTCTCAGGCACTGCTAATACTCATAGTTGGTTGACAATATTCAGTAGAAAAAGAAATTATTCACATCAATTAGAAGTTAATAAAAAATAAAAATATACATTTATCTATTAGAGTTCATGGACTCCATGAAACTAAGAGGACACTAAACCCATAATGGTAAACCTTGCTCAGGAATGGAGGTAAGGAGCTAACAAAAATCTGATACTTGAAAGTATAAAATCAGTCCATAAATGTTCTGAAAGAGCTTTTTGCAACTTTTTATTATTCATTGTGATTTTTCATCTGAAGCATCATATTAAGAGCAATGTGGTGAATGAAACGTGAATTTTTGTGACACTGATCTAGGCTTGAACCCCAGCTTTGCTCCTTGATATACACTTCACCACCATGTTGTCACCAGGGCTCCATGAGACAATCTACATAGAAGGGCCCAGCCTTGTGCATGGCACATAGTAAGCATTCAATACATGTTGGTTTTGTTTCTTTTTCCTTCACCTCACTCTCCACCAGCAACTGGAGGTAGGAAGGGCTGGATGTATACTCTAGGTGTTTTTCCTGGGCCCTGCAAGTAGGCACTCCTCCACTAGATATTTTTAAAGGGCCATTATCTCCTGCTCTGTTCCTCGTATACACTCTGAAAAACCAATGCTGCCCCTGGGAACCCAGGAACAAAGCAGCCTGATCCCTGACTCTATGCCAAAGTCCATTTCCCTAAAATAAAAGGCAGCACTTAGAAAGACAAGTTCACGGGACTGCTCATCTGTGCTATCACCAAGATCTCAGTCACCCACCCTGGAGCCAAGAGAGCCAAGAAAGACCATGAACATGAAGACACGATGTTCTCGTTCCTCCTCCTCAGAGCAGAACAAAGAGCATCTATTCAGAGTGGAGGGCTTTCTAGGCATGGGGGCACATCAATTTGGGTGCTGTGGCCAATGACAGTGGCATCACAGGTAGTGGTATCATGTGCCAAGCAGAGTGCTAGGAACTTCAGAATAACAGAACCTGCTACCCATTTTCATGACGTATGTCGTGGAACCACAGAATGTTAAAGTTCTAAAGGGCCCTTAAAATGATTAAAATCTGATATTACAGATAAACGATTTGCTGAAGACATAATGAGTTATCTAGTGATCAGGCACAGGTCTCCAGACTCTCAGGAAAATGCTATTTCCATTATGCCACACTACCTCTATTAATAGTTTCTAACACCTTCTTCTCTCCTACCCCATGATAAATGAAGAAAGAAATTATTTTCAAGAGAAAATGTGATGGATGAGGTACTGTGGGAGGCTGAGAAGTAGGTCAGAGGACTCCAACATTTGGGTAGAGTTGCAAAATTCTACAATCTTAACTGGAAATAATCAGTACAATGGAGATTCAAAACACAATTGGCCTTTCAGAAGGCATCTGCCAAGGAGAACCTTGAAGGAAGAAGAAAAAAACTCCACCACAGTTTAACCTAGAATGTCTGCTTCTTTTGCTCTGATTCTAGTGCTGCTCCCTCTCTCTATTTTCTTATGTTTTATATTTATTTTTATAGATTCAGGGAGTGCATACATAGGCTTATTATGTGGACAGATAGTCAAATGGTAAAGTTTGGGCATCTAGTGCACCCATCACCTGAAGAGTGAACATTATACCCAGCAGGTAATTTTTAAATAGAGGATAAAGCAGAGGAAACAAGTGACAAATGAAATACCCTAATAACTTGGTAAGTCCAGGCTGCAAAGGCTCAGAAGTTTGTCTTCTTGATAAGCCTGGGAATGTTCTCAAAAATGCTATCCAGTGTTCAACACCCTCTTCTAAAATATGGCAGAGTAGAAAACTAGATCCAAAGGCCTCACAACCTTACTCTCCATTCTGGAATCTATTATTTCAAAGGAACCAGCTCCCTCATGTGTAAGTGTCTAAGACTTCTTGCTCTCTTCTTAGGCAAAGGTGGGCTCCGTATTCTGTTTGTTCATAGAGAAGAAACATTGTAAATTTTGTGACACTTAACATAAGATCATATTTTACCCAATCTTCATCTGATGTCTAAAAAATGTCAGACTCAATATATTTCAATGATCATATCATTCCTACAACTAAAGAACATGTTGTTAAATCAGTTTAATATGGAATACTTCTAGTATCTCTAACCAAGCACCATCAGCCATTGGGCTGGTGGTTTAGGAGACTTAGAATGCCAGGAGTGGTCATGGTTTTCTAGTACTTTACCCATAGTGAATCTTAACTGAGTTAGCTTTCATAAAGATAGACATCTAAATCATGAACAAAAAACTAGCCAGATTCAAAATATAAATTTGCTAAAGATCAAGTCATGGAATAATTCTAGAGAGGATTTAATGGCTCTACAAAGTAAACAGTCGCTGGCCTTGAAGGACAGATTTCTTGTAAGTAGAAGAGTTCTCGACTGAGAATCAAACGTTCTAGTGGAAGGTCAAGCTTGGTCACAGACTATATATCTTTTCCTCTCTCACTCTCTGGTTTCTTACCCATAATGTGAGGAGCCAGGTGAGCTTGTCTGCCTTATTCATTGCTTGGTCTTACTCATGTAACTGTGTTGTATATACAATTTCTCAACAAATATTTGTTGAATGTATGAATAAATCTCAGAGAGGCATTGAATCACGGTGGTGAAACGTGGACTCTAGAATTAGGAAGTCATACTTTGAGTAACAGCACTATCTCACTGGATATGTGACCTGGGGTAAGCTTCTGGAACCTCAACAAGCCTCAGTTTCCTCCTCTTGAAATTGGGATAAGAATAATAATATCAAAAGTATATGTTTTTAAAAAGGTTAGCTCCATGCAAACCTCAACATTTATTAATTTTCTTTTTTCTCTGCCTTGAGGAGGACAGCCAATGAACTTGAGCTCCAAGAGGAAACCTTGTGTGACAGGCTCTCCCTAGGCATGAATAATCACTAGCCTCTGACGAAGAAGAAAGTTTTCTCTCTGGAGCCTAAAGACCTGTGCTTGCAGCCCCTAGCTTCTTTTTCCTGCACAAGGGATTTCCGGGTCAGGATGAACAAACACTTCTTGTTCCTCTTCCTCCTTTACTGCCTCATTGTGGGTGAGTCCTGGACCTGAGGGGTATACTTGAGAGACAGGATCTAGGGAGCTCCAGGGAAACTACATGTGTAGCATGCATCCATGCAGGGCTGAGCTTTGGCCACTTTTATGAGCCAGGGGAAGCCAGCCTCCAGAATGCTCCTCTGCCTTCCCTGACAACTCTTCCATCCTTTTCAGCCTCCTGCCATTCTCCTCCAGATGGGCAGGCCTCTGTCCTGCCCTTTTAACTCATTTTCTCCCTCTGTCCCTACCATTCCCCATAATCCCAAGCCCTGGCAAGATTTTCCTTAGGACATCCTTTTTATTTGTAAACCTATATCCCATTTGTTGATGGAGCTGGTCAGTCTATAATGAATAATTTTCAGTTTATTTTAGGAGTGAACAATGGCTTTTGATACCCTTTTCAGAGACTTTATATTACAACAAGTAATTCTATGAGAGGAAGTACTGAATGCTCTGGAATCAGACAGATTTTTTTCATGGTTTGTAGTCACGGTCTCAAAATCTCTGTACCTTTGGTTGCTCATTCAAGAAATGGGGACAATGGTGCCTGCTTACAAGGCTTTTGCGAGGATTAAATCGGATGCAACTTGAGAGAACATGGCCCAAATGGGATGCTCAATCATTGCTACTTTCCTTTCTCATTCAGGTGCACTAGGGAAATTTTTTTAAATTAAACCTGTATTTTGAATAGCTCACCCCGCAGAACCTCATAAAAGTGTCACTTATGGTACTATTATTGATGATGCCTTTATGTAGATTCAGATTGAAGCTCAAAAGAACAGAATATATCACCTAACAATAGTAACAATAGCTTTGGTGAAATGTTTTAAAGCCCTCACCCTCCTTATCACACCCATATCTCTAGTAGGCCAGGCTAGCATTCATAGCACCATTTTTAAGCTAGAGAAGTCAATGACATGGAGGCTAACTTTTTGCTTAAAGTTATCCAGGTTAAAAGGGCTGAAGGTGGGGTCAGAATCCTTTGGTGACATTTTCTTTTTATTACTCTGAAATGAGGAGTTGATAAGAGCTCCAACTGTTTACCGCCTAAATACCCCAACCAGTAGCTCTTCATCTGCCTGCCCCCTCCACTATTCATTCCCCACCTCCATCTGAATATTTCTAACTCCATCCCAAGTCCCTGCTTTTGCCTAGTCTCACACCATCTCTATGCTCTCTCCAGCAGTGACATCACTTCAGTGCATAACATGCCACCTTCGCACACGGACAGACCGCTGTAGAAGAGGCTTTGGTGTCTGTACTGCTCAGAAGGGCGAGGCATGCATGCTCTTAAGGATTTACCAGCGTAAGTTAGAGGGTCAGGGAAGGTGTTGTAAGATTCTTAGAATTCTTAGGATAGTGCTTCAGCAATTTCACATCTCAAGAGAAGAACCAATGCAGAATGCCCCTGAGCACAGGTGGTAGCACAGGTCCCTGTGCATACAGACAGAAGATAATTTGGGTCAATGAGACAGGAGGGAGAACTTGGGGATTCTATATTTCCAAGAAAACTGACCAAACAGATTTTTTTTTGATAATCGACACATAACAATTGTTCATATTTATGAGTATATGTGATTTTTCATACAAGCCTTCAATGTGTAATGATCAAATCAGGGTAACTGGATATTCATCACCTCAAACATTTATCATTTCTTTGTATTGAGAACATTCTATATGTTCTCTTCTAGCTATTTTGAAATATACAATAAAGAAAATATGGTATATACACACAATAGAATATTATTCAACCATAAAAATAAATGAAATTCTGTCCTTTGCAGAAACAGAGGTGAGCCTGGAGGTCATTATATTAAATGAAATAAGCCAGGCCCAGAAAGACAAATATCCCATGTTCTTAATCATGTATAGGAGCTAAAGAATAAGTTAATGTCATGGAGGTAGAGACTAGAGTGGTGGTTACCAAAGGCTGAGAAGAGTGGTGGAAGGAGAGGATGAAGACAGTCTGGTTAATGACTAAACAGATTTTGACTTTGAAGACACTAAATCACTAGTTGCTAATCTTCTAGCAAGAGAGAAAAATGAAGCAGCTACATAGAGTTGAGGATTTTCAGGGACCTCAGGCAAACAAGCCCTGCAGCTGATCAGTGGCCTCTGTATCTCCCTGCCTGGGTGCTTTTAGGGAGTATAAGCTGGGAAGCCATTCCTCAACCTACCCTAATTAAATTTTCACCAACAGAACTAGTGCTGGGTTTGACTCACCTTGGAGAGCTTAAATCAAATGCTTATTTTCTGTGGTTCTTTCCTATTTTAGGCAATACTCTCCAGATATCATACATGGTGTGTCAGAAATTCTGCAGAGACATGACATTTGATCTCAGGAATCGGACTTATGTTCATACATGCTGCAACTACAATTACTGTAACTTTAAACTCTAAGATATTTGCCCTCCTGAGGTCTCGCTTTGGAATGTCCCCAATGTTGCTCATCCTTCACACTCTGCTGGCCCTTGCTTCCCTTCCGTGTCTGTCCTGACAATACCCCTGCCCTCGCATTAACCTAAGAAGACTAAACTAGTGTGATCCTTTCTGGTGTCTTCAGCTTGGCTTCTCCCTCAGTCAGAGAATAGTGGTTCTGAACAATGGATTTCTTCTATTATTGGGATTATTGGCATGGCCATATTCCAAGAAACCTGCCCCAAGAGTTCCTGTACAGTAAAATTTAAAGCAGGAACATTCTAGAATCTTAATTTGCTTAACTAGTTCAGGTACACTAGAAAGCCTTCAGCTAAAAATTCACAATATTTTTATCTAAAATTCCCATGTATCCGGAGAATGACTAAGCAGAAATAGCAATTAAATGGATGATGGATACTGAAGATTTTTCTCTACGGACACCAAGTTATTTCTACCAGCAGGCAGTGCCCACTTCAAACTCAACCATTGTGATTTTCTTGGCATTTACAAACTACATCCTTACACTGTTATTAGGAGATAGCAAACAAGGATCTTCCCGGCCTCTGTGACATTCACCGAGCTCTCACACAGCCACTGCTACTCCTATCGAGATGTACATTCAAGGTACATCAGAACTCTCATTTCTTCCCCTTCCTTTCCTAAACCTTCTCTCTTCCTTTCCCCCTTTGCCATTCACCTTTACTATCACCTCCCACCTCCATTATCACCTCCCCATTGCCACACAACCTCTCCCTGTAGAGAGGCAGGAGGTCCTTCGAAGCTTTGCCCCATGCGTCAGATGGCACCTGAGGCATATAACCTAGGGTGGGCTGCCTTTCAGGATCCGTCATCAAAGGGAGTCAAACATAGTCAAGATACCATCTACCCTGTACAGCTTTCTTGAGACTTGGGGGCCTGGGTCAAAGAGATTTGTCTGTCCCTTGCTGCCCATCTTTAAGTAATAAACCGACTTCACATAACTTGTTGTGTGTTGGTGTGTTCTGTCTCATTGAACTCAGACAAATAGGTAACTAAAGCGTGATGGACCTAAATAGTAGCCCAAGATATAGTGGGACTCCTGTTTCTGGTGATGGGCAGAGTGCTGATTACTGTTATTCTCCAGGAAGTGGGAGTCCTTGCTTGGGATTGGCAATTAGCATTGCACTTCTATATTCATGAAATAATTGTAACTGTTCTGGAACTTATTATAAATGAAATCACACAGAAACTATTCACTTAAACCTGGTTTCTTTTACCCACCATAATACTGTTTTAATTTTTAAATTTTTAATTTTTGTAGGTACATAGTTGGTGTACGTATTTATGGGGTACCTGAGATATTCTGACAAAGGCATGCAAAGCACAATAATCACATCATGGAGAATGTCATTTATCCTTTGTGTTACAAACAATTTAAAAAACCATTTAATTATATTCTTTTTTTTTTTCTTTGAGATGGGCGGAGTCTGTCTCTATCGCGAGGCTAGAGTGCAGTGGCGCGATCTGGGCTCACTGCAAGCTCCGCCTCCCGGGTTCACGCCATTCTTCTGCCTCAGCCTCCCGAGTAGCTGGGACTACAGGCGTCTGCCATCACGCCTGGCTAATTTTTCTATTTTTAGTAGAGACGGGGTTTCACCATGTTAGCCAGGATGGTCTCGATCTCCTGACCTTGTGATCCGCCCACCTCGGCCTCCCAAAGTGCTGGGATTACAGGCGTGAGCCACTGCGCCCTGCCAATTATATTCTTTCAGTTATTTTTAAATGCAAAATTAAGTTATTATTAACTATAGTTGCCTGTTGTGCTATCAAATACTAAATATCATTCATTCTTTTTATTTTTTTGTACCCAATAACCATCACAACCTCCCCTCCAGTCCCCCACTATCATTCCAAACCTCTAGTCACCATCCTTCTAATCTCTATGTTCATGATGAATTCAACTGTTTTGATTTTTAGATCCCACAAATAAGTGAGAACATGTGATGTTTGTCTTTCTGTGCCTGACTTATTTGACTTAACATAATGACCTCCAGTTCCATTCATTGTTGTCATTGTTGCAAATGAATGGATCTCACTTTTTTTATGGCTAAATAGTACTCGCTTGTGTATATGTACCGCATTTTCTCTATCCATTTATCTATTGGTGGAAAATTAGCTTGCTTCCAAATTTTGGCTATTGGGAAGAGTGCTGCAACAGAGTGCAGATATCTCTTCAATGTGCTGATTTTCTCTCTTTTAAGTATATACCCAGCAGTGGGACTGCTGGATCATACGGTGGCTCTATTTTTAGTTTCTTGAGAAACCTCCAAACTGTTCTCCATAGTGGTTGTACTAATTTACATTCCCATCAACAGTGTGTGAGGGTTCCCTTTTCTCCACACCCATGCCAGCATTTGTGATTGTCTGTCTTTTGGATATAAGCCATTTTAACTGGGATAAGGTATCTCATTGTAGTTTTGGTTTGCATTTCTCTGATGATCAATGATGTTCAGAACACTTTCATATGTCTGTTTTCCATTTGCATGTCTTCTTCTGAGAAATGTCTATTCAAATCTTTTGCCCATTTTTGACTGGATTATTAGATTTCTTCCTATAAAGTTGTTTGAGCTCTGTATATATCCTGGTCATTATTCTCTTGTCAGGTGGGTAATTTGCAAATATTTTCTCCTATTCTGTGGGTTGTCACTTCACTTTGTTAACTGTTTCCTTTGCTATGCAGAAGTTTACATTGATGTTATCCCATTTGTCCATTTTTCCTTTGATTATCTGTGCTTATGTGGTATTGCTTAAGACATTTTTGCCCGGAACAATGTCCTGGAGAGTTTCCTAAAAGTTTTCTTACATTCTTTTAATGGTTAAAGTTTTTAATCCATTTTGATTTGATTTGTGTATATGGTGAGAGGTAGTGGTCAAGTTTCATTCTTTTGCATATGGATATCCAGTTTTCCCAGCGCCATTTGTTGAAGAGTCTGTCTTTTCCCCAGTGTATGTTCTTGGCACCTTTGTCAAAAATAAGTTTGCTGTATGTGTGTGGATTTGTTTCTGAATTCTCTATTCTGTTCTATGTGTTCTATGTATTCTGTTCTATTCTGTTATAGGTCTATGTGTCTGTTTTTATGCCAGTACCATGCTGTTTTGGTGAGTATAGCTCTGTACTATAATTTGAAGTCAGGTAATGTGATTCCTCCAGTTTTGTTCTTTTTGTTCAGAATACCTTTGGATATTCTGGGTCTTCTGTGATTCCATGTAAATTTTAGTATTGTTTTTCTATTTTGGTAAAGAATGTCATTGGTATTTTGATAAAAATTGCATTGAATCTGTAGAATGTTTTGGGTAGTATGGACATTTTAACACTATTGATTCTTATAATTCATGAACATGAAATATAATTTAATTTTTTAATATCTTCTTCAATTTCTTTCATCAGTGTTTTATAGTTTTTGTTGTAGAGATATTTCACTTCTTTGGTTAAGTTCATACCTAAGTATTTAATTTTTTTCTGTGGCTATTATAAATTGGATTTCTTTCTTGGTTCCTTTCTCAGAATGTTTGCTATTGGCATACATAAATGTTACTAATTTTTGAATGTGGATTTTGTATTCTGCAACTTTATTGAGTGTGTTTATCAGTTCTATTTTTCAGTGGAGTCTTTAGGTTTTTCTTACTATAAGATCATATCATCTGCAAACAAGGACAATTTGAATTCTTCCTTTCCAATTTGGATGCCCTTTATTTTCTTCTCTTGTCTGACTGCGCTAGCTAGAAATTCCAGTACTGTGTTGAATAACAGAGGTGAAAATGGGCATTCTAGATCTAAGAGGAAAGACCTTCTGTTTTATTTTTTATTTTTTATGATATTAGCTGTGGGTCTGTCATATATGGTTTTTATTATGTTATTTTCATTCTGTACACAGTTTTTTGAGGGCTTTGAACATGAAGGGATGTTGAACTTTATTAGATGCTTTTTAGCATCAGTTGAAAATATCATATTTTTTTGTCCTTCATTCTGTGGATATGGTGTATCACACTGATTGATTTGCATATGTTGAACCATCCTTGCCTCTCTAGGATAAATCCCACTTGGTCATGATGAATGATCCTTTTAATGTATTGTTGACTTAGGTTTGCTGGTATTTTGTTTGGGATATTTGCACCAATATTCATCAGTGATATTTACCCGCAGTTTTCTTTTTTTGATGTGTCTTTGTCTGGTTCTGGTATCGGGTAATACTGGCTTCATAGAATAAGTTTGAAAGCATTCCCTTCTCCTATTTCTCAGAATAGTTTGAGTAGAATTGACATTAGTTATTCTTTAAATGTTTAGTAGATCTCAGCAGTACCACCATCAGGTCCTGGGCTTTTTTTAACTGAGTGACTCTTAATTACTGTTTTGGTCTTGTTACTTTTTACTGGTCTCTTCAGGTTTTGAATTTCTTCATGTTTGAATCTTTGCAGGTTGTATGTGCTTAGGAATTCATTCATTTTCTCTAGATTTTCCAGTTTATTGGCATATAATTGCTCATAGTACCTACTAATGATCCTTGGAATTTCTCTGGTATCAGTTGTAATGTCTCCTTTTTCATCTCTAGTTTTAAGTATTTGGGTCTTCCCTCTTTTTTTCTTAGTCTGGATAAAGGTTTGTCAATT
The DNA here is from genome assembly GCF_000001405.40 of Homo sapiens. Lineage (NCBI taxonomy): Eukaryota > Metazoa > Chordata > Mammalia > Primates > Hominidae > Homo > Homo sapiens. The sequence goes on from NC_000011.10 coordinate 125,795,268, forward strand.
TTGTTTATCTTTTTTAAGAAACCAACTTTTGGTTTCATTGATCTCTTGTATTGTTTTCTATCATTTCAAATTCATTTATTTCTGCTCTGATCATTATTTCTTTTCATCTACTAATTTTGAGTTTGGTTTGCTCTTGCTTTTCTAGTTCTTTAAGATGCATCATTAGGTCATTTATTTGAAGTTTTTTTCTTTTTTGATGCAGACACTTATAGCTGTAAGTTCACCTCTTAGTACTGCTTTCACTGTATTCCATAGGTTTTGGTATGTTATCTTTCTATTATCATTTGTTTCAAGACATTTCTCAATTTCTCAATTTTTTCATTGATCCACTGGTCATTTGGGAGTATATTGTTTAATTTCCATGTGTTTGTATAGTTTTCAAAATTCCTCCTGTTATTGATTTCTAGTTTTATTCCTTTTTGCTCAGCGACGATGTTTGGCATTATTTCAACTTTTTTGAATGTTTTAAGACTTGTTTTGTGACCTACAATAGGACATATCCTTGAGAATGATTCATGTGCTGAGGAGAAGAATGTGTATTCTGCACCTGTTGGATGATATGTTTTGTAAATATCTACTAGGTACATTTGTTCTATAGTGCAGATAAAGTCTGATGTTTCTTTGTTGATTTTCTGTTTTGATGATCTGTCCAATGCTGAAAGAGGGATGTTGAAGTATTCAGCTATGATTTTATTGAGATATTTCTCTTTAGCTCTAATAACATTTGCTTTATATATTTCATGCTCCAGGACTCTGTCCTGGTCTGTAAAGTCATCACTAAAAAATCTGCATCCAGACATATTGGAGCTCCATTGTATGTGATTTCTTTCTTTTCTCTTGCTGCTTTTAAGATCCATGCTTTATCCTTGGCCTTTGGGAATTTGGGTTAAATCCACTTAGTGTTCTATCACCTTCTTGTACTTCAATATTAATATCTTTCTCTAGGTTTGGGAAGTTCTCTGATATTATCCATTTGAATAAACTTTCTATCACTGTCTCTTTTTCTACCTCCTCTTTAAGGTCAATAACTCTTAGATTTGCCCTTTTGAGGTTGTCTTCTACATCTTATAGGCATGCTTCATTTTTTTTTTTTTTTTTTTTTTTGCATTCTCAGCCCATGCTGCTTTATTGCTAAAAAACATATATACACAGGGGCAGAGTTTCCACCTCTTTTAACAGCTCCTTTTTACATCAAATAATTCAGTTTCTTTTTCAAAACCCCCAAAGATGCATAGATTAAAAAGCAAGCTGCCTTTTGTAATACTTCAAATAATATTCAATGAAATTCTTTTTAACATTATACGCCAATGGTGCAATGGAGAATATGGAGGATAGCAAATAAACACAGTCAGCAACTCTTATTCTTACAAGGCAGTAAGTAAAGTATAATGTGAAGGACAATCTAAGATAATCTTTCTGGTTATAATAGATGGGTGGTTTTAAGAAAAGTGCCAAGACTGTTACTGTTTAATGATTAATGATAATGTATTACCAGGGTATCTTTCTTACTCCTTAGAGAAAAATACTTTTTCACTGATGGAATAACATATCATCACCAAGGGAGAAAAAAACCTGAAAACTGTCAATAACTAAGATACCTATTCTGACTTTAAAGAAGGTATAGGAGATCATGGAGAAATCCTTCTTTTTTATTCTTTTCTTCTTTTGTCCCCTCTGACTGTGAATTTTCAAATAGCTTGTCTTCAAGATTACTAATTCTTTCTTCTGTTTGATCAATTCTGCTATTAAGAGACTCTGATGCATTCTTTAAAATGTCCATTGCATTTTTCAACTCTAGAACTTCTAATTGATTTTTAAATTATTTCTGTCTCTTTGTTAAAGATGTCTAATAGAATTTTGAATTTCTTCTCTCTGTTATCTTGAATTTCTTTGAGTTTCCTCAAAACCACTATTATTTGGGAGAAACTGGCCAAACACAGTGGCTACAGGACCCATGCAAGTCTGAAAGCCAATAGGGCAGGCATTAAACCTTAAAGTTCCAAAACAATCTCCTTTGACTCCATGTCTCCCAAGGCCTTAGGCAGCTCTGACCCTGTGGCTTTGCAGGGTACAGCCCCCCTCCCAGCTGCTTTCACAAGCTGGTGTTGAGTGTCTATGGCTTTTCCAGGCACCGGTGCAAGTTGTCAGTGGATCTACCATTCTGGAGTGTGGAGGATGGTGGCCTTCTTCTCACAGCTCTATTAGGCAGTGCCCCAGTAGGGACTCTGTGTTGTGGCTCCAACTCCATATTTCCCCTCTGCACTGCCCTAGCAGAGGTTCTCCATGAGGGTTCCACCCCTGAAATACACCTCTGCCTGGACATCATGCATTTCCGTATCTTCTCTGAAATCTAGGCAGAGGATCCCAAACCTCAATTCTTGTCTTCTGTGCACCTGCCAGACCAACACCACGTGGAAGCTACCAAGGCTTAGGGCTTGAACCCTCTGAAGCCATGGCCCGAGCTGTAACTTGTCCCCTTTAGCCACAACTGGAGCAGCTGGGATGCAGTGCACACAGCAGGGGTCCTTAGACCCGCCCCAGGAAACTACTTTTCCCGCCTAAGCCTCTGGGCCTGTGATGGGAGGGGCTGCCATGAAGGGTTCTTACATGCCCTAGAGACATTTTTCCCTTTGTCTTGGAGATTACCTTTTGGTTTCTCATTACTTATGCAAATTTATGCAGCCAGATTGAATTTCTCCCCAGGATTTTTTTTTAATCACATCATCAGGTTGCCAATTTTCCAAACTTTTATGCTCTGCTTCCTCTTGAATGCTTTGCCACTTAGGAATTTCTTCAGCCAGATGCCCTAAATCATCTCTCTGAACTTCCAAGTTCCACAGATCTCTAGGGCAGAGGCACAATGCTGCCAGTCTCTTTGTATAGCAAGAGTGACTTTTACTCCAGTTCCCACAAGTTTCTCATCTCCATCTGAGACTACTTCAGCCTGGACTTTATTGTCCATATCCCTATCAGCATTTTGATCAAAGCCATTTAACAAGTCTCTAGGAAGTTCCAAACTTTCCCACATCTTCCTGCCTTCTGAGCCCTCCAAGTCTCTAGGAAGTTCCAAACTTTACCACATTTTCCTGCCTTCTTCTGAGCCCTCCAAACTGTTCTAAACTCTGCCTGTTACCCAATTCCAAAGTCGCTTCCACATTTTTGGGTATCTTTACAGCAATGCCTCACTACCTGGCACCAATTTACTATGTTAGTCTGTTCTCATGCTGCTAATAAAGACATACCTGAGACTGGGTAATTTACAAAGGAAAGAGATTTAATTGACTCACAGTTCTGCAGGGCTGATCAGCCTCAGGAAACTTACAATCATGGCAGAAGGGGAAGCAAACAGGTTCTTCTTCTCCTTCTTTGTGTGATGGCAACAAGGAAAAGTGCAGACTGAAGCGGGGAAAAAGCCCCTTATAAAACCATCAGACCTCAGGATAACTCACTATCATGAGAACAGCATGGAGGTAACTGCCCCCATGATTCAGTTACCTCCCACTGGGTACCTCCCACAACACGTGGTGATTATGGGAACTACAATTCAAGATAAGATTTCGGTGGAGACACAGCCAAACCATATCAGTCATGATCAATGATATTTTAATGTGTTGTTGAATTCAGTTTGCTAGCATTTTCTTGAAGTTTTTTTTTATAAATATTCATCAGATATGTGAGCCAGTAGTTTTGTTTTTCTGATATGTCTTTCTCTGGTTTGGTATCAGGATAATACTGGCCTCATAGAATGAGTTTGGATGTATTCCCTCCTCCACTATTTTTTGGAATAGTTTGAGTAGGATTGGTATTAGTTCTTTAAATGTTTGGTAGAATTCAGTAGTAAAAATGTTGATTTCATTACTTATTGGTCTGTTCAGGTTTTGGATTTCTTCTGATTCAATTTGGTTGGTTGTATGTATCTAGGAATTTGTCCATTTCTTCTAGAGTTTCCAATTTATTGGTATATAGTTCCTCCTATTAGCCACTGATGATCCTTTCATTCTCTGCAGTGTCAGTTCTAATGTCTTCTTTTTCATTTCCAATTTTATTTATTTGAATCTTCTCTCTTTTTTCTTAGTCTGACTAAAGGCTTGTCAATTTTGTTTAACTTTTCAAAAAAACCAACTTTTTGTTTCATGAATCCTTTGTATTTTTTAATTTCAATTTCATTTATTTCTACTCTGGTCTTTATTATTTCTCTTCTGCTAATTTTGGGTTTGGTTTGCTCTTGTCTTTCTAATTCTTTTAAGATGCATTGTTAGTTTGTTCATTTGAAGGTTTTTTAAAGGTAGACACTTAAAGCTATAAACTTCTGTCTTAGTACTGCTTTTGCTATATCCCATAGGTTTTGGTATATTGTATTTCCATTCTATTTGTCTCAAGAAATTTTTCAATTTTCTTCTTAATTTCTTCATTGACCCACTGGTCATTTAGGTGCAATTCAGGAGCATATTGTTTAATTTCCATGTATTTGTATAGTTTCCAATGTTCCTCTTCTTACTGATTTCTAGTTTTATTCCATTATGGTCAGAGAAGATGCTTGCCATTATTTCATTTTTTAAAAATGTTTTATGGCTTGTTTTGGAACCTAACATATGATGAGAATGATCCATGTGCTGAGAAGATCAATGTGTATTCTGCAACTCTTGGATGAAGTGTTCTGTTAATATTTACTAGATTCGTTGGTCTGTAGTGCATATTAAGTCTTATGTTTCTTTGTTGATTTTCTATCTGGGAGATCTGTCCAGTGCTGAAAGTGGGGTGTTAAAGTCTGCAGTTACTATTGTATTGAAGTCTATCTCTCTTTTTAACTCTAATAATATTTCCTTTATATATCTGAGTGCTCCAGTGTTCGGTGTATACATATTTAAAATTATTATAGCCTCTTGCAGACTTGATCTCTTTATCATTATGTAGTGATATAATAATATCACTTCTTCTTTGCCTCTTCTAGTTTTTGTCTTGAAATCTATCTTGTCTTATATAAGTACAGCAACTCCTGCTTTTTTTTGGTTTTCATTGGCATGGAATATCTTTTTTCATCTCTTCATTTTCAGTCTATGTGTGTCTCTGTAGGTGAAGTATGTTTCTTGCAGGCAACAGATCAATGAGTCTTGTATTTTCATCCACTCAGCCAGTCTATGTCTTTTGATCAGAGAGTTTAGTCCATTTACATTCAATGTTATTACTGATAAGTAAGGACTTATTCCTGCCATTTTGTTATTTTTTTTCTGGCTTTTTTTTGGTCTTCTCTTTATTCTTTATTTCCTTTCTGTCTTCCTCTAGTGAAGGTGACTTTCTCTGGTGATATGATTTAGTTTCTTTCTTGCTTTTTATATATTTTAGTTTCTATTTTGCTACACCTTTTCTTCTTTCTGATTTTTATTTTGTGTTTTTTTTGTCTACTATTTTAAGTTGGGTGTATTTGTTATTTCTTTTTTCTTTTTACGTATATTTAATACTATGAATTTTTCTCTGAAAAATGCCTTAGCTATATTTTATAATTTCTGATATTTTATGTTTCCCTATACTTGCTATTAAAAAATTCTGCATTTTTGTCTTAAATTTTTCTGTTGATGTAAGAGTTGCTAAATAGTATGTTGCTACATTTCCAGCTTGCAGTGCTTTTTTGGATTGGTTTTCAGCATCTAGTTTATTGCACTGTAGTAAGTGAATATTGCTTATGTTAATTCTATTTTTGGAAGTTATCAAGTATTTGTTTGAGGCATTGCAAAGGTTTCTCAAGTTCAGATATTTGAAAGAGCCACCAGACTTCATAGAACACACTTATTCTCTTTGGAACATATAAATTCATACAGCATACTTAATAAGGTCTTTATTTAAAGATAAAAGACTGCAGCAAATGAAACAGTGCAGACAAATACTGGGAGATCTGAGAGAAATCCCATGCACAAATTCTGCAGTCCTTTTTTTGCACAGAGACTGCACTCTGTCTTTGGACTGTGCAATCACAATCTGTGTGGGGAATCTTGGCTTCAGGAAACATCAAAGAGTTACAACATTTCAGTCAGACAAGACGAATAAATTCCAGAGATCTATTGTACAGCATAGTAACTATTGCTAATGACAATGTAGTTTATACTTACGAACTGCTAAAAGTAGACCTTAAATGTTCTAATGACAAAACATAACAAGTATATGAGGCAGATATGTTAATTTGATTTAACCATTTCACAATTTATATATATATCCAAATATCATATTGTACTATCTTCCTATCTTTCTTCATGATGTGATGATTTTTTGTAGTGATATGCCTTGATCCCTTTATCTTTGTCTCTGTGTGTGTGTGTGTGTGTATCTACTACAGACTTTTTCTTCCTGGTTACCACAAGGCTTACATAAAACATATTATCATTAGAACCGCCTATTTTAATCAGATGAAATCTGAACTAGCTGCATACAAAAACTCTACACTTTACCTTCTTCTTCCCTCACATTATATTTTATTGATGCACAATTTACATCTTTTATATATTGTTTACTAATTAACAAATTATTGTACTTACAGTTGTTTTTAATGTCATTGTCTTTTAACTTTTTACTAGAGTTAAAACTGATTTATGCACTACCAATACAGTATTAAAGTATTCTGAATTTGACTATATTCTTACTTTTATAGTGAGATTTATACTCTCATATGTTTTTATGATGTTAGAATCCTTCTCTTTCAATTTAAGGCATTCTCTTTAGCACTTTTTCTAGGGCAGGTCTACTGGTGATAAACTCCCACAGCTTCTGTTTCTGGGAAAGTCTTTATCTCCCCTTCATTTCTGAAGGACAGTTTTGCTGAGTATAGTATCTTTGGTTGACAAGTATTTTTTTCTTTCAGCATTTTAAATATATCATCCCACTCTCTCCTGGCCTGCAAGTTTTCCACTGAGACTATCACTAATAGTCTTACAAAGGATCCCTTCTATATGATGAGTTTATTTTCTCCAAATGCTTTCAAAATTTTCTGTCTTTTACTTGAGAATTTGATTACAATGTGGTCATAGAAGGTTTTTTGTATTTAAACCTTTGTTCTTTGGGATTTGTGGATCTGATGTTTACTTCTCCAGATTTGTGAAGCTTTCTATCATTATTTCTTTAAAAAAAAAAAAAAGGCTTTCCATCTTTTTCTCGTGCTCTGCTTTCTAGGACTCCCATAACATGTGAATTAATTTCCTTGCCAGTGTCCTATATGTTCTGTAGGCTTTCTGCATTCTTTTTAATTCCTTTTTCTTTTTGTTTTTCTGATTAGGTAATTTCAAATGACCTGTCTTCAAGATTACCAATTATTTATTCAGCTTGATTGAGTCTGCTATTGAAGCTCTCAATTCAACTTTTTATTTCAGTCATTGTATTCTTCAGTTCTAGAATTTGTGTTTGGTTCTTTTTAAAGGTTTTTATCTCAGTTGAAATTCTCATCTTGTTCATGTATTGGGTTTTCCTGATTTTGTTTAGTTCTGTGTTCTCTTGTAACTCAGTTTTTTAAAGATAATGATTTTAAATTATTTTTCAGACAGTTCATAGATCTCCATTACTTTAGGGTCATATACTGACACTTCTTTTTTTCCCTTTGCTGGTGTTATTATTATCTTTCATGATTCTTGTGGCCTTATGTTGGTGTTTGTACATTTGAAGAACTATGCACTTCTTCCAGTCTTTACAGACTGGCTTTGGCCAGTAAAGCCCTTTACCAGTTAACACATATAAGGATTCTCGGTATGCTGCCTGGCAGGGTCTATGAGCAGGCTTATTACATGAGTCCTCAGGAGAGCTGGCTGGTGCCTAGGTTAGCAAGTGGAAGATCTTGGTGCCGGGTTGGTGCCTGGGTTATCAAGTGGAAGATCTTAGTGCCTGAGTCCAAGAGGGCTGGCCTAACAATGAGGTGAGCCAGGTGCCTGGGTCCACAGGAATTGGCCTTGTCCTGAGTCTGCTGGCCTTATGCCAGGGTCCACTGGGGCATGCCCGGTGCCTGGGTCTACAAGCATGGGACTGGAGCCTAGGTTCATGGAGGCCATTCTAGCACTGGAGTGGGCAATAAGCCTAAGCCCATAGTGGTGGATCTAGGTTCTGATCTGAAGGTATCATGTTGAAATCTGGTCTGGAAGGGTGATCCTGGAGACTAGGTTCATGTGGACCAGTCCAGTGCTGAGGTCTCAAGTGGCCTTATACCCTGGATCCACTGAAGCAGGCCTGGAACTTGGTGCCACTGAAAGCTAGGGCTATAGGAGTCAGCCTGGCATTGGAGTGGACCTGGAGCCTGAGCCTGTGGGAGCTTGCATAGAGCCTGAGTCCACAGGGGCTAATATGGCATTGGGGCAAACCTGGAGCATGGGGTTGCAGGTGGTAGCCTGGAGTCTGGGTCTGCAGGGAGTAGCCTGAGTCCTGAGGCCACAAGGGAAAGTCTATAGTCTGGATGTTGGGGGACAGACTGATGGTTGGCTCTGTGGGTGCAAACCTGGAGCATAGGTCCATGGGGGCTGGCCCAGAGCCTGAAGCCATGGAGGAGAGCCTGATACTGGGGTTGACGGGGGTAGGGGGAGTGGCTCATACAAGGTCTGCGGTGACACTGGGTGTTTATTTCACTCTCTTTACCCCATGCAGAGGGTATCTTTCTCCATGTTGTACTGCCTGGGCTTGGGGGAGGGGTGATATGGGTAATGCGAGACTATTCTTCCTACTCTCTTCAATCCATCTTTTCTTATTTGTGTACTCCACTAAGGTTCTATAATCTCTCACCTGAATTCCTTAGCTCTTGTCAAGGTGTTTTCATGGATGGATAGTTGTTTAAATTGATGCTTTTGCAAGTGGTGATCATTTGAGTGTCCTATATGGTCATCTTGCTAGTCACTTTTCCATTAGGTTCTTTTTAATACATTCTATTTCTCTGTTAAAATTATTTATATTTTCATTTTGCCCATTTTTTTCTCTCATTTAATATATCTTAATAGTTATTTTAAAGTCATCATGTTATAATTTCAACATCTGGTCTGCTTCTATTACCTATTTTTTCCTGCTTCTTCATATGTCACATAAATTCTTATTATATTCCCAACATTGTAGAAAGCATTATCTTCCCCTAGAGAGAGCACACTCCTTTCTTTGTGAAGCAGATACATGGAGGAATTCGTCACCAAGATCACATCAGATTTGAGCAGGGTCAGGACTATTTTGAAGCTTTGGTTGGTTTAAGTTCAAAAAGTCTCTCTGTCTATGGCAAATCTGTTCTTCTATTAACTGTGAAAAGTCTTGGCAGATATCTTTAAAGTTCCTGTTCATCTCTGCTCACCTTAGAAGGGGGTCTTCCTTTCTGGAATTTGAGTTTCTTTTTATTCTGAATCCACACACCTCTCATATCATTTTAAAATATTTGACTATTTATACAAAAAATTAGCTGGGCGTGGTGGCGTGTGTCTGTAATCTCAGTTACTCAGGAGGCTGAGGCAGAAGAATCATTTGAACACAGGAGGCAAAGGTTGCAGTGAGCCGAGATTTTGCCACTGCACTCCAGCCTGGGTGACAGAGCGAGAGTCTGTCTCAAAAACATAATAATAATAAATATTTGACTATTATTTTATCCACCTTTCTGGTTATTTCAAAGGCACGCATTGTTTCCAACAACTCTCCACATTATAACCAAGAGCCAGAAGTCACAGTATTCATTTCTGAAACGTTTTCTACAAGTATTTTCAAACATATCTCTTACAGTGTTTTTTTTTTTGGTTTTCTAGCCATCTCCATTCTAAGCTTTTCTATATATTTTTCTCAAATTGTATTTAACACAGCCAAACTCTAAGCTAAATCATATACTTTAGATTGATTATAGTTTGATTGAAGAGTTACTGTTTCTAATACTACAAAGAATGTCTTTTTTCTGAACTACTTGCTAATGATACAAGTTAATAATACAATGCCTCATTATTTCTGAACTCTTTCCTATGTGTTCCCTAAAAACAGAGATATTTTTTCTTATAACCACAATACAATCATCACAATCACAAAATTAGTATTGACAAATTACTATCATGTAATCCACAGACCCCATCCAAGTTTTATCAATTTCCCAGTAATATTTTTCATAGCAAAATAATTCAATCTAGGATCATGATATTGCATTTATTTGCAATGTCTCTTTAGTCTCCTCTAATCTGGAATAGGTTCACAGTCTTATTTTCATGGCTTTAATACTTTTAAAATTATAAGCTGGTATTTTACATAATTCCCCTCAAACTGGGCCTGCACAACATGTCTGCATGATTACATACAGATAATAGGTCTTTGACAAAAATTTCGCCGAAGTGGTGCTGTGTTCTCAGTGCATTCTATCTAGGGGCACATAATTTTATCTCTTTACTAGTGATGTTAATTAATTACAATTAAAATTATTTATCTTCTGTAAAATTACTCATTTTCCCTTTGTAATTGCTAACTATTTTCTGGTGAGGTTCTCAGACTTTGTGAATGTCCCAGTATCTTTCCATTTTCACCAACAAGTTTTATCACTTACAAGTTTTATCATCTGTTAACACTAATAAGTTAGTGATAATCTTAGCATTTTTGCCTGAATTAATGAATTATTTCTTAGCATTTTTGTCAGATGGTGATTTTCCAATTTCAATACTCCTTCAGTGTTTATTAGATGGAATCTAATTTATTAGTTGGCAATCTACTGTAAGGAAAAGTTTTCTCCTCTCCTTATTTACCTATTTGATTACATAAGTATAATCATTCCTATTTTGTTCAATGAGTCATATTGATCATTATAACATTTATTTTGATGCTCAATTTTGGCCAGTGAGAGTCCCTTTAAGCTTGATTCAATATCCTTTCAGCATTTCCACCATTCTTTGAACACTTCCTTATTTCAGCCCTGGCCTAAATATTCCAGGCTCATTTTGTATTTTCCCTGCAAGGAGCCCTACCTACTTCTTCTTAATGGGAAAGGATATTTAGAAACGAAAATACAGGTGCTAGGTGTGCCCATTGCTATTGCGGTGTTACTGCTCTATGTCCACTCCATGTTCAAAGCTAGATAATACATGTACATACAGAAACATTATATTCTCGGCCAGGTGCGGTGGCTCATGCCTGTAATCCCAGCACTTTGGGAGGCTGAGGTGGGTGGATCACAAGGTCAGGAGACCGAGACCATCCTGGCTAACACAGTGAAACCACATCTCTACCAAAAATACAAAAAATTAGCCAGGCATGGTGGTGGGCGCCTGTAGTCCCAGCTACTCGGGAGGCTGAGGCAGGAGAATGGCATGAACCTGGGAGGTGGAGCTTGCAGTGAGCCAAGATCGCGCCACTGCACTCCAGCCTGGGCATCTCAAAAAAAAAAACAAAAAAAAAAAAACAAAAAAAGAAACATTATATTCTCTGATAATCTCAGTCTTTATACCAAGCTCAATTTTGTTTCTACTAACAGTTCCTTTCTTCCTAAGGATCAAGCTCTATTTTGTGAAAGGAATTTTAGTGACATATTTCCATATATCTGAGATATCCAAGGGCTTGGGGAACCCTGGTTCCCTGATTTTGTCTATGGCATGTTCCCTTTGCTATCCTAGTGTTACATGTTTTTGTAAAAGGGTTTACAGAGCTTCATAAACTATACTGCTGCCTCCAATATGTCCTAATTGAAAGTTCAGAGTACTATGTTGATAGCTCTAAGCAAAGCCTTTTAAAATCAACCCAAGAATTCTAAGGCAGTCAACTTCAGCCTTCATGACTCACAGCCTCTTTTCAGTTGCTGTTCACAGCAATTGGGAGTTGTTTCCCCTGACTGAGGGCCAGGAGGCAGGGTAACCTGGCATTAAAAACACAATATATAAGCAAATAGTACACTAAAAGCCCAGACTAATATATTTCATGTGACACAACTGCACTTGTATCCATAAATCCACACACACACACACACACACACAGATTTTTGCGATGGTGTCTCACTGTCACCCAGGCTGGAGTACAGTAGTACAATCACAACTCACTGCAGACTCAATCTCCTGGGCTCAAGCTATCCTTCCACCTCAGCCTCTCAAGTAGCTGGGACTACAGTGCATGCCATCATGCCCAGTTAATTTTTGTATTTTTTGTAGGGATGGGGCTTCATCATATTGTTCAGGTTGGTCTTTAACTCCTGAGCTCAAGCAATTCACCCGTCTTGGCCTCCCAAAGTGCTGGGATTACAGGCATGAGCCACCAGGCCCGGCCAAGAGAAAAAAAAATTAAGAAAAGTAAAAATAAAATTTTCAATTAATTATGGATCATTTAAATTATACACAGAGAAGGGCAGAGCAAGATGGTAGAAAAGAAGCCTACAGCATTTGTCCCTCTAGTAGGATCACCAAATTTTAACAACTACGTGCACACAGAAAAGCATCATCACAAGAACAAAAATCAGGTTGTTCGAACAATCACAGTACCTGGTTTTAACTTTATATCACTGAAAGAGGCATTAAAGAGGGTAGAAGAGACAGCCTTGAATTGCTGAAACTACCATTCTCCCATCCTCTGGCAGTAGCCATGTAGCACAGAGACCCTGTGCACTTGGGGGAGTGAGATCGCAGCAACTGGGTGACTTCGCATTGAACTCAGTGCTGTCCTGTCACAGAGGAGAGTAAAGCCATGCTGGGCTTAGCCAGCACTTGTGTACAGAGGGAACAATTTGGACCAGCCATAGCCAGAGGGTAATCAACCATCCCAGAAGCTAGAACTTGAGTTTCTCCGCAAGCCTTGTCACTGCAAGCCAAAGTGCTTTGGGGTCCTAGGCAAAACTGAAAGGCAGTCTAGGGACACAAGGACTGCACTTCCTAGGGAACTCTGGTGCTGGGCTGGGCTCAGAGCCAGTAAATACCATGAATCATTGCATTTTTAGAACCTACTGCCAGCATCTTCATTCTGTCCATTTAAACTAATTAATCAACCCTGCATGAAAGAATCTACTTTCTATTTCTCAAGATGTTAAAGTACAGTATTCATCCAAATATTATAAAATTTGGGAGAAATCTCATCATACATATATTGAAAATATTTTTAAATTTATTTGTAGATTTAAATATTTAATTCTACTTATATAAATACAACATTACACAAACTAATGAGCAGTCATAATCCTGGATATCAATAGGGATGAGACCAATCCTGGGATAATATTACATATGTGTGTATATAATTATAAGCTAAAAAAATACATATCATAGTGTCTGTAGAGTCTAATACATAGGATGGCTAAAATCATTTTTAGAACGTAAAGCAAAAGTCAACCAATAATAATTCTGGGATTAATTATTGTTATTTCATAACATTATTTTTGTTAAGAAAACTACAGTGATGATCTCAAACTCTTATCTCTCCTTAACATTTTTTGTTACAGGGCTGTGCCAATCGATTAAAAACAATCAGCTTTTATCAATGAGTACGTAGAATACGAGGTGATATTTGAATATTTTTGAGGACTGGGCATCCCTCACATGCTGTCTTAATTCATTTTCTATCGCTGCAACAGAACTGGGTAATTTATAGTGAACAGAAATGTATTCAGCTCATGGTTCTGGAGTTACCTTTGTTATTAATAATTTAATTGCACTCTGGTCTGAGAACACATGTCTATGTGATTTGAGGTCTTTGAAATTTATTGAGATTTTCTTTATGTCCCAAAATGTGGTCTGTTTTTGTGAGTATTCAATGTGCACTTAGAAAAAAATATGTTCTACAGTTGCTAGATTCATATTTTAAATAAGTCAGTTTGGTCAACTTTCTAAGATATGGTCTTCAAAGCATCTGTATCCTTACTTTTTTATTGCTTATTTTATCTATTACTGAGAGAGCATGTAAAAATCTTCAAAAGATAAATTGTCTATTTCTCCTTTTAGTTCTGCCAATTTTTGCTTTTTATATTTTGAGGCTATGTTATTAGGTGCATGGAAGTTTAGAACTGTTATATATTTTTGATAAATTGATCTTTTTATCATCATGAATTACCCATATATTCATCTCTGGTAATGCTTTCAGCCTTTAATGTCTACAGTTTTGCTATGAATGTAACTACAAGGTTTTATGATAGTGTTTATATACTGTATTTTTGCAGTCCACTTACATTCAACTTTGGTATCCTTATACTGTGTCTTATGTAAACAGTATATGCTGTTTTTAAAGTTTTAGTCTGTCTCATATTTAAATTGGAATATTTAGCTTATTACTGATATATTCAAGTTTAAATATAACATATTAGTACTTATTATCTATTTATCATACTTATTTGGTGTTTACTGTTCTCTTCCTTCTTGTCTTTTTTTGGATTAAGTATCTTTTTTTTTGTTATCCCAGTATCCCCCTTCTCTTTGCTTTGGAATTATCAAATATTTTACTATTTTTCCAATGGTTACTCTTGTTACTTTTCCAATGGTAACTCTCATATAAGTTAGTACTTTTACTGTATCTTGGATAATAAGAGGACCCCAAAATATCTTAACTCCATTTATTTTTCCAAGTAATATTATATTATTGTCATGTATTTTAATTTTATATACATTTCAAACCCCACAGAACATTATTTTTATGTATTAAAATTCATGCAGATTTTTCTCATATTTTTCTTTAAATTTTTATAGAAATAAACACTGAACCATGCATTCTTAATGAAATGAAATTTAGAGATTATTCATAAATATTTTACTAATTTTTAAAACTTTCTACACAAAGCAATCACCATGTAAGTTTCATCTCTCAGTTGTGCAGTTGTTTTCATTTTCGTATGTCCTAGAAAATGTGAATCTTCTTCATTTGTAGGGGCAAGGCACACAGGATTTTACCTATAACTGGATATCTGCTTCAAAAGTGGTAGTGTTATAATTTCTTTTATCACATCTCTTAAAGCTGTAATTATAACTCCCTTACATCATTTGATTTTTTAATAAAAGGAATATTAAACAGTAAACGTTTCACATGAAGTTTACAGGTATCAAGTATTCTGTTTGCTGTAATAACCTGAACCTTATATTTCTGAGAAAAATACACATAGATCTTGAAGTTATATGCTTGAGATAAATAGTTAAAATTACAATTAGTTATTTCTATTTTTATCAATAAATAGAAAAATTATGATAGTAATATTAAGAAGACTTAATATCTATAAAGGGAAATTTGACCAGGAGTCTCCTCTTATGATGGATTCATAGATGTTTTATGTTTTGGGTTCTTTTTGCTCCTTTGTATATTTCATGTTTTGAAAATAAGGATAGGTTTTTCTTTTCATGCTTCAAAATCTAATAAAAGAATATAAAAAGGCATGGCACTAAACTACATCTAAACAAAGATGGCTTGGTTACTTGCAGTGTCAGAATTAAGTTTTTTTCCGAGGAGAATGTTTAGTGTTATTTCCAGACACAACATTGCTGGGAAATTTTTTATTTATTTGTGGATACATAGCAGATGTATATATTTATGGATACATGAGATGTTTTGATACAGACATGCAATGAGTAATAACCACATCATGAAAACGGAGTATGTATCCCCTCAAGCATTAATCTTTTGTGTTACAAGCAATCCAATTATACTTTTAGTTATTTTTAAATATAAATTTAAATAATTATTGACTATAGTCACTCTGTTGTGCTATCAAACACTACGTCTTATTCATTCTTTCTAACTAGTTTTTATACCCATTAACCATTCCAACCTCCTCCCCAACAACCTATCTTTCCAAGCCTCTGGTAACCATCCTTCTACTCTCTATCTCCATGAGTTCAATTGTTTTGATTTTTAGATCCCACAAATAAGTGAGAACATGTAATGTTTGTCTTTCTGTGCCTGGCTTGTTTCGCTTAACATAATGATCTCCAGTTCTATCCATGTTGTTGCAAATGACAGGATCTCATTTTTTTTATGGATAAATATTACTCCATTGTGTATAAGTATCATATTTTCTTTATTCATTCATCTGTGGATGGACATTTAGGTTGCTTCCAGTGCTTGGCTATTATGAATAGTGCTGCAACAAACATGGGACTGCAGATATCTCTTTAATATACTGATTTCCTTTCTTTTTGGTATACACCCAGCAGTGGGATTCCTGGATCATATGGTAACCGTATTTTTAGTTTTTGAGGAAACTCCAAACTGTTCTTTATAGTGGTTGTAGTAATTTACATTCCCACCAACAGCATATGAGAGTTCCCTTTTCTCCACATCCTTGCCAGCATTTGTTATTGCCTGTCTTTTGCATATAAGCCATTTTAATTGGGGTGACATGATATCTTATTCTAGTTTTGATTTGCATTTCTCTGATGATCAATGATGTTGAGCAACTTTTTATATGCCCGTTTACCATTTCTGTCTTCTTTTGAGAAATGTCTATTCAAATCTTTTGCCCATTTATTGATAGGATTATTAGGATTTTTCCTATATAATTGTTTGAGCTCTTTATATATTCTGGTTATTAATCCTTTGTCAGACGGGTAGTTTACAAATATTTTCTCCCATTCTGTAGTTGTCTTTTCACTTTGGTGACTGTTTCCTTTATTGTCCAGAAGCTTTTTACTTGATGTGATGCCATTTGTTTATTTTTGCTTTGCTTGCCTGTGCTTGTGGGGATTGTTCAAGAAATTTTTGCCCAGACCAGTGTCATGTAGACTTTCCCTGATATTTTCTTGTAGTAGTTTCATAGGTTGAGGTATTAGATTTAAGTCTTTAATCCATTTTGATTTGATTTTCGTATGTGGGGAGAGACTGGGGTCAGTTTCATTCTTCTGCATATGGATATCCAGTTTTCCCAGCACCATTTATTGAAGAGATTGCCTTTTCCCCAGTGTATACTCTTGACAACTTTGTCGAAAATGAGTTTGCTGTAGGTGTGTGGATTTGTTTCTGGGCTCTCTATTCTGCTTCATTGATCTATGTGTCTATTTTTATGCCAGTACCATGCTGCTTTGGTGACTATAGCTCTGTAGTATAATTTGAAGTCAGGTAATATAATTTCTCCAGTTTTGTACCTTTCACTTAGCATAGCTTTGTCTACTCTTGGTCTTTTGTGGTCCTGTATAAATTTTAGGATTGTTTTCTCTGTTTCTCTGAAGAATGTCATTCATATTTCGATAGGGATTTAATTGAATCTGTAGATTCAGGGAATTTGTAGATTGCTTTGGGTAATACAGACACTTTAACAATATTGATTCTTACAATCCATCAAAATGGAATATCTTACCTTTTATTTGTATCCTCTTCAATTTATTTCAACAATGTTTTATAGTTTTTATTATAGAGATTTTTCACTACTTTGGTTAGGTCTCAGGTATTTAGTTTTATTTGTGGCTATTGTAAATGGGATTATGTTCTTTATTTCTTTTTTAAATTGTTCACTTTTGGCATATAGAAGTGCTACTGACTTTAGTATGTTGATTCTTTATCCTGCAACTTTATTGAATTTGACAGTTCTAATAGTTCTTTGGTGGAGTCTTTAAGATTTTCTAAATATAAGATCATCTCATCTGCAAACAAGAATAATTTGACTTATTTCTTTCTAATTTGAATGTCCTTTATTTCTTTCTCTTCTTTGATTGTGCTAGCTAGGACTTTCACTACTATGTGGGATAACAGCGGTGAAAGTGGGCATCTTTGTCATGTTCCAGTTCTTAGAAAAAAGGCTTTCAGTTCTTCCCCATTCACTGTAATACTAGCTGTGGGTCTGTCTACAGCTTTTATTATGTCGAGGTATATTCATTCTATACACAGTTTTTTGAAGGTTTTTATTATAAAGGAATATTGAATTTTATCAAATGCACTTTCAGCATCAATTGAAATGACTGTGGTTTTTGTCCTTCATTCTGCTGATATGATGTACCACACTGGTTGATTTCCATATGTTGAACTATCCCTGCATCCCAGGAATAAATCCCTCTTGGTCATAATGAATGATGTTTTCAATGTGTTGTTTGTTTTTTCCAGTATTTTGTTGAAAACTTTTGCATCGATATTCATCAGAGTTATTGGCCTGTAGTTTTTTTTTTTTTTTTCTTGATATGTCTTTGTCTGGTTCTGCTATCAGGGTAATTACTGGCCTCCCAGAATGAGTTTGGAAGTATTCCATCCTCCTCTATTTTTGGGAATCATTTGAATGGATTGGTGTTAGCTCTTCTTTAAATGTTTGGTAAAATTCAGCAGTGAAGCCAATCAGGTCCTGGGCTTTTCTTTCCCAGTAGATGTATTTTTTTACTGCTTTGATCTTTTTATTTGTTATTGGTCTGTTCAGGTTTTGGATTTCTTCATGGTTCAATCTTGGTAGGTTGCACGTGTCTAGGAATTTATCCATTTCCTCTAGATTTTCCAATTTGTTGGCATACAGTTGCTCATAGTAGCCATTAATGATCTTTGAAATTTCTGTGATATCAATGGTAATGTGTCCTTTTTATCTCTGATTTTGATTATTTAAGTCTTCTCCTTTTTTTTTCTTTGTTAGTCTGGTTAAAGATTTGTCAATTTTATCTTTCCCCAAAACCAACTGTTTGTTTCATTGACCTTTTGTATTGTTTTCTTTATTTCAAATTTATTTATTCCTGCTCTGATCTTTTTTATTCTACTAATTTGGGGTTTGGTTTGCTCTTGCTTTTCTAGTTCTTTAAGATGCATTTTTAGGTTGTTTATTTGAAGTTTTCCTTCTTTTTTGACATAGGCACTTATAGCTAGACATTTCCCTCTTAGTACTGCTTTCACTGTATCCCACAGGTTGTGCTATGTTTTGTGTTGTGTTTCCATTTCATTTGTGTCAGAAAAGTTTCAATTTTCTTCTTAATTTTTTCATTGACCTACTGGTCATTCAGGAGCATATTGTTTAATTATTATGTATTTGTATATTTTCCAACATTCCTCTTATTTTTGTTTTTATTCCTTTGTGGTCAGAGAAGATGTTTGGTATTATTTCAATTTTTTTAAAAATGGTGTAAGACTTGTTTTGTAACCTACCATATAGTCTATCCTTGAGAATGGTCCATGTGCTGAGGAAAAGAATGTGTATTCTGCAACCACTGGATGAAATGTTCCCTAAATATTCTTAGGTCATATGGTCTATAGCGCAGATTAAGTTTGATGTTTCTGTGTTGATTTTCTGTCTGGGAGATCTGTCCAATGCTGAAAGTGGAGTGTTGAAGTCTATTGTATTGGGGCCTCTCTCTCCCTTTAGCTCTAATATTATTTGCTTTATATATTTGGGTGTTCCAGTGTTGGTTGCATATGTATTTACAGTCATTATATCCTCTTGCTGAATTGACCCCTTTATCATCATATAGTGAGTGACATTCTTTGTCTTTTCTTGCTGTTGTTGTCTTAAAATCTATTTTATCTGATACAAGTATAGCTACTCCTGCTCTTTTTTGGTTTCCATTGGCATGGAATAGCTTTTTCCATGCTTTTATTTTCCATCTTTGTGTGTCTTTACAAGTGAAATGTGTTTCTTGTGGGCAACAGATCATCGGGTCTTATTTTTTTAATCCATTCTGCCACTCTATGTCTTTTGATTGGAGAATGTAGTCTATTTACATTCAATGTTATTATTGATAAGTAAGGACTTACTCCTGCAGTTTTATTTGTTTTATGGTCTTCTCTTTCTTCTTTTCTTCCTGTCTTCCTTTTAGTGAAGGTGATTTCTCTGGTTACATGACTTAGTTTCTTGCTTTTTATCTTTTGTGTATCCATTGTATGTTTCTTGGTTTGTGCTTACCATGCAGCTTGCAAATACTATTTTATACCCCATTATTTTAAGCCGAAACAATTTAACACTGTTTTCATAAGCAAAGAAATAAACAGGCAAAAAGAAATCTAAGTAAAACTCTATATCTTAACTTCATTACCCCCACTTTTTAACTTTTTCTTGTTTCTATTTATATCTTATTGTACTGTTTATGTCTTGAAAATTTGTTGTAGTTATTATTTTTGACTTGTTCATATTTTTGTCTTTCTACTTAAAAATAGTTTATACACCACAATCCACATTATAATATTCTGTGTTTTTCTGTGTACTTACTGTTACCAGTGAGTTTTATGCCTTTGGGTGATTACATATTGCTTATTAACATCTTTTACTTTCTGATTGAAGAATTGCTTTTAGTGTTTCTTGTAGGACAGGTCTGGTGTTAATAAAATCCCTCAGCTTTTGTTCATTTGGGAAAATCTTTATTTCTCCATTATGTTTGAGGGATATACTCACCAGATATACTATTCTAGGGTAAAAGGTTTTTATTCCCCTCAGCACTTTAAATATCCCATGCCACTCACTCATGACCTATAAGGTTTCCACTGTAAAGTCTGCTGCCAAATGCATTGGATCCCCATTATATGTTATTTACTTTATTTTCTTGCTGCTTTTTGGATTCTTTCTTTACCCTTAACCTTTGGGAGTTTGATTATGAAATGCCCTGAGGTAGTCTTCTTTGGGTTAAATCTGTTCGGTGTTCTATAATCTTCTTGGACTTGGATATTTACATCTTTCTCTAGGTTTGGGAAATTCTCTGTTATTTTCCCTTTGAATAAACTTTCTACCCCTATCTCTTCCTGTACCTCTTCTTTAAGCCCAATAATTCTTAGATTTGCCCTTTTGAGGCTATTTTCTAGATCCTTTAGGCATGTTTCCTTGTTTTTTATTCTTTTTTCTTTTGTCTCCTCTTACTGTGTACTTTCAAATAGCCTGTCTGTCTTCAGCTCACTAATTTTCTTCTGCTTGATCAATTCTGCTATTAAGAGACTCTGATACATTCTACAGTATACCAGTTGCATTTTTCAGCTCCAGTATTTCTACTTGATTCTGTTTAATTATTTCAATTCCTTTGTTAAATTTGTCTGATAGAATTCTGAATTTCTTCTTTGTGCTGTCTTGAATTTCTTTGAGTTTCTTCAAAAAAGCTATTTTAAATTCTCTGTATGAAAGGTCGCATAACTCTGTTTCTCCAGGATTGGTCCTTAGTTTCTTACTTAGCTCATTTGAGGAGGTCATGTTTTCTTGGATGGCCTTAATGCTTGTAGATGTTCATTTGTGTCTGGGCATTGAAGAGTTAGGTATTTATTGTAGTCTTCTCAGTCTGGGCTAGTTTGCACCTGTCCTTCTTGCGAAAGCTTTCCAGATATTAGAAAGGACTTGGATATTGTTATCTAAGCTGTATCTGCTTTAGGAGGCATCCCAAGCACAGTACCACTTTGGTTTTTGCAGACTCGTAGAGGTTCTGCCTTGACGGTCTTGGATGAGACCCAGAATTCTCTTTATTACCAGGCAGAGACTCTTGTTCTCTTCCCTTACTTTCTCCTAAACATACAAAGTCTCTCTGTGTGTGTTCTGAGCCACCTAGAGCTGGGGATGGAGTGACACAAGCACCCTTGTGGCCCTTGACACAAGACTGAGCTGAGTCAGTCCTGAAGTTAGCACAGCACAGGGTCTTGTCCAAGGCCTGCTGTAACCACTCCGTGTCAAGCCTATGTTCACTCAAGGACCTGGGCCTCTACAATCAGCAGGTGGCAAAACCAGCCAGGCCTGTGTTTTTCCCTTCAGGGTGGCAAGTTCCCCTAGGCCACACATGGGTGCAAAGGTGACATCCAGGAGCCAGAGACTAGAGTCAAAAAATTTTAGAAGTCTATCTGGTATTCTATTGTCCTGTAGCTGACCTGTCACTCAGACCACAAGATGCAGTGCTTCCCACTCTTCTCTCCCCTTTCCAAAAGCAGAGGAGCCTTATCCTATTGCCACTAACACTACAGGCCCGCAGTGAGTACTGCCAGCTACCATACATGTTCCCTTAAGGTCCAAGAGCTCTTCAGTCAGCTCGTGGTGAATGCTGCCTGGCCTGGGACTCACCATTTAGGACACTGGGCTCCTCTCTGGCCCAAGGCAGGTCCAGCAATGCCATCCATGAGCCAAGTCCTGGAATCAGGGACCCCAAGAACCCACCTGATGCTCTACCCACCTGTGGCTGAGTTGGTACCAAAGGTGAAAGACAAAATCCCGTTTACTTTTCCTTCTTTTCTCTAGTGGAAGGAGTCTCATGCTGGGAATTTTTACTAGCTTGAGTTATATGGAAATTCGAAAATGAAAGTAGGCCAAATTTTGTGTTCGTGTAGGATACATAATAACACCAACCACTGAAGTACCAAAGATTTCTTTCAATTCCTTGAATTGTTAACTTTTTTCTTCTACAGAATTCTCTCACAGAAATGTCAGCATCATTTTTGTTGATTTAATGACTAGATAATATCAAATATTGGTTGAGTAGTTACTCTATGCCAAGAAATTCCATGCATTATCTCAATTCATCCTCATAACAATCTTATGAGGTAGTTACTATTATCATTCTCATTTCTCATATAAGGAAAATGAGGCTTAGAAATATTTGTCAAGCAGCCCTGGGGGAATGTGGCAAGATGGCCGAATAGGAACAGCTCCGGTCTGCAGCTCCCAGTGAGACCAACACAGAAGGTGGATGATTTCAGCATTTTCAGCTGGGGTAGCCAGTTCATCTCATTGGGACTGGTTAGGCAGTGGGTGCAGCTCATGGAGGGTGAGCAGAAGCAGGGTAGGGCATCACTTCACCCAGGAAGTGCAAGGAGCCAGGGGACCTCCCTCCCTTAGCCAAGGAGAGCTGTGAGGGACTGTGCTACCCAGCTCAGATACTATGCTTTTCCCACAGTTTTTGCAATCTGCAGATCAGGAGATTCCCTCATGTGCCTACACCACCAAGGCCCTGGGTTTGAGACACAAAACGGGGTGACTGTTTGGGCAGACACCGAGCCAGCTGCAGGAGTCTTTTTCATACCCCAGTGGTGTCTGGAACCCCAGCAAGACAGAACCATTCACTCCCCTGGAAAGAGGGTTGAAGCCAGGGAGCCAAGTGGTCTTGCTCAGCAGGTACCACACCCACAGAGCCCAGCAAGCTAAGAACCACTGGCTTGAAATTCTCACTGCCAGCACACCAGTCTGAAGTTGACCTGGGATGATTGAGCTTGGTATGGGGAGAGGTGTCTGCCATTACTGAGGCTTTACTAGGCGATTTTCCTCTGACAGTACTAAGAAGGCTGAGAGGTTCAGACTGGACGGAATTCACCACAGCGTGGCAAAGCATCGTAGCCAGACTGCTTCTCTAGATTCCTCCTCATTGGGCAAGTCATCTCTGAAAGAAAGGCAGCAGCCCCAGTCAGAAGCTTACAGATAAAACGTCTATCTTCCCTGGAGGAAGGGGAGGTGGTGGGAGCAGCTTCAGTGGACTTAAACTTTCATGCCTGTCAGCTCTGAAGAGAGCAGCTGATCCTGACAAGGAGGATTCTCCCAGAACAGCACTCACGCTCTGCTGACAGACTACCTACCCAAGTGGGTCCCTGACCCCGGTGCCTCCTGACTGGGAGAAAGCTCCCAACAGGGATCAACACACACCTCATACAGGAGAGCTCTGGCTGGCATCAGGCTGGTGCTCCTCTGGGACAAAGCTTCCAGGGGAAGGAGCAGGCAGCAATCTTTGCTGTCTTGCAGCCTCCACTGGTAATACCCAGTCAAACATGGTGTGGAGCAGACCTCCAGCAAACTGCAGCAGACCTGCAGAAGAGGAGCTTGACTGTTAGAAGAAAAACTAACAAACAGAAAGGAATAACATCAACATCCACATAAAGGACCCCGATATAAAAACCCCATCCAAAGGTCATCAGCCTCAAAGATCAAAGATAGATAAATCCACAAAGATGAGGAAAAACCAGCCCCAAAATGCTGAAAATTCCAAAAACTAGAATGCCTCTTCTCCTCCAAATGATCACAACTCCTCTCCAGCAAGGGCACAAAACTGGATGGAGAATGAGATTGACAAATTGATAGAAGTAGGCTTCAGAAGGTGGGTAATAACAAACTCTGAGCTAAAGGAGCATATTCTAACCCAATGCAAGGAAGCTAAGAGCCTTGATAAAAGGTTACAGGAACTGCTAACTAGAATAACCAGTTTAGAGAGGAACATAAATGACCTGATGGAGCTGAAAAACACAGCACGTGAACTTTGTGAAGCATACACAAGTATCAATAGCCAAATTAATCAAGTGGAAGAATGCATATCAGACACTGAGAATCAACTTACTGAAATAATGCATGTAGACAAGATTAGAGAAAAAAGAATGAAAAGAAATGAACAAAGCCTCCCAGAAATATAGGACTATGTGAAAAGACCAAACCTGTGATTGATTGGTGTACCTTAAAGTGACAGGGAGAATGGAATCAAGTTGGAAACCACACTCCAAGATATTATCTAGCAGAATTTCCCCAACCTAGCAAGACAGGCCAACATTCAAATTCAGGAAATACAGAGAACACCACTAAGATACAACGCCAACACACGTAATCATCAGATTCTCCAAGGTTGAAACAAAGGAAAAAATGTTAAGGGCAGCTAGAGAGAAAAGTCAGGTTACCTACAAAAGGAAGCCCATCAGACTAACAGTGGATCTCTCTGCAGAAACCCTACAAGCCAGAAGAGAGTGGGGGCCAATATTCAACATTCTTAAAGAAAAGAATTTTCAATGTAGAATTTCATATCTAGCCAAACTAAGCTTCATACATGAAGGAGAAATTAAATCCTTTCCAGACAAGCAAATGCTGAGGGATTTTTATCACCACCAGGCCTGCCTTACAAGAGCTCCTGAAGGAAGCACTAAGTATGGAAAGGAGAAACTGGTAACAGCCACTGCAAAAACACACCAAAATATAAAGACCAATGACACTATAAAAAAACTGCATTAACTAATGTGCAAAATAACCAGCTAGCATCATGATGACAGGATTAAATTCACACGTAACAATATTAACCTTAAATGTAAATGGGCTAAATTTCCCAATTAAAAGACACAGACTGGCAAATTGGATAAAGAGTCAAGACCCATCAGTGTGCTGCATTCAGAAGAATCATCTCACGTACAAAGACACACATAGGCTCAAAATAAAGGGATGGAGGAATATTTACCAAGCAAATGGAAAGCAAAAAAAAAGGTAGAGGTTGCTATCCTAGTCTCTGATAAAACAGACTTTAAACCAACAAAGATCAAGACAGACAAAGAAGGACGTTACATAATAGTAAAGGGATCAATGCAGCAAAAAGAGCTAACTATCATAAATATATATGCACCCAATACATAAGCACCCAGATTCATAAAACAAGTTCTTAGAGACCTACAAAGAGACTAAGACTCCCACATCATAATAGTGGGAGACTTTAACACCCCATTGTCAATATTAGAGAGATCAATGAGACAGAAAATTAACAAGGATATTCAGGACTTGAACTCAGCTCTGGACCAAGAGGACCTAATAGACATCTACAGAACTCTCCACCCCAGATCAACAGAATATACATTCTTCTCAGCACCACATAGCACATATTCTAAAATTGACCAAATAATTAGAAGTAAAACACCCTTCAGTAAATGTAAAAGAATAGATATCATAACAAACAGTCTCTCAGACCAAAGTGCAATCAAATTAGAATTCAGGATTAAGAAACTCACTCAAAACCACACAACTACATGGAAACTGAACAACTTGCTCCTGAATGACTACTGGATAAATAACAAAATTAAGGCAGAACTCAAGAAGTTCTTTGAAACCAATGAGAACAAAGAGAGAACATACCAGAATCACTGGGACATGGCTAAAGCAGTGTTAAGAGGAAAATTTATAGCATTAAACGCTGACAACAGAAAGCTGGAAAGATCTTAAATCAACACCCAACATCACAATTAAAAGAACTAAAGAAGCAAGAGCAAACAAATTGAAAAGCTAGCAGAAAACAAGACGTAACTATGATCAGAGCAGAACTGAAGGAGATAGAGACATGAAAAACCCATAAAAAAATCAATGAATCCAGGAGCTGGGTTTTTGAAAAGATTAACAAAATAGATAGACCACTAGCTAGATTAATAAAGAAGAAAAGAGAGAAGAATCAAATAGACACAATAAAAACTGATAAAGGGGATATCACCACTGATCCCACTGAAATACAAACTATCATCAGAGAATACCATAAAAACCTCTAGGCAAATAAACTAGAAAATCTAGAAGAAATGGATAAATTCCTGGACACATACACCCTCCCAAGACTAAACCAGGAAGAAGTCAAATCCCTGAATAGACCAATAACAAGTTCTGAAATTGAGGCAGTAATTAGTAGCCTACCAAACAAAAAAAGCCCAGGACCAGACAAATTCACAGCCAACTTCTACCAGAGGTGCAAAGAGGAGCTGGTACCATTCCTTCTGAAACTATTCCAAATAATGGAAAAAGAGGGACTTCTCTCTAACTCATTTTATGAGGCCCACATCATCCTGATACCAAAACCTGGCAGAGACACAACAAAAAAAGAAAATTTCAGGCCAACATCCCTGATAAACATCAATGTGAAAACCCTCAATAAATACTGTTAAACTGAATCCAGCAGCACATCAAAAAGCTTATCCACCACAATCAAGTCAGCTTCATCCCTGGGATGCAAGGCTGCTTCAACATTCATAAATCAATAAACGTAATCCATCACATAAACAGAACCAATGATAAAAACCACATGATTATCTCGACAGATGCAGAAAAGGTGTTCCATAAAATTCGACACCTCTTCATGCTAAAAACACTCAATAAACTAGGTACTGATGGAACATATCTCAAAATAATGAAAGCTATTTATGAAAAACCCATAGCCAATATCATACTGAATGGGCAAAAGTTGGAAGCATTTCCTTTGAAAACTGGCACAAGACAAGGATGCCCTCTCTCACCACTCCTATTCAACATAGTATTGGAAGTTCTGGGCAGGGCAATCAGGCAAGAGAAAGAAATAAGGAATATTCAAATAGGAAGAGAGGAAGTCAAATTGTCTCTGTTTGCAGATAACATGATTGTATATATAGAAAACCCCATCGTCTCAGCCCAAAAACTCCTTAAGCTGATAAGCAACCTCAGCAAAGTCTGAGGATATAAGATCAATGTGCAAAAATCACAAGCATTCCTATACACCAATAATAGACAAGCAGACAGCCAAATCATGAGTGAACTCCCACTCACAGTTGCTACAAAGAGACTAAAATACCTAGGAATCCAACTTACAAGGGATGTGAAGGACCTCTTCAAGGAGAACTATAAACCATTCATTGCTCAAGGGAATAAGAGAGGACACAAACAAATGGAAAAATATTCCATGCTCATGGATAGGAAAAATCAATATCGTGAAAATGGCCACACTGCCCAAAGTAATTTATAGATTCCATGCTATTCCCATCAAGCTACCATTGACTTTCTTCACAGAATTTGAAAAAACTACTTTAAAGTTCATATGGAACCAAAAAAGAGCCTGTAAAGCCAAAACAATCCTAAGCAAAAAGAGTAAAGCTGGAGGCATCATGCTACTGACTTCAAACTATACTACAAGGCTACAGTATCCAAAATAGCATGGTACTGGTACAAAAACAGACACACAGACCAATGGAGCAGATTAGAGAACTCAGAAACAAGACCACACATCTACAACCATCTGATCTTCAACAAACCTGACAAAAACAAGCAATGGGGAAAGGATTCCCTATTGAATAAATGATGCTGGGAGAACAAGCTAGTCATATGCAGAAAACTGAAACTGGACCCCTTCTTTACACCTCATACAAAAATTAACTCAAGATGGATTAATGAGTTAAACATAAAACCTAAAGCCATAAAAACCCTAGAAGAAAACTTAGGCAATACCATTCAGGACACAGGCATGGGCAAAGACTTCATGACTAAACCACCAAAAGCAATTGCAACAAAAGCCAAAATTGACAAATAGGATCTAATTAAACTAAAGAGCTTCTGCACAGCAAAAGAAACTATCATCAGAGTGAACAGGCAACCTACAGAATGGGAGAAAATTTTTGCAATCTATCCATCTGAAAAAGGGTTAATATCCAGAATCTACAAGGAACTTAAACAAATTTACAGGAAAAAAAAAACCATCAGAAAGTGGGCAAAAGATATGAACAGACACTTCTCAAAAGAAGACATTTATGCAGCCAACAAACATATGAAAAAAAGCTCATCATCACTGGTCATTAGAGAAATGCAAATCAAAACCACGATGAGGTACCATCTCACACCAGTTAGAATGCCGATTATTTAAAAGTCAGGAAACAACAGATGCTGGCGAGGCTGTGGAGGAATAGGAACACTCTTACACTGTTGGTGAGAGTGTAAATTAGTTCAATCATTGTGGAAGACAGTGTGGCGATTCCTCAAGGATCTAGTACCAGAAATACCACTTGACCAAGCAATCCCATTACTGGGTATATACCCAAAGGATTATAAATCATTCTACTGTAAAGATACATCCATACTTATGTTTACTACTGCACTATTTACAATAGCAAAGACTTGGAACCAATCCAAATGCCCATCAATGATAGACTGGATAATGAAAATGTGGCGCATATACACCATGGAATACTATGCAGCTATAAAAAAGAATGAGTTCATGTCCTTTGCAGGGGCATGGATGAAGCTGGAAACCGTCATTCTCAGCAAACTAACACAGGAACAGAAAACCAAACACCACATGTTCTCACTCATAAGTGGGAGGTGAACAATGAGAACACATGGACACAGTGAGAGGAGCATCACATACTGGGTCCTGTCATGCGCTGGGGCACAAGGGGAGGGAGAGCATTAGGTATTTTTCCTAATGGCTTAAAACGTAGATGACGGGTTGATGGGTGCAGCAAACCACCATGGCACATGTATACCTATGTAAAAAACCTGCACATTCTGCATATGTATCCCAGAACTTAAAGTAAAAAAAAAAAAAAAAAAAAAAAAAAGACAGAAGCCCTATCAGATTAGGGCCCCACCCTTATGACATCATTTGACCTTGATTACCTGCTTAAAAGCCATACCACCAAGTACAGTCATGTTGGGGGTAAGGGCTTCAGCACATGAATTTTGGAGGGACACAATTCAGTCCATAACAGAATGAATATTAAGTGGAATTATTGCTAATTTGTAAGGGATAATGTTAGCATTGTGGTGATGTAAGAAACATGTAATTTTTTTGAGATGTATTCTGAAGTATGTAGGAGTAAAATCAAATGATGTCTGAGGCTTTGCTTTTAAAAACTTTAGAAGAAAGGAAGGGAAAAAGAAAAGATGAGAAGGGAAAGGAAGGAAAGAAAAGGAAGGAAATCAGAGCATATATGCCCAACTCTTGATAATTGTTGAATCTTGGTAATGGGTATATTGTGGTTCATCATATCTCTTCACTTCTTCGTATGTTTGAAATTTTCTGTATTAAAACTTCTATCTTTTGTTCTGAAAAAAAAGAGAAAGATTTGCCTAAGGCTGAATAGCAATATTCAGTGATAAATTAGGACTTCAATCAAGCCTGTCTGTTCCTAAAGTTGAGGCACTTAACAACTATGCAACATTGCTACACAGAGAGTTACATGAAGTATTTTTTAACCTTTTGGTAAAATGTAACTGATTCTTAAAAAGAAGGAGGTGCTATAATTTTTCCACACAAATTATATGTGGCATATCCCAGATAAATGCTTTGGGTTAAGCAAAGTTTTGAATTGATTAACAATAAATATTAGAATACCAATGGCTGGTTTATATACCTTCCTTTATTCCAACACTTGAAGTTTTGAGGGGTGGTTGTTTAATAAATATTTAACCCTTCTTTTTATTCATCATTGCAGTAAATACTCTTGAATCCATCTATTTATATTTAAAATGTGTTTCTTTTTTTTAAGTTAGTAAATTTTGTTATATATATTTTGCCGCAATTAAAAATAAAAAAGAATTTGAAGGGAAATAATTTCAACAAATAAAGTAAATGGAGTGGAAGGACATACAGAGAGCTGGTAATCAACAGGCAATAAGTCCAGCAAGATGAATAAGCTCTAGAGATCTGCTTAACGACATGGTACCTAAAGTGTGTTTCTTATAAGCACTATACTGTTGGTTCTTGTGTTTTTATCCAATCGCACAAACTCTGCCTTTTAATTGGAGTGTTTAGACTATTTATATTTAATGTGATTATTGCTATTGTTGGATTTAAATCTATCATCTAGCTGTTCATTTTCTATTTGTACTTTTGTTTTTGTTCCCTTTTTCTTCTTTTAATATTTTCTTTTGTATTGATTATTTCTAATGATTCCATTTTATTTCCTTCATTGGATTATTAGGTATAACTCTTTGTTGTTATATTTCAGTGGTTGCTTTAAGTTTTATAAAACACAGGGCTTTTTCTTTGACTTACCACGGCCTGCCTTTGTATTAATTATGCTTTTATTTTCTGTGTTTACTGATGCTTTGTCATCTGTGGGCCTAACTGATCCTAGTCAGATTGTCCCGTCAGAGCAAACCAATGTCTAGAGATAGCAAACAACTTGTCTATGAGTTACACCTTTCATACGAAAACCAACCAATCCAAAGCTGATAACCCCAACCACCTCCTTTATCAACCTCTTATACTCTGATTCACCATTTCTTTGCCCTAATCACCAAAGGGCCAGGTACCAGACAGCTAGAGACAGCCCTTACACTTCAGAACCTGCTAAATGATGCAAACTAGCCAATTCCAAGCCTACTTCCCTGCCCTGAATTGCTTTTCCCACAGAAACAATAAAGACTCCCGTCTATGTTTTCCCCTCGCTTCGTTTCCTGACCAATCCTGGTGCTTCTCTATGTGCCCCTCTATGTGCACCCCCTGCATGGTGTTCTGTGCCTCCTGCTTCTTGGTAACTACGAGCAAAATCTTTCTTCATGATAGTAATTTTTATATCTGCATGCCTTACCATATCTGAGTAAAACAAATTCTGGATATATTTTTTAAGTAAGCTTCAAGTTATATTAATCATCACAAATATAGTAAAAGAACATTACAACATTCAACTTCCATTTCTCTTCTCCGGGCCTTGTGCTATTGTTGTCATATTTTACTTAAACATATTAAGAAATTTTATAATTCCTCATTATTTTTTGTTTTGAAAAGTTAACATTCTGTCAGAGATTTAAAACTAAGAAATAGTTGTTATATTTATCCATGTAGTTACTGTTTCTGATGCTATTCATTCTTTTGCACAGATCCAGATTTCAGCCTGATATCATTTCCTTTCTTCTTGAAAGACATCCTTTAACATTTCTTATAGAACAGGTCTACTGATGATGAATTTCCTTTGGATTTCATATTAGAAAAAGTCTTTATTTTACCTTCATTTTTTTAAAGATATTTTCTCTGGGTAAAGAATTCTAGGCTTACAGGTCACTTTTTTTTTTCAATACTTTGAAGATGTTGCTTTTCTGTCTTCTGACTAGCATTGTTCTCAACAAGAAATTTGTTGTCATCTTCATTCCACTGTATGTAATGTGCCTTTCCCTCTGGATGATATTAACATTTTTCTTTTCATCACTGTTTCAAGTAACTAGGTTACGATGTGCCTTGTTATGGTTTTCTTCATGTATCTTGTGCTTGGGGTTTTCTAAACTTCTTAAATCTGTGGGCTTATTGTTTTCCTCAAATTTGGAAGAATTTTGGCCATTATCTCTTCAAATATTTTTTTCTGTTCTTCCCTTTCTTTCTAATTATATGTGTATTATTCCATTTGAAATTGTTCTGCAGTTCACCAATGCGCCGTTCATTTTTCCTGGTTTTTTCTTTGCTTCATTTTGAATAGTTTCCATTGCTATGTCTTCAAGTACATCAATAAGCATCCTCTCCCCAGCATCATTTCATCTCTCAGTCAACCACTCTGCCCACCTCTGTTTCCAGGAGTTATCTATAAGTGGACAGAGCTGAGCAACCATGCCCAGTAGGCACAGAGGTGCAAAACAAACATCCTGAGAGCTTTATCATGTGCAGCTCCCTGTGGCAGATGCTGGCTGTTCTCCCCATATGATCATTCTTGGGCTATTTACCTAATATCACAGAATCATAAAATACCATAGCCACTTACAATCCCCAAAACCAAGCCACCCTACCTGAGTTCCCCACAGCATTCCCAGAACAATGCTTACTCTAATCCTCCAGCTACTGAAAACTTACTACCCAAAGGCCTCCATTGTATCTTTTGTTCAAGTTATTATAAAAATCTCCCCAAAGTTGAGCTGAAGTCTCTGTCCCTATAATTTCCACTTATTAATTTACCAACTTTGTTATTCAAGGAACCATCATTGATCACATACTAAGTGCTAGACTCTCCATTAGTCTAAGACACTAATTGATGACCTCACAGAACTTGGAATCTAGTTTAAAAGACCACAAATACATCAACCACAGCTGGACACAGAGGCTTAAATGACAGGCATTCAAATTAAACTACCTGATCAGGTAAGGCTTCCTGGAAGAGGGAGTGGAAGAGCAGGACTTTGAAAGCTAGTGAGGAGTTAGCTAAATGAAGGAGTTGGGGAGGGTGCCAAGAGAACACAAAATATCAAAGCATAGATTTATCAAACAATCCAACAGACTGTTAGAAGAGCAGGTGTTTGCTATGGCCCAAATAAAGGGATAATAGGAATGTAGATGGGCAAGAAAGCCAGGCAAAGAAAGACATATCTTACCCATAAGAAGTGGTTGCTTATGGGTAAACAGAAGGGATGAAGGGGATGGTGCAATGATTGTGCCTCTGAGAATATGTATTAGGCTAAATAATGACCCCCAAGGATTTTTACATCTTAATTTCTGAAACCTGTGAATGTTACCTTATACATAGAAAGTGCTCTGAAGTTCTGATTAATTTAAGAATCTTGAGTTGGGGAGGCTTGCATTATCTCAGTGGCCCTAAATGCAATCACAAATGTCCTTATAAGAAGGAAGCAGAGAATTTGATTATAGAAGAAAAACAGGCAATGTGATGATGAAAGCAGAGACTGGAGTGATATGCTTTGAAGATGGAGGAATGGGCAATAAGCCAAGGAATACAGGAGGCCACTAGAAGCTGAAAAAGTCAAGGAAACAGATTCTCTCTTCAGAGCCTACAGAAAGAACCAACTCTGCTGATACTTTGCTTTTAGCCCCATCAGACTTCTGGCCTCCAATACTTTAGGAGAATAAATTTGTGTTGTTTTAAACCACTAAATTTCTGATTTATTTATAGGAGCAATAGCAAACTAATACATAGTACTTAAGCCAAAAATTATAGAATTGAACTTCTCGTTTACTATGGTGCAGTTCCAGGAAATCAATAACAAAGGACTCCAAGGGTTGGGAAATACAGCAAAAAGCACACTTATCTGCCTCAGTGATGACTCTTAGAAAGGATATCTCCTTTTATCTCAAGTGTAAGTTTGCTATACACTGTCATGGGTTCAAACTCTCTGCTACCTGCTAGCTGTGTGGCCTTGAGTAAGTTACTGAACCATTCTGAGCTTATTATCTCATCTGTAAAAATGAGACAATTGTACGTATCTCACAGGGTTTCTGTAAAATAAAGGATATGAAAGGAGGAAAGGTGGGCAATCCATATTAAGATCCTAGAAAGTGCCAAGCACCAAATACCCAAGAAGAAGGACATGGCTGAAGTGGAAACTGGGAAGATCTTAATGATGGTTATTTTGAAAGGAAATCCAGACCTGTTAGCTAGGGTAGATGTCAAAGGCTTCATCCAGCTGGTGCCATGCACAGACAAGGGCACCTGGGCAAGGAGAACAATGAGACAATGGCTACAACTGGAATGAGGAGGGGGGAAGAGTGACCTTGGAGATGGCAGTTGAAAGGGTTACATTTTACCAAGAAGATTGAGATGTTTAAGGGGCAAAAATCAAGAAATCTTCTAGAAGTTTTTTTCTAAATAAAACTGAAGGATATGGGATGAGGTTACAAATGGACTGTTTCCCTAAAGAGTAAAGAGCAAGGACATTATTTGAGACATATCTGAGAATAGTTGAGACACAGTTCTGGCTCTAATACTAGAAGAGCTAATGTTAAGAAAATATCCAGAAAATGTGTGGAGATCCCAAGAAGGACCTCACCCAAAAAGTCTCTGGAGAAGCCCTTCTTGCATCTCTTCCTGCATCCCTAAACTTCTAATCTCCAAGAGATTTGCTGGGAACCTCCAAGAGCCTATCTAGATATTCCCAACACCCAGACATAGGAAATATTCAAGGTTTCCAAAGGGTGAAGATGACAGTGCTGAAGTTAGAAGCCTAGGAGAACTGTGGTGTGGTGCTTAGGAGAAAAAACAACACTTGGCTGGGTGTGGTGGCTCATGCCTATAATATTAGCACTTTGGGAGGCCGAGGTGGGTGGATCACCTGGGGTCAGGAGTTTGAGACAAGCCTGGCCAATGTGGCAAAACCCTGTCTGTATTAAAAATACAAAAATTAGCTGGGCATGGTGGCAGGCACCTATAATCTCAGCCACTCAGGAGGCTGAGGCAAGAAAATCTCCTGAACCCGGTGGGTGGAGGTTGCAGTGAGTCAAGATTGCACCACTTCACTCCAGCCTGGGCGAAAGAGCAAAACTCCATCTCAAAGAAAAAGAAAAAGAAAAAACAACCCTTGCCCAAGCCTTAAACTGGGGAAATTTTTTTCAGTATTGGAGTAAGCTGTATCAGTACACCTCATATTACATAAAACTCTCTGGAAACCTTTGAATTCTGAGATTCATATGTCATCCCATTTTATAAGTCATTGTCCTAATGACGAATAAACACTCTTTCACTTAGTATGTATAAGAAATTTCCAGGGAACCAGAAATCTGATAGTATTGCTGTATTAGGCCATTTTGCATTACTAT
This sequence comes from Homo sapiens, assembly GCF_000001405.40. Classification (NCBI taxonomy): domain Eukaryota; kingdom Metazoa; phylum Chordata; class Mammalia; order Primates; family Hominidae; genus Homo; species Homo sapiens. The sequence goes on from NC_000011.10 coordinate 125,830,025, forward strand.
AAAGAAATACTTGAGGCTAGTTAATTTATAAAGAAAAGAGGTTTTATTTTGGCTCATGGTTCTGCAGGCTGTAATGAAACATAGTGCCAGCATCCACTTCTGGAGAAGCCTCAGAAAGCTTACAATCATGGAAGAAGGCAAAGGGGGAGCCAGCACATCACAGGGCAAGAGAGGGAGCTGGAGAAAGGGAGGGGAGGTTCCAGGCTCTCTTAAACAACCGGGTCTCACATGAACTCATAGAGTAAGAATTCACTTATTTCCACAAGGTCAACATCAAGCCATTCATGAGGGATCCTCTCCCATGACCTAATGCCTCCTACCAGACCTAACCTCTAACATTGGGAATCACACTTCAACATGAGATTTGTAGGGGACAAATATCCAAACAATATCATTCTGTCCCTGGCCCCTCAAATCTCATGTCCTTCTCACATTGCAAAATACAATCATCTATTCCCAACAGTTTCCCAAAGTCTTAATTTTTCCAGCATCACTCAAAAATGTAAAGTCCAAAGTTTCATCTGATTCTCAAAGCAATTTCCTTCAATCTATGAGTTTATAAAATCAAACACAAGCTATTTACTTCCAAGATACAATGGTGGTACAGGCATTGAGTAAACATTCCCATTCCAAAAGGGAAAAACCAGCCAAAAGAAAAGGACAAGAGGCCCATCCAAGTCTGAAATCCAGCAAGGCAGTCATTAAATTTAAAAGTTCCAGAATAATTTCCTTTGGCTCCATGTCCCATATCCTGGGCATACTGATGTGAGAGGTGGGTTTGAGGCCTTGGGAAGATCTGCCCCTGTGGTTTTGCAAGGTGCAGCCTCTATGGCTATTCTCACAGATTGGAGTTGAGTAGCTGTGGCTTTTCCAGGCTCAAGGTGCAAGCTGCCAGTGGCTCTACCATTCTGGGGTCTGGAGGGTGGTGGCCCCTTTCCACAGCTCCACTAGGCTGCTCTCCAGTCGAGACTCTTGTGGGGGCTCCAATACCACATTTTCCCTTGGCACTGTCCTCGTAGATCCTCTCTGTGGGGGCTGTACCCTTGAAGCAGGCTTCTTCCTGAGCACCCAGACTTTTCCATACATCCTCTGTAATTGAGGTGGAAGCTGCCAAGCCTCCTTCACTCTTGCATTCTGCACACCTGCAGGCTTAGCACCATGTGGAAGCTGCCAAAGCTTATAGCTTGAACCTTTCAGAGCAATGGCCCAAGCTGTACCAGAGCCCCTTTGAGATGAAGCTGGAGCTGGAGTGGCCAGGATGTGAAAGCAGTGTCCCAAGGCTGCACAGGGCAGAAGGGCCCTGGGCCTGGCCCCTGAAAACATTCTTTCCTCCTAGGCCTCTGAGCTTGTGATAAGAGGGGCTGCCTTGAAGATTTCTGAAATGTCTTCATGGCCTTTTTCCCATTGTCTTGGATATTATTAGCCGAGAGCTGTTATCCAATAATATATTATTACATAATAATAGCTATTATTGGATAACAGCTCTTGGCTCCCTTTTAGTCATGCAAATATATCTAGCAAGTAGTTCCTCCATAGGCCACTGGAATTCCTCTCCTGAAAACATTCATTCCTTCTCTGCCACATAAGAATTTTCCAAATTTTTATGCTCTACTTATCATTTTTTTGTTTTGTTTTGTTTTGTTTTTTGACAGAGTCTCACTCTGTCACCAGGCTGGAGTGCAGTGGTGTGATCTCAGCTCACTGCAACCTCCAACTCCTGGGTTCAAGTGATTATCCTGCCTCAGCCTCCCGAGTAGCTGGGACTACAGGTGTGCACCACACCCAGCTAATTTTTGTATTTTTAGTAGAGATGGGGTTTCACTATGTTGGCCAGAATGGTCTCAATCTCTTGACCTCATGATCCGCCCTCCTTGGCCTCCCAAAGTGCTGGGATTACAGGCTTGAGCCACTGTGCCCAGCCTCTACTTATCTTTTAAATGTAAGTTCCAACTTTAAGTTATTTCTTTCCTCCCATACATAATTGTGGGCTGTTAGAAGCAGCCATATCACATCCTGAACACTGTACTGCTTAGAAATGTCTTCTGCCAGATACCCTAGGTCATCATTCTTAAGTTCAGTCTTCCACAAATTCCCAGGCCGTGGACACAATGCAGCCAAGCTCTTTGCTAAGGCATAGCAATGGTGACCTTTGCTCCAGTTCCAAAGAGCTTCCTCATTTTTATCTGAGAACTCCTCAGCCTGGCCTTTGCTATCCATATTTCTATCAGTATTTTGGTCACAACCACGTAACAAGTTTCTAAGAAATTCCAACATTCCCCCATTTTCCTGTCTTCTAAGCCCTCTAAATTCTTCCAACCTCTGCCCATTACCCAGTTCCCAAGCTTCTTCAACATTTTCAGGTATCTTTATAGCAACACCCCACTTCTCAGTATCGATTTTCTGTTAGTGCATTTTTGCATCGCTATAAAGATATACCAGAGACTAGGTAATTTGTAAAGAAGAGAGATTTAATTAGCTCACAGTTCTGCAGGCTGTACAGGAGGCATGGTGCTGGCATCTGCTCCTGGTGAGGGCCTCAGGGAGCTTGCAATCATGGTGGAAGGCAAAAAAGGAGTTGGTGTATTACATGGCAAGAATGAGAGCAAGAGAGAGAAGGGAACAACAGAGAGAAGGGAAGGGGAGGTTCCACACTCTTTTAAACAACCAGCTCTCGCTTGAACTACCAGAGCAAGAACTCACTCATTACAATGAGGATGGCACCAAGCAATTCATGAGGGATCTGCCCCCATGACTCAAACAGCTCCCACCATGCCCCACCTCCAACTTTATGGATTACATTTCAACATGAGATTTGGAGGGGACAATCAAACCGTAACAATCACACACACACACACACGCAGACACATAGAGAAAAAAGGGTGAGTAGCGACTGTAGTCCCAGCTACACTGGAGGTTGAAGCAGGAGGATCGTGTAAACCAAAAAGTTTGAGGCTGCAATGAGCCCCTGCACTCCAGCCTGGGCAACAGAGTGAGACCCTGTCTCTTAAAAAAAAAAAGTGAGGAGAAGACAGATATGGGGCAGGGAAGGCAGAGGGAGGATGGAGAGTCAGGGGTGGAAATCTAATTCAACTTTAGCCAGAAGCATTCCCTGACACTGCTCACCAGCCTGCACTTTCCACATTAGTACAGATTTATGGCTCCTTAAGAGAAGGGAGTGGGGAAAGGACGGTTCTGCCTCATGCCTTTATCAGGGACTCCTCCCTCCTTTCTATTTACTGGCTGTGATCGAACATCTAAGCTTTATAAAGCAAGCTAGTGGCTGCCCTTTCCAATACCTCACTCAGCACACCGTCTGTCACCCAAACAAGCATCCAATGAGGAAAATGAACACACTGCTCCTTGTGAGCTTATCTTTTCTCTACCTCAAAGAGGGTAAGTTTGAACAATGGGGGTGGAGGGAGGCAACTTAGGGGTGCTGTTCTCTAAACCTCTACTCTCCAAGTCTCACTCACATGCTCCAGCTGAGACCCAAAGACTCAGTACAATCTGAGTTTCAGGATGTCAGAGAGATCATATATAACACACTAATCCGGAAGAAAATGTACTACTGATTGCAGGGAAACAGGACAATTTTCCAACTTCATATTAATTGACTTTTCATCCATACTTATCTCATTTTGGACCCTTTCTTTCTTAATATACTTTTCTCCTTTATTATCTCCTACACTCTCCTAGTTTTCCTTTCCTCTGGCTACTTCTCAGTGTATTTTGTAGGATTCTTTATTCTACCTGATCATTAAACACTGGGATACCTTAAGGCTTTATACTATCCACTCAGACCCTCCTCTATATCAACTTACCCACTTCCATGGCTTCAATTACAATCTATATGCTGAAAATGCCCAGTTTTATATCCTAGCCAGATTTCTATTCTGAGCTTCAGTCTTTCATCAACAAACACCTCCTACACTTGGAAGTCACCCTTGAAATCTCCCTCTCCCTTAACACTCACTAAAAATTAGTGAATGATTCCTATGCTTTCTACCTATTAAATGTGCTTCAAATATGATTATATTTCTACCTTATATTTCTATTTTGCTACCTTTTGACACTTAGTAAGAAATAATAAACCATAAAAGAATTATAAGAAAATGTGACATAATTTGTTTGTAAGCTTAGAAATGAGAAAGACCTTTCTAACTATGACTCAAAATCCAGAGCTCTTAAAAGAAAAACTGACAAATTTGACACATGAATATCAAAATATTCCTCATGGCAAAAATTAAAAATGCAACTCACATCAAACAAATGGCTAATATCCCTGATATGTAATGCCTCCTTTAAAAAAATCAAAAAGGAAAAGGCCAACAACCTAATAGAAAAATGGGCAAAGTATGTAGATAGTTCACACAAAAGAAAATGAAAATGGCTATTAAACATATAAAAAGTGCTCAATCTCACTCATACTAAGAAAAATGCAAATTAAAAGAACACTGATACACCATTTTTGACCTATCAGATTGTCAACATCCAGGAGTTTGATAAAATATTTGAGTATTAAAGTTGTGGTGAGACAAGAATTTTCCAAGCATTGATAGCAACAGAATAGTTACATCTCCTCTGGTGGGCAATTCAGCAATACCTATCAAAATTACAAAAGTGTTTACTTTTTATCCAGCAATTCTGCTTGCATGAAATTATCTTATAGATATACTCCCACACAAATGAAATATGTTCAGCATTATTTATTGCAGCAGATAATATCAAAAAGTGCAAATAACTTAAATTCTCATAAGAGACTGGTTAATTAAAGCATGGTACAGCACTACAGTGGAATACTATACACTTAGTATACATTATTCAAAAAATCAAAGTGCAGAGTATGCATAGTATACTACCAATTATGAAAAGGGGGTAAAAAGATACATGTGCATATTTATATTTGCTTGAATATACTGAAAATCAATCTAAAAGATATAAAAGAAATGAATAAAACTGGTTTCCTTTATTTGGCAGATGAAAACTGGATAACTAGCTGGCAAGAGTGGGAGATCAACTTTACACAACATTCTTTTTCTATTACTTACTATTTAGTCACATCAATGTATTACCTATTTTTAAATAATGCATTTTTAGAATGTTGAAATTGGAAATACTCAGGTTAAAGATCAAAGAGACAATTATTCGAAGAGCATTATCAGTGTACTGCGCAGCCTGCTCCCAACTCCTCTGAAAGAGAGAAGCCTCATGAAAGTTGCTTCAGGGAGAAATTGATAGTGTCCTCTGGTGTTTGGAAGGCACAGTGAGCTTGAGGAACCCAAAGGTGCGAGGGAGCCGGAGGGTACAGCCCTGAAATGGTGGAACTGAAAGACAGCTGAGTTGCATTACATACAAGCAGGGAGGATGTGCATACATTCCCCTGGATCTGATCTGGGCCATGCCATATCAAGCAAGTCAGGCTTGAGCTGTTTAAAGTTCTATCCAAGAGCGCTGTCTGGAGGAAAAAGGTATTCTAGCAAGGTGTGGGCCACTACCTTCTTACAGCTGAGAGAAAATATAACCACCAGCTGCAGGAAATACACCACTCACGATACAGCAGTGGACTTGAATATTTTTTGTGGGGGAAATCCTGAAGAACCCGCAAATGTTCTCCTGACTCAAGGAACTCAAGAAAATGAGTTCTCCTGGCTCAAGAAAATGAGTCAGCTTTCATTAAATACAAAGTCCAAGAGATTGGGTTTTAAGTAACTACCATAGACAAAAGATGACGGCACCAGAGCCAGTCCGATGACATCTTTCCTGTCCTTTACCTGTCCCCCTCCTTCTCACCAACTGAAATGGGTCAGAAACTATCACTCATAAGCCAGAGGTGAGTAGGAGGAAACCAAGAAGAGAAATAGAGAAAAAGTTAAAGCCACCCCCTCCTGCCCATTACAAACACCTAAGCAAGCCTGAGCTATGTGTCTGTGCATACGTGTGTGTGGGTGGGTGGGTGTGCATGGGCATGCATACAGGGAGAGCGGGTTGTTGGTGAGAAACGTGGGCTTTTAATAGAGCTATTTTATTATTATTGCATGGCACTCAATGCATAAATTACTGAACCCAGATTATTCTTATGCCCGAAAGTGATGGCAAGACTTTTTTTTTTTTTTTTCTAAAAGTACATAGACAAGTTAGGAGCCTTGCCTGAAATTACCTGCAGGACTAGGAGAACTAGCTTTAGAAAGAATACTCAGATGGGTAGTGGGCAGAAGAATAAAATTATTTTCTGTTTGCCCCTTTTAAGTCCCACGTTGACCTGCTAGATAAATGTAAATAGGATCAGATCACTTCCTTGCTTAAAATTTTTCGATAAATTCCCATTGCTCATGGATCAAAAACCATACTCATGTCTTTGGCCTAGGAGGGCTCAGGAAGTTGAATCTCTGCTCACCTGACCAGCCATGTCTCATAGCACAACCCACTCCATTCTGTGCCCCGGTTACATTAGCATTTTTGTCCCTCAGCAGACAAGCTTCTTTTCACTGCTGTTCCCTCTGCCTGAAATGTTCTTCACTGTGCCCATACCACACCACCCACTTACCTGGCTGACTCTTATTTATCATCAGGCCCCACCTTACATCCCACTCCCCACAGAAACCTTCCTTGGCTCTCTAAAATACGTTAGTTCTTCCCTCTTAAATGCTCTCATTGCAAGTTTATTTCTTGATATTATAATACAACTGTACATAATTTGGAGGGGTTGTTTAATGCCTGTCTCCCCAGCATGTATATAAACACGTTTATCTTTGCATTCCCAGCACCTAAAAAAATGTCCAGAATGTGGAACATGCTCAAAACCCAGCAACTAACATCATCCTTTCCCTCTAAATAAGAGGAAAAGAGAAGGATGTTCACTCTCACCACTTCAATTCAACATTGCTGAGTGAACGAAAAAATGAATAAACTTTAGGGTTATGCAAAGGCAATTGGATTTATCATTAAGAGGTCGTTAGCAACAAGATAGTCTTGATGGAATAGTGAGAATGGAATTTAGAATGAAGAGATGCCACAAGACCATTCCCAAAATTGGACATAAATCAATAGCACTCAAGTCCTCCTGGGCTCCATATAAATTCGGATTCTATAACCTTGGAACGTCTGAGATGAAGATTGAAATAATCTACTTTCCCCATCATCACCATCACTTAGTCCTTAAATCTAAATTACCCATAGGCTCCAATGTCGTCTCCCTACCCTAAATCTCCTCTCCTCTTACCTCCTGGTCACAGGGACTCCCAAATCACCTCTCTGTCTGCCTGGTTGCAGTTATTCCCTGAAAAAAGAGAAAGGCCAGACCAAGCCAGATGGAGCTATCAGAGGGTGTAATCTCAGACAGTCCACTCTAAACATGCCGTTTTCATTCCTACCTCTGTGTTCTCCCTCACTATGACTACCTATCTGGAACACCTTCTCTGCCCATCCCCTGCCCCCACCTCCCCAAGTTTAACCTACATCTCAAGAGCCAGCTCAAGTCTTTAGCTAAAGTATTCCCCTGCTTTTCCAGCCCACAGTAATCTGCCTGTTGCTATACTCTTAATTGGCATCACAGGGTTTATCTGGTTGACTATATATTATCTTTGCTGTTCTTTTATTATTTCACATGTTTATCTTGCCTTCAAATATAAATGGACCCTATTCAGGTCACAGAGACTGTGTCTTATCTTTTTTATCCACCTCCTAGCTTAACTTACAAAGCTAAATTAATCAGGAATTCCACAAATACCAGCTAATGGAGTGAGTGGACAGTATCGTCAATATGCAACCTCTTACTGATGCTGAAAACTCACTTTTCCATTGTCCCACAATCCAGCCTGAATATTCTATTCTCTCCACCCTGCAGTTATGGGTCTGAAGTGTAATACCTGCATATACACAGAAGGATGGAAGTGTATGGCAGGCCGAGGCACTTGCATTGCAAAAGAAAATGAGTTATGTTCAACAACAGCCTATTTCAGGGGTAAGTGGGGCTCATGAAGACTCCAAAATTGCCTGCAAAGAACCATCACTCTTGCTAGTGCCTGGAATAAAGAACTCGATATCATTTAGCTCTGCTAGGAGGTAAGGCAAGGAATAAAAGAGGGGGCAAGAAGGGATAATTTCCAACTTCACACTGTAGGGTTTAGTATCCAGAGCCAGTTACGGTGGCGATTGGGAACATGAACCCAGGAGCCGGGAAGGAGACCCAGTGTTAAGTGCTATTCCTCTTGGTGGTGAGTTTTAGTAAGTCACTAGTAAGGCAATCTCCTCCAGCATTTATAACAGGCTTCTTCATTTTCAGGAGACAAACATATGTACTCAACACATATGTGTAAGTATAAGTGCCGGGAAGAGGAGTCCTCCAAAAGAGGCCTGTTGAGAGTGACACTGTGCTGTGACAGAAACTTCTGTAATGTCTTCTAATGGAGCTTAGGAACTTGCAGAGGATCATCTGATCAAGATCCAGAATCAAGACCAACCAACATGAACTGTTTTATTTCCCACACCAAATTCCACACTGGCCTAAGATCCCAGAGAGAGCTGCAGGGGCTGTCCTCATTGCAATGAAGGGGCTCCCCACACCCCACCTCCACCACTAGATTCCTAAAATCATGAGCATTGAAACAAAATCCTCCATGAGCTATGCTTATTCTTTTGTCTTCTACTCCTGATTTCTGATTTCTATCCCTTGTAGGCTAAATAATGGACCCCCAAATATTTCTACATCCTAATCTCTGGAACCTGTGAATGTTACCTTACATGGCAAAAGGGACTTTGAAAATGTGATTAAGGATCTTGAGAAGGGGAGGTTATCTTGCATTATCTGGGGGGGCCCTAAGTGGAATCAAAATGCAAAATGCAATAAGATGCAAGTAAAGGGAGATATGACAAAGAAGAGGAAAAGATGATGTGATAATGGAAGCAGAGATTGGAGCCATGTGCTTTGAAGATGGAGGAATAGGCCATAAGCTAAAACTAGGAGGCCACTAGAAGCTGAAAAAGTCAAGGAAATAGGTTCTCCCCTCAGAGCCTCCAGAAACCAGCCCTGCTGACACCTTGATTTAAGCCCTGTAAGACTCATTTTGGATGTCTGGCCTCCAGAACTCTAAGCGGGTGTGGTTTTCAGCCACAAAGTGTGTATTGTTTTAAGCCACTAAGTTTGCAATAATTTATTATAGCAGCAATGGGAAACTAATACAATCCAAATAAACTTCTAGGAATTCAAATCATTGGTAAGCCTGAGTACCCAGGGGCCAGTCTAGGTGACAACAGTATCCACCGCTCAGGGCTTACAGTGACCTGCAGGAAGAGAGGAATAACAGAGCACATGCTATGAATAAATGTGGAGATCAATTTGTGGATTTTAAACTTCATGACATGCTGCAGATAATCCTTTAGGTGTATCTGTGGTAAATGGTGCCTTGCTATGTTCTGAAGCAATCAAACATGATGTCCTAATAGCTCAATTTATCAGTTCCTCATTAGCTTGTGTACTCACTGAAATTCTTTTAGCAGTTAATGTCCTTGTATTAGTCTGTTTTCATGCTGCTGATAAGGACATACCCACGACTGGGCAATTTACGAAAGAAAGGGGTTTATCGGACTTACAGTTCCACGTGGCTGGGGAAGCCTCACAATCATGGCAGAAGGTAAAAGGCATGTCTCACATAGTGACAGACAAGAGAAGAGAGATTGTGCAGGAAAACTCTCCCTTATAATAACCATCAGATCTTGTGAGACTTACTCACTATCACGAGAATAGCACAGGAAAAACCTGCCCCCATGATTCAATTACCTCCCACCGGTCCCTCCCACAACACGTGGGAATTGAAGATGAAATTTGGGTGGGGACACAGCCAAACCATATCAGTCCCCTTCTTAAAACTCTCCTCTCTAGCTCCTATGACTGTACATTTGTAGTTCTCCCACCTCTCTGAAGAATCCTCTGTGAGGGTCTCTGGGGACTTTGTTTTGATTTGTTATTGTTTTTATATTCAGTCTTTAACCTATGTGAAGCCACCTTTGTAATACTGCCTTAAGTAAAGATCCAGTATTATTTTTCTCCATAGAATGAGTCAGATTTTTTAACACCATTGACTACAAAGTCTATCCTTTCTCCGTTCACTTGTGATACAATTTTTATCTTAATTATAAAGGAAAAAATCACTGTTTTCTCTACTATACTGTCTCACACACAACACTTCTGACACGAAATATGTGGGGTTTTCCACACCAACAAATTAACCAATCACCCAGTGCACACTGATTGAGTGCTCTAAAATTTAACTCAATTCTGACACTAATTGTCCAGAGTTAATTCAGACCCCACAGACAAAGGGCTCGGTCCCACAAACTGCCCCCCAACTGCAGATGCCAATCACAAATTGTGGGTCCTCAGGTTATGCACAACTTAGGTCCAAACTGGAAATTCCCACATTCCCCTCCTCAAGTGCAATAATTTGCTAGAACAGCTCACAAAACTGAGGAGATAATTTACGATTACAGATTTATTGCAGAGGATATATTAAAGGATACAGATGCACAGCCAGATGAAGGGGTACATAGGGCAAGGTCTGGAAGGGTCCTGAGCACAGAAGCTTCTGTCCTTGTGGAGTTTGGAATGCACCACCCTTCCAGCACACAGATGTGTTCTTGTTCATCATGCAGTAGCTCCAAAAACCCTTTTAATTAGTAATTTTTAATGGCGGTTTCATTGCATAGACATGATTGATTATTAATAAATGATTGGCCACTGGTGATTAATTCAGCCTCCAGTCCTCCCTTCTCCAGAGGTCGAGAGGGAGGGTTGAAAGTTCTAACCCTCTAATCACATGGTTGATTCCCTTGGCAACCAGCCCTTATTCTGTGATTATTTAAAGGCTTTCCAAAAATCACCTCAGTAATATAAAGTCAGGCATGGTTACAAGATTTGTTGTAAGACATGCAAATGCTTCATGAACCAAGGACAAAATACGAAATATTACAACACAAGATGCTCCTATTGCTCTTATCACTTAGAAAATTACAAGGGTTTTAGGAGCTCTGTGCCAGGACATGGACAGAAAGACCAAAATATACAGTTTACCCTTGAACAACATGCGGGTTAGGAGTGCTAACCCCTGCACAGTCAAAAATCCACATATAACTTTTGACTACCCAAAAACTTTACTAACAGCCTGCTATTGACTGGAAGCCTTACCGATAACATAAACAGCCAATTAATACTTATTTTGTACATTATAAGTACTATATACTATATTCTTACAATAAAGTAATCTAGAGAAAAGAAAATATTAAGAAAATCGTAAGAAACAAAGTACACTTACTATTCATTAAGTGGAAGTCATCTTCATAAAGGTCTTCATCCTCATTGTCTTTACATTGACTAGGCTGAAGAGGAAGTGGAAAAGGAGGGGTTGGTCTTGCCATCTCATGGGTGGCAGAGGCAGAAGAATCCACATATAAGGAGACTCACAGAGTTCAACCCTGTGTTGTTCCAGTATCAATTTTGTATGTATTATACCAAAGTATCATATACATACAAATATGTTTTGTGTGTGGCCATGTGTGTGCGTGTATATAAAACTTTCCATTCTAGGTCGGGCGCGGTGGCTCACGCCTGTAATCCCAGCAGGTTGGGAGGCAGAGGCAGGTGGATCATGAGGTCAGGAGATCGATACCATCCTGGCTAACACAGTGAAACCCCGTCTCTACTAAAAATACAAAAAATTACCCAGGCATGGTGGCAGGCGCCTGTAGTCCCAGCTACTTGGGAGGCTGAGGCAGGAGAATGGCATGAACCGGGAGGCAGAGCTTGCAGTGAGCCAAGATCGCGCCACTGCACTCCAGCCTGGGCGACAGAGCAAGACTCTATCTCAAAAACAAACAAACAAACAAACAAACAAACAAAAAACCACTTTCCATTCTATTCCATTGTCTATTCATGCTATGGTCTGAATGTTTGTGTCCCACCAAAATTCATATGCAGAAACCTAATCCCCAGTGCAATAGCATTAAGAGGTAGGGCCCTTCAGAGATGATTATGTCATAAGGATGGGGCCCTAATGAATAGGATTGCTGTCCTTATGAAAGAGGCCAGAGAGAGCTTGTTTGCCCCTGCCACCATGTGAGGACACAACAAGAAGGCATCATCTGGAAAGCAGAGGGTGAGCCCTCACCAAACATGTAATCTGTTTGTACTTTAATCTTAAGTTTCCCAGCCCTTAGAATTCTAAGCAATAAATGTATATTGTTTATAAATTACCCAGTATATGGTATTTTTCTGATAGCAGCCCAAACACACTAAGACAATTTGTTTTCGAATGAATACTATGCTATTTTTTTTACTATAGTTTTGTAGAATGTCTTTAAATCTGCTAGGGAAATTTCCCTCATTGTGCCATTTCTTTGTCTGTTGGCTCTCAGTTCCATTCCTGCCCATTATTCCTCTTCTCTGAATTGCAGGAAATTCAAAATGAGCCTGTGGTTCTGGCTGTGGCAGCAACAAGCAACTGCAGGAGACTGCCAGCTAACACAATAGCACCATATTCATGGCAGCTGTGGCAGCAAATCCAACAGCATCAGCAACTTCTGCTTCTGCAAAAATATAGGCTCCTGGCTTCCTGAAAAGTGGTGATGACAATATTACACAGGCAGTTTCAGCAGCAGGCTCTCCCTCGCCCCAGCTACCCCCCAGCACTTATGGACTCTAGATAATACCAAGTTCCCTTTGCTCCTGCAGCCCTAGGGGTGATAACAGCTTCTCACAGGTACTGTTCCCTGGGGAATAGCATTGTTCCCTTTTTGGCTCCTTCAACCTCTCAACACTTTTGTAACCATTTTGTTGTATTTACTTCCCCTTGCTTGAAAACCTAGAAATGTGAATGTTTTTTTTTTTTTTTTCCATAGTTCTTGGGGTCCAAGTGGTTTTCGGTTACATGGATGAATCGTATATTGGTGAAGTCTGAGATTTTAGCATAACTGTCAACTGAGTAGTGTACGCTGCATCCAATATATAGTTTTGGGGGTTTTTTTTGTTTTGTTTTTGCTTGTTTGTTTGTTTGAGATGGAGTCTCTGTCGCCCATGCTGGAGTGCAATGGCATGATCTTGGCTCACCGCAACCTCCACCTCCTGGGTTCAAGTGATTCTCTTGCCTCAGCCTCCCAAGTAGCTGGGAATACAGGCGTGTGCCACCACATCTGGCTAATTTTTGTATTTTTAGTAGAGATGAGGTTTCACCATGTTGCCCAGGCTGGTCTTGAACTCCTGACCTCAGGTGATCTGCCCACCTCAGCCTCCCAAAGTGCTGGAATTACAGCCATAAGCCAACGTGCCAGGCCCAATATATAGTTTTATCCCTCGTCACCTCTCACCCTCCCCTCTTCGGAATCTCCAAAGTGCATTATACCATTATGTATGCCTTTGTGTCCCCATAGCTTAGCTCCCACTTACAAGTAAGAACATAACGGTATTTGGTTTTCCACTCCTGAGTTACTTCACTTAGAATAATGCCCTCCTGCTCTATCTAAGTTACTACAAAACACATTATTTGATTCCTTTTTATGCCTGAGTAGTATTCCATGGTGTATATATACCACATTTTCTTTAGCCATTCATTGGTTGATGGGCACTTAGGTTGGTTCCATAACTTTGTAATTGTGCTGCAATAAACTAAACATATGTATACAGGTGTCTTTTTGATATTATGACTTCGAGAAAGGTTAATGTTTCTTAACTGGACTCTAATAGATACATTCTTCTTCACTCTTCTTATTCAAGGTTGATTTTGATATTTGTGTGCATTTATTCTTCCACATAAATTTTAAATACATTTATTAAATGCAACAAAAGTGCAATTGAAAATTTATTGAGGTGAGTTGACATTTCATTCAAGAACATGAAACAATTCTCCATTTTTTCGTATTATAATCAAAACCATTTATTAATCTTCAGATTTTCTCCATAAAGTTTTTGAGTATTTTTGGTTGAATTAATTTCTAGAAACTTTTCTATATGTGTTGTTGTGAATAGTAACTTAGCTTTTCATTATATCTTATGCTTCATTATTACTGATGCAGAGAAGTGCTATTAATTTTTATAAGTTGTAGGGGAGGTGCCAAGATGGCCTAGTAGAAACAGCTCCAGTCTGCGGCTCCCACCAAGAAGAACGAAAGAGTGAGTGAATTCTACATCTTCAGCCGAGGTACCCAGGTTCTCTCATTAGGACTGGCTAGGCAGTTGGCACGACCCACAGAGAGTGAGCAAAAGCAGGGTGGAGTGAGGGCCCACCCAGGAGCTGCATGGGGCAAAGGGAGCTCCTTCCCCCAGCCAAGGGAGGCAGTGAGTGATTGTGCTACCCCACCCAGGAAACCATGCTTTTCCCACAGATCTTTGCAACCCACAGATTAGGAGATCCCCTAGTGAGCCCATGTCACCAGGGCCTTGGGTCCAAAGCACAGAGCTGTGCAGACTCACAGCAACCGTTCAGGTCAGCAGCCACTTGGGCAGGCACTGAGATGCAGGAGTTTTGCATATTTTAGCTCCAGGAAATCCAGTGAGGCAGGAGATCTATCCACTCCTGTAGGAAAAGGGCTGAAGCCAGAGAGACAAGGGGCTCGCTCAACAGGCTCCACTCTCACAGAACCCCACAAGCTAAGACCCACTGGCTTGGAATCCCTGCCAGTTAGGCCAGCAGGCTGGAAACTGCCTAAGACTACTGAGTTCCTGGCAGGGAGGGGTGACCACCATCACTGCAGCTCCAGTCAGCCATTTTCCCCTGCAAGTGCCAGCGAGACAGGGTGGTTTGGACTGGGAGGAGTTCCCCACAGCACAGTACGGTGGCTGTGACAGATCATGGCCAGGCTGCTTTTTTAAGTGGGACCCTGACCCATCCTTCCTCACCAGGCAGGGCCTCCCTATGGTAATTTCAGCATCTCCAGCCAGGGGGTTATAGACAGAACTCTGATCTCTCTGGGATGAGCCCCTAGTGGGAGGGGCACTGTGGTCTCCACAGATCAGCCATCTTAGTCTTTTCTACCTGCTAGCTCTGAAGAGTTAGGGCAGCCTGGGTAAGGAAGTTTTCCCCCAGTGCAGCACACCTGTTTTGCCAAGAGGCAGCCAGACTGCTGATTTAAGCAGGGCCCTAATCCTGTTATTCCAGACGGGGTGAGACCTCCCAACAGGGGCCTCCCTCCAGACACCTCATACAGGAGCATTCCAGCTGGCATCAGGTTGTTGCCCCTCTGGGAAGGAGCTCCCAGAGGAAGGAACAGGCAGCCATCTTTGCTGTTCTGCAGCCTCCACTGGTGATACCTCCAGGTGCAGGCGGGACCCAGGTGAATAGGGTCTGCAGTGGGCTCCCAGCAAACTGCAGCAGCCCTGGGGAAGGGGAGCCTGACTTCTAAAAGAAAAAAAAACAGAAAGCAACAACGACAACAAAATCAATGAAAAAGACCCCACAGAAACCCCAGCCAAAAGTCAGCAGCCTCAAAGACTGAAGGTAGATAAACCCATGAAGATGACAATCAATGCAAAAACACAGAAAATTCAAAAAGCCAGAGAGCCTCTTCTCCTCCAAATGATTCCAACACCTCTCCAGCAAGAGCACAGACCTGGCTGAGGCTGAGATGGATAAATTGATGGAAGTAGGCTTAAGAAGGTGGGTAATAACAAACTTCACTGAGCTAAAGGAGTATGTTTTAATCCAATGTAAAGAAGCTAAGAACCATGATAAAACATTACAGGAGCTGTTAACCAGAATAGCCAGTTTATAGAGGAACATAAATGACCTGATGGAGCTGAAAAACACAACACAAGAACTTCACAATGCAAACACAAGTATCAATAGATGAACAGACCAAGCAGAAGAACATCAGAGCTTGAAGACTATCTTGCTGAAATAAGAAAGGCAGATAAGATTAGAGAAAAAAGAATAAAAAGAATGAACAAAACTTCTAAGAACTATGAGATTATGTAAAAAGACAAAACCTATGACTGACTGGGGTACCAAAAAGAGATGGGGAGAACAGGGCCAAGTTGGAAAACACACTTCAGGATATCATCCAGAGAGAACTTCCCCAACCTAGCAAGGCAGGCCAATATTCTATCAGGAAATCCAGAGATGCCCAGTAAGATACTCCATGAGAAGATCAACCCCAAAACACATGATCATCAGATTCGCCAAGGTCAAAATGAAGAAAAAGATTTTAAGGGCAGCAGAGAGAAAAGCCAGGTCACCTACAAAGGGAAGCCCACCAGACTAACAACAGACCTCTCAGCAGAAACCCTATAAGCCAGAAGAGATTGGGGGCCAATATTCAACATTCTTTAAAAAAAAAAAATTTTCAACTGAGAATTTTATATCCAGCTAAACTAAGCTTCATAAGCAAAGGAGAAATACAATCCTGTTCAGACAACCAAATACTGAGGGAATTTGTCACCACTAGGCCTGCTTTGCAAGAGCTCCTGAAGGAAGTACTAAATATGGAAAGGAAAAACCATTACCACCCACTACAAAAATGCAGACAAATGACACTATGAAGTAACTACATAAACAAGTCTGCAAAATAACCAGCTAGCATAATGATGACAGAATCAAATTCACTCATAACAATTTTTAACCTTAAATGTAAGTAGGCTAAATGCCCCCAATTAAAAGACACAAAATGGCAAACTGGATAAAGAGTCAAGACTCATTGGTGTGCTGTATTCCAGAGACCCATCTCACATGCAAAGACACACACAGATTCAAAATAAAGGGATGGAAGAAAATTTACCAAGCAAATAGAAAACAACAAAAAAAGCAGGGGTTGCAAATTTACTGTAATAGTCCATTCTCGTGCTGCTAATAAAGGCATACCTGAGACTGGGTAATTTATTAGAAAAGAAGTTTAATTGACCCACAGTTCAGCATGACTGAGGAGCCCTCAGGAAACTTACAATCATGGCAGAAGGGGAAGAGACATGTCCTTCTTCACATGGTGGCAGGAGAAAAAAGAAAGAGCGAAGAGGGAAAAACCCCTTATAAAACCATCAGATCTTACTCATTATCACAAGAACACCAGCATGGGGATAACCACCCCCATGATTCAATTACCTCCCACTGGATCCCTCCCACAACAGATGGGAATTATGGAAACTACAATTCAAGATGATGTTTGGGTGGGGACACAGCCAAATTATATCCCTTAGTTTCTGACAAAACAGACTTTAAACCAACAAAGATCAAGAAGGACAAAGAAGTGCATTACATAATGGTAAAAGGTTCAATTCAAGAAGAAGAGCTAACTATCCTAAATATATATGCACTCAATACAGGAGCACCCAGATTCATACAAGAAGTTCTTCGAGACATACAAAGAGACTTAGACTCCCACACAATAATTGTGGGAGACTTTAACAACCCACTGTCAATAGTAGACAGATCATTGACACAGAAAATTAACAAAGTATTCAGGACTTGAACTCAGCTCTGGATCAAGTCATCCTAATAGATACCTACAGAACTCTCTCTACACACACAGACACACACACACACACACACACACACACACCAAAAAAAAAAAAACAGAATATACATTTTTCTAAGACACCCCATGACACTTACTCTAAAATTGATCACATAACTGGCAGTAAAACACTCCTCAGCAAATGCAAAAGAACTGAAATAATAATAAACAGTCTCTCAGACCACAGCACAATCAAATTAGAACTCAAGATTAAGAAATTCACTCAAAACCACACAACTACATGGAAATTGAACAATCTGCTCCTGAATGACTCCTGGGTAAATAATGAAATTAAGGCAGAAATCAAGAAGTTCTTTGAAACTAATGAGAAAAAAGACACAATGTACCAGAACCTCTGGGACACAGCTAAAGCAGTGTTATGGGGGGAATTTATAGCACTAAATGCCGACATCAAAAAGATAGAAAGATCTCAAATCAACATCTTAACATCACGACTAAAAAAACTAGAGAACCAAGAGCAAAGAAACCCCAAAGCTAGCAGAAGACAAGAAATAACCAAGCTTAGAGTAGAATTTAAGAAGATAGAGACATAAAAACTTTTCAAAAGTCAACAAGTCCAGGAGCTGGTTTTGCAAAAAAAGAATAATAATAATAATAAAATAGACTGATAGCTAGACTAATAAGAAAAGAGAGAAGAATCAAATAGACACAATAAAAAATGTTAAAGGGAATATCACCACTGACCCCACAGAAATATAAACAATCATCAGAGAATACTATAAACACCTCTATGCAAAAAACACTAGAAAATCTAGAAGAAATGCATAAATTCCTGGACACATACACTCTCCCAAGACTGAACCAGGAAGAAGCTGAATCCCTGAATAGACGAATAACAAGCTCTGAAATTGAGGCAGTAATTAATAGACTACCAACCAAAAAAACCCCAGGACCAGATGGATTTACAGCTGAATTCTACCAGAGGTAAAAAGAGGAGCTGTTACCATTTCTTCTGAAACTATTCCAAACAATTAAAAAGGAGCGAGTCCTCCTTAACTCATTTTATGAGGCCAGCACCATCCTGATACTGAAACCTGGCAGAGATACGACAAAAAAAGAAAACTTTAGGCCAATATCCCTGATAAACATTGATACCAAAATCCTCAAATACTGGCAAACTGAATCCAGCAGCACATCAAAAAGCTTATCCACAATGATCAAGTAGGTTTTATCCTCAGGATGCAATGCTGGTTCAACATACACAAATAAATAAAAGTAATTCATCACATAAACAGAACTAAAGATAAAAACCACATTATTATCTCAATAGATGCGGAAAAGGCCTTCAATAAAACTCAACATCGCTTCATGTTAAAAACTCTCAATAAACTAGGTATTGAAGGAACATACCTCAAAATAATAAAAGCCATTTATGACAAACTCACAGCCAATATCATACTGAATGGGCAAAAGCTGGAAGCATTCCCCTTGAAAACTGGCAAAAGACAAGGATACCCTCTCTTACCACTCGTATTCAACATAGTATTGGAAGTTCTGGCCAGGACAATCAGGCAAGAGAAATAAAGAGTATTCAAATAGGAAGAGAGGAAGTCAAATTGCCTTTGCAGATGACATGATTCTATATCTAGAAAACTCCATTGTTTCAGCCTAAAAGCTTCTTAAGCTGAAAAGCAATTTCAGCAGTCTCAAGATACAAAACCAATGTGCAAAAATCACAAGCATTCCTATATACCAACAACAGAGAAGCAGAGAGCCAACATCACTGATCGTTAGAGAAATGCTAACCAAAACTACAATGAGATACCATATCATGCCAGTCAGAATGGCAATTACTAAAAAGTCAAGAAACAACAAATGCTGAAGAGGTTGCAAAGAAATAGGAACACTTTTACACTGTTGGTGGAAATGTAAATTAGTTCAACCATTGTGGAAGACAGTGTGGCAATTCCTCAAATATCTAGAACCAAAAATACCATTTGACACAGCAATCCCGTTACTGGCTATATACCCAAAGGAATATAAGTCATTCTATTATAAAGATACATGCACGCATATGTTCATTGCAGCACTATTCACAATAGCAAAGACATGGAATAAACCCAAATGCCCATCAATGATAGACTGGATAAAGAAAATGTGGAACATACACACTATGAAATACTATGCAGCCATAAAAAGGAATGAGATCATGTCCTTTTCAAGGACATGAATGTAGCTGGAAGCCATTATCCTCAGCAAACTAACACAGGAACAGAAAACCAAACACTGCATGCTGTCACTTATAAGTGGGAGCTGAACAATGAGAACATATGGGCTCAGGGAGGGGAACAACACACACTGGTACCTGTCAGGGATTGGGGGTCTTGGGGAGGGAGATCATTGGGAAAAATGCCTAATGCATGCTGGGCTTAAGCCCAGGTGATGGGTTGGTAGGTGCAGTAAACCACCATGGCAGATGCTTACCTATGTAAAAAACCTGCACGTCCTGCACATGTATCCCAGAATTTAAACTAAAGTAAAATTTCAAAAAATATTGTAAGTTGATTTTATACCCAGTGTATTTGTCAGGGTTCTCTAGAGGGACAGAACCAATGAGTACATATATATATATATATATATATATATATATATATATATATATATATATATATATATATATACACATATATATTTAAAGGGGAGTTTATTAAGTATTAACTCACATGATCACAAGGTCCCACAATAGGCTGTCTGCAAGCTGAGGAGCAAGGAGAGCCAGTCTGAGTCCCAAAACTAAAGAACTTGGAGTCTGATATGTGAGGGCAGGAAGCATCCAGCACAGGAGAAAGATGTAGGCTGGGAGGCTAAGCCAGTCTACTCTTCACATTTTTCTGCTTGCTTTACATTCTAGCTGTGCTGGCAGCTGATTAGATGGTGCCTACCCAGAATAAGGGTGGGTCTGCCTTTCCCAGCCCACTGATTCAAATGTTAATCTCTTTTGGCAACACCCTCAGACACAACCAGGATCAATACTTTGCACCCTTCAATCCAATCAAGTTGATACTCAGTATTAACCATCACAACCAGCAACCTTTCTATATGGATTATCCTTATTTTCCCATATAAATGCTATATCATCTGCAAACTATTTAATCAGAACACCATTTCTTTTTCTTTTCTAAAATCACTGAAAAAAGCCACCTTTCCTTAGGGTTTGTGTATTTTCAAAGTTATTTTCCTTCATTATGCTGAAAAATTATATTGTAGTATTTTTGTATCCAGTGTTGCTGTTGACAATTCTGAATTGAATCTGATTTGTGTTTCTATGTAAATGCCTATTCCTTCTCTCTGAAAGCATTTGAAATTTTCCCTTCATCTCATGTTCTTTAATCTCACCAAACTGTGAGTAAGTGTAGGTTCTGCCTCATGTCTCCTGTTTTGCACTCTATGCACCCCTTCAATTTCACTTATTTCATTTTCTTTTTTGTTATTTTTATTTTGGGGAGTACACAGTAGGTGTATATAGTTATGGGGTACCTGAGATATTTTGATACAGAAATGCAACTTATAATAATCACATCAGGTTAAATGTAATATTCATCACCTTAAGCAATTACCCTTTGTGTTGCAAACAATCCAATTATATTGGTTTTTTTATTTTTAAATATAAAATTAATTTTTTTTTAGATGGAGTCTTGCTCTGTCACCCAGGATGGAGTGAAGTGGTGCAATCTCAGCTCACTGCAGCCTCCGCCTCTGGGTTCAAGTAATTCTCCTGCCTCAGCCTCCCAAGTAGCTGGGATTTCAGGTGTCCACCACCACCATGCCTGGCTTTTTTTTTTTTTTTTTTTTTTTTGTAGAGACAGGGTTTCACCATGTTTGTCAGGCTTGAACTCCTGACCTCAAGTGATCCACCCACCTCAGCCTCCCAAAGTGCTGGGATTACAGGCGTGAGCCACCACACCCGGCCACATTATTTTTTTCTATATTCATCCTGATACGCTATCAAATAGTGGGTCTTATTCATTCTTTCTATTTTTTGTATCATTAACTATCTTCATTTCCTCCACACCCACCTCCTGCCCCACTACCCTTCCCAGCTTCTGGTAACCATTCTTCTACTCTCTATCTCCATGAGTTCAATTGTTTTAATTTTTAGTTTCCACAAACAAATGGGAATATGTGAAGTTTGTCTTTCCATGCCTGGCTTATTTCACTTAACATAGTGACCTCCAGTTCCACCCATGTTGTTGCAAGTGACAGGATCTCATTCTTTGTATGGCTGAATAGTACTCCATTGCGTATAGGCATCACATTTTCTTTAGCCATTCATCTGTTGATGGACACTTAGGTAGCTTCCAAATCTTGGCTATTGTGAACGGTGCTTCAATAAATACGAGAGTGCAGGTATCTATTCAATATACTGATTTACTTTCTTTTGGATATATTCCTAGGAGTTGACCCAGTTATGCTTGGATTAGGAGACTTAAGGCAGTTCCTATTATTCTCATGTGCTAAATAATAAATATAATATTCCAATGTCTTTATGATTAGTTGAGAATAATCAACAATTTATGAACATAGGTATGAGGATAAAATGGATCATATAGTAGCTCTACTTTTAGTTTTTTGAGGGACCACCAAACTCCATAGTGGTTGTACATTCCCATGAACAGTGTACAAGGGTTCCCTTTTCCCAATATCCTCACCAGCATTTGTTATTGTCTAACTTTTGGATAAAAGTTGTTTAAACAGAATGGGATGATATCTCATTGTAGTTTTGATTTGCATTTCTCTGGTGATCAACGATGTTGAGCACCTTTCGTATGTCTGTTTCCCATTTGCATGTCTTATTTTTGAGAAATGGCTATTCAGATGTTTTATCCATTTTTAGATTATTATGTTTTTCCTTTAAAGTTGTTTGACTTCTTTGTGTATTCTGGTTATTAATACCTTGTCAGATGGGTAGTTTGCAAATATTTTCTCCCATTCTGTGGGTTGTCTCTTCACTTTGCTGATTGTGTCCTTTGCTGTCCAGAAGATTTTTAACTTGATATAATCCCATTTCTCCATTTTTTTTTGTTTTGATTGCCTATGCTTGTGGGTTATTACTCAAGAAGTATTTCCTCAATACAATGTCCTGGAGAGTTTCCCCAATGTTTTCTTGTAGCAGTTTTACAGTTTCAGGTATTAGATTTAGGTCTTTAATCCATTTTTATTTGATTTTTGTATATGGCAAGAGATGGGCGTCTACTTTAATTTTTCTGCATATGGATATCGTTTCCACAAGACCATGTATTGAAAGACTGTCTTTTCCCCATTGCATGGTTCTTGACACCTTTATTAATAATAAGGTTGCTGTAGGTATGTGGATTTGTCTCTGGGTTCTCTATTCTGTTCCATTGGTGTATGTGTCTGTTTTTATACCAGTACCTTGCTGTTTTGGTGACTATAGCTCTATATTATAATTTGAAGTCAGGTAATGTGATTGCTCCAGTTTTGTTCTTTTTGTGCATGATAGCTTTGGATATTCTGGATCTTTTGTTGTTCTGTATAAATTTTAGGATTTTTTTATTTCTGTGAAGAACATCATTGATATTTTGATACAAATTGCATTGAATCTTTAGATTGTTTTGGTAGCATGGACATTTTAAAAATATTGATTCCTGCAATCCATGAACATGAAATATCTTTCTGGTTTTTGGTGTCTTCTTCAATTTCTTTCATTGGTGTTTTATAGTTTTTATTGTAGAAATGTTTCACTTCTTTTGTTAATTCCTAGGTATTTAATGTTTTCTGTGACTATTGTAAATAGGATTTCTTTCTCGGTTTCTTTTTCAGATTGTTCATTGTTGACATATAGCAATGCTACTGATTATTGTGTGTTGATTTTTTTTTATCCTGTAACTTCACGGAATTTTTTTATCAGTCCTAACAGGTTTTTGATGGAGTCTTTAGATTTTCCAAATATAGGATTGTATAATCTGCAAACAAAGATAATTTGACTTCTTCCTTTCCAATCTGGATGTCCTTTATTTCTTTCTCTTGTCTGATTGCTCTAGTTAGGACTTCCGGTACTATGTTGAATTATGCTGGTGAAAGTGAGCATCCTTGTCACGTTTCTGTACTTAGAGGAAAGGCTTTCAGTTTTTCCCCATTCAATATGATATTAGCTGTGGGTCTGTCATACATAGCTTTTATTATGTTGAGGAGTGTTCCTTAGATACCCAGTTTTTTTAGGGTTTTGTCATGAAAGGATGTTGAATTTTGTCAAATGCTTTTTCAGCATCAATTGAAATATCATCTGGTTTTTGTCCTTCATACTGTTGATGTGATGTACCACACTGATTGATTTATGTATGTTGAATTATCCTTGCATCCCAGGGATAAATCCCACTTGGTTATCAATGATATTTCTAACATGTTGGTGAATTCAGTTTGCTAGTATTTTGTTGGAGATTTTTCCATCAATATTCAACAGAGATGTTGCCCAGGAGTTTTCTGTTTTTGATGTGTCTTTGTCTGGTTGGGTAATGCTAACTAAAAATACAAAAATTAGCTGGGCATGGTGGCAGGAGCCTGTAGTCCCAGATACTTGGGACGCTGAGGTGGGAGAATGGCTTGAACTCAGGAGCAGAGGTTGCAGTGAGCTGAGATCACACCACTGCACTTGAACCTGGGAGGCAGTGAGATTTTATCTCACAAAAAAAAAAAGGATTGGTGAGCCTGACAAGAGAACGTTTGAAATTATCCAATCAAAGAAAGAAACGGGGGAAAAAATAAAGAAAAACAGTGAAGCAGACTGGTGGAAATTATGGGACACCATAAACTTAACAAATCTTGACATAATAGGAGTTCCTGAAGGAAGAAGAGAGAAAAAATTTACAAAGCATATTTAAGAAAATAATGGATGAAAGTTTCCCAAATCTGATGAAAGGGGATATCATTCAGGTATAGGAAACTTGGAGATCACCATCAAATTCTACCCAAAGAGGAGAATCATAATAAGACATATCATAATCAAATTATCAAAACTTAAAGGAAAAGAAAGAATACTTAAAGCAGCAACAGATGAGAGACATATTACATTCAAGAGCGCCCCAATATGGATTTCAGTATATTTTTCAGCAGAAACCCTGCAGACCAGAAAAGAGTAGAATGATATATTCAAAGTGCTGAAGGAAAAAGGCTGCTAATCAAGAATACTTCGCCTGACAAATCTGTCCTTCAAAAATAAGGGAAAAATTAAAACTTCCCCAGACAAACAAAAAACGAGAGAA
Organism: Homo sapiens; assembly: GCF_000001405.40. NCBI lineage: Eukaryota > Metazoa > Chordata > Mammalia > Primates > Hominidae > Homo > Homo sapiens. The sequence goes on from NC_000011.10 coordinate 125,854,753, forward strand.
TTCTTCACCACTAGGCTTACTTTACAGGAATTACTAATGGGAGTTCTTTAAGCTAAAACGAACAGCCATTAACTAAAAAAAAAAAAAAAAAAAAAAAAAAAAAAAAAAAAAAAAAAGTAAAAAACCCATTGCTATAAGTAATAGAGCCATACTCAGAATTCTCTCACACTATAAAGGTGATGTATAAAGCAATTTTATTCCTACCATGAAAGTTAAGAGACAAAACTACTAAAAATAATTGTACCTACAAAAAAATTTTAAGGGATAAAAATTACCAAAAAAAGTAAATTTTGATATCAAAATCATAAAAGGTGTGTGAACGGAATGAAAATGTAGAGATTTTGCATGTGATTAAAGTTAAGTTGTTATTACCCTAAGGTTGCTTGCTATAAGGATAAGATATTTTGTGTAAGCTGCATGGTAATCGCAAAGCAAGAAACTGTAATAGTTGCATGACATATAAAAAGAAAGTATTCAAAGCATACCACAACAGAAAACCATCAAACCACAAAGGAAGACACCAAGAAAAGAAGAAAGAACCAAAAGACCTACAAAACAATTAGAAAACAATACTAAAATGATAGTAGCAAGTTGTTAACTGTCAATAACTACCTTGAGTGTAAATGGATTAAATTATCCAATAAAAAGGCATACAGTGGCTGAATGGATTGAAAAAACAAGATTCAACTATATGCATGTAAGAGATTCACAGTGCTAGTATGGACGTACATAGATTGAGAGAGAATGAATGGAAAAAGGTATTCCACACAAAATGGAAATGAAAGAGAGTAAGGATAGCTATATGTAGACAGAATAAACATTAAGTCAAAAACTAGTTTTTAAAAAAGACACTCTCCTTATCTGGTAATAATAATTAATTAATTAGTTAAAAAGACAGAGGTCATTACATAATGATAAATGAATTCATTCACCAAGAGGATATATAAGTTGTAAATACATACAAACCTGACATCTGAGCACCTAAATACATAAAGCAATTATTAAATGATCTGAAGGGAGAGATCAACGGCAATACTATACTAGTATTGCATTTTCAACAATGAACAGATCATTTAGACAGAAAATCAATAATGAAACAACTGACTTGAATTACACTTTACACTAAATGGGCCTAACAGACATACAGAACATTCCACCTAATAGCAGCAGAATACACATTCTTCTCAAGCACACATAGAAAATTCTTCAGTGAAAATATGCTAGTCCACAAAACAAACTTTACCAAATTTAAGAAAATTGAAACCATACCAAGCATCTTTTCAGACCACAACAACAATAAAATAGAAATCAATCACGGAAGAAATATTGAAACACAACTATGTGGATATTAAACAACATGCTCCTGAACAACCAAAGGATCTCAAAAGAAATTTAAAAAAATTAAAAAAAATACCTCAACACAAAAATGGAAACACAATGTATCAAAACTTATGGGATTCAGCAGAAACAGTCTTAAGAAAAAGATATATAATGGTAAATGCTTGCATTTAAGAATAATCCAGATAAACAATCAAATGTTACACCCCAAGGAAGTAGAGAAAGAAGAAGTAAGCCCAAAGGTAGTGCAAGTATTTAACAAAGATCAAAGCAGAAATAAATGAAGTAGAGACTACAAAAACAATAGAAAAAAACAGGCAAGACTAAGAGATGGTTTTTTGGTTTTTGTTTTTTGAGATGGAGTCTCGCTCTGTTGCCCAGGCTGGAGTGCAGTGGTGCCATCTCTGCTCACTGCAAACTCCACCTCCAGGGTTCAAGCGATTCTCCTGCCTCAGCCTCTCGAGTAGCTGGGACTACAGGAATGTGCCACCACTCCTGGCTAATTTTTTGTCTTTTTAGTAGAGACGGGGTTTCACCGTGTTAGCCAGGATGGTCTTGATCTCCTGACCTCGTGATCTGCCTGCCTTGGCCTCCCAAAGTGCTGGGATTACAGGCGTGAGCCACTGTGCCTGGCCTAAGAAATTGTTATATAAAAAGATACATAATTTCAGCAGATTAAGAAAATCACTAGACTAACCAGGAAAAAAAGAAAAATTCAAATAAATAAGAAATGAAAGAGACACTGTAACCGATGCTACAGAAGTACTAAGAATCAAAAGAAACTGCTATGAACAAACATATGCCAACAAATGGGATAATCCAGAAGAAATGAACAAATTCCTAGACAAATACAACCTACCAAGACTGAATCAAGAAAAAATAGAAAATGTGAACAAATAAAGTAAGAAGTAAGATGTAAGGGTAAGAAGATCAAATTAGTAATAATAAAAACATTTCATAGAAGCAAATTTCAAGACCAGAGAGTTTCACCACTGAATTTTACCAAATATTTGAAGAAGAACTAACATCAGAACTAACATCTTCTCACACTCATCCAAAAAATCAAAGTGGCGAGAATACTTCCAAATTCACTTTATGAGGCCAGCATTACCCTGATACAAAATCCAGACAAGGACACTAGGAGAAAGGAAAATTACAGAAAATATCCCTGATGAATGCATATGCAAAAATTCTCAACCAAATATTAGCAAACTGAATTCAAGAAAACATTAAAAGAATTATTCACCATGATTAGGAGGAGGTTCTATGATGGCCGAATAGGAACAGCTCCAGTCTACAGCACCCACCGTGAGCGACACAAAAGACGGGTGATTTCTGCATTTCCAACTGAGGTACAGGGTTCATCTCACTGGGGCTTGTCTGACAGTGGGTGCAGGACAGTGGCTGCAGCCCATGGAGCATGAGCCAAAGCAGGGCGAGGCATCGCCTCACCCAGGAAGTGCAAGGGATCAGGGAATTCCCTTTCCTAGCCAAGGGAAGCCGTGAGAGACGGTACCTGGAAAATCAGGTCACTCCCACCCTAATACTGCGTACTGCGCTTTTCCAATGGTCTTAGCAAATGGCACACCAGGAGGTTATATCCCGCGCCTGGCTCGGAGGGTCCTACGCCCACGGAGCCTCACTCACTGCCAGCACAGCAGTCTGAGATTGAACTGCAAGGTGGCAGTGAGGCTGGGGGAGGAGTGCCTGCCATTGCTGAGCCTTGAATAGGTAAACAAAGCGGCTGGGAAGCTCGAACTGGGTGGAGCCCAGTGCAGCTCAAGGAGGCCTGCCTGTGTCTGTAGACTCCACCTCTGGGGGCAGGACATAGCTGAAAAAAAGGTTGCAGAAACTTCTGCAGACTTAAACGTCCCTGTCTGACAGCTTTGAAGAGAGTACTGGTTCTCCCAGCAGGGAGTTTGAGATCTGAGAACGGACAGACTGCCTCCTCAAGTGGGTCCCCCCAAGTAGCCTAACTGGGAGGCACCTCCCAGTAGGCGCCAACTGACACCTCATATGGCCGGATGCCCCTCTGAGACAAAGCTTCCAGAGGAAGAATCAGGCAGCAACATGTGCCATTCTGCAATATTCACTGTTCTGCAGCCTCCACTGGTGGTGATACCTAGGCAAACAGGGTCTCAAGTGGACCTCCAGCAAACTCCAACAGACCTGCAGTTGAGGGTCCTAACTGTTAGAAGGAAAACTAAAAAACAGAAAGGACATCCACACCAAAACCCCATCTGTATGTCACCATCATCAAAGACCAAAGGTAGATAAAACCACAAAGATGGGGAGAAACCAGAGCAGAAAAGCTGAAAATTCTAAAAATTAGGCACCTTTTCTCCTCCAAAGGAACGCAGCTCCTCGCCAGCAACGGAACAAAGCTGGACAGAGAATGACTTTGACAAGTAGAGAGAAGAAGGCTTCAGACGATCAGTAATAACAAACTTCTCCAAGCTAAAGGAGGATGTTCGAACCCATCGCAAAGAAGCTAAAAACCTTGAAAAAAGATTAGACGAATGGCTAACTAGAATAAACAGCATAGAGAAGACCTTAAACGACCTGATGGAGCTGAAAACCATGGCACAAGAACTACGTGACACATGCACAAGCTTCAGCAGCTGATTTCATCAAGTGGAAGAAAGGGTATCAGTGATTGAAGATCAAATGAATGAAACGAAGTGAGAAGTTTAGAGAAAAAAGAGGAAAAAGAAATGAACAAAGCCTCCAAGAAATATGGGACTATGTGAATAGACCAAATCTACATCTGATTGGTGTACCTGAAAGTAATGGGGAGAATGGAACCAAGTTGGAAAACACTCTGCAGGATATTATCCAGGAGAACCTCCCCAACCTAGCAAGGCTGACCAACATTCAAATTCAGGAAATACAGAGAATGCCACAAAGATACTCCTCCAGAAGAGCAACTCCAAGACACATAATTGTCAGATTCACCAAAGTTGAAATGAAGGAAAAAATGTTAAGGGCAGCCAGAGAGAAAGCTCGGGTTACACACAAAGGGAAGCCTATCAGACTAACAGCAGATCTCTCGGCAGAAACTCTACAAGCCAGAAGAGAGTGGGGGCCAATATTCAATATTCTTAAAGAAAAGAATTTTCAACCCAGAATTTCATATTCAGCTAAACTAAGCTTCATAAGTGAAGGAGAAATAAAATGCTTTACAGACAAGCAAATGCTGAGAGATTTTGTCACCACCAGGCCTGCCTTACAAGAGCTCCTGAAGGAAGCACTAAACACAGAAAGGAACAACCGGTACCAGTCACTGCAAAAACATGCCAAATTGTAAAGACCATCAATGCTAGGAAGAAAATGCATCAACTAACGAGCAAAATAACCAGATAACATCATAATGACAGGATCAAATTCACACATAACAATATTAGCCTTAAATGTAAATGGGCTAAATGTCCGAATTAAAAGACACAGACTGGCAAATTGGACAGAGTCAAGACCCATAAGTGTGCTGTGTTCAAGAGACCCATCTCATGTGCAGAGACACACATAGGCTCAAAATAAAGGGATGGAGGAAGATCTACCAAGCAAATGGAAAACAAAAAAAAGCAGGGGCTGCAATCCTAGTCTCTGATAAAACAGACTTTAAACCAACAAAGATCAGAAGAGACAAAGAAGGCCATTACATAATGGTAAAGGGATCAATTCAACAAGAAGAGATAACTATCCTAAATACATACGCACCCAATACAGGAGCACACAGATTCATAAAGCAAGTCCTTAGAGACCTACAAAGAGACTTAGACTCCCACACAATAATAATGGGAGACTTTAACATTCCACTGTCAACATTAGACAGATCACGAGACAGAAAGTTAACAAGGATATCCAGGAATTGAACTCAGCTCTGCACCAAGCAGACCTAATAGACATCTATAGAACTCTCCATCCCAAACCAACAGAATATACATTCTTCTCAGCACCTCATCGCACTTATTCCAAAGTTGACCATATAGTTGGAAGTAAAGCACTCCTCATCAAATGTAAAAGAACAGAAATTATAACAAACTGTCTCTCAGACCACATTGCAATCAAACTAGAACTCAGGATTAAGAAATTCACTCAAAACTGCTCAATTACATGGAAACTGAACAACCTTCTTCTGAATGACTACTGGGTACTTAATGAAATAAAGGCAGAAATGAAGATGTTCTTTGAAATGAATGAGAACAAAGACACAACATACCAGAATCTCTGGGACATATTTAAAGCAGTGTGTAGAGGGAATTTTATATCACTAAATGCCCACAAGAGAAAGCAGGAAAGATCTAAAATTGACACCCTAACATCACAATTAAAAAAACTAGAGAAGCAAGAGCTTCAAAAGCTAACAGAAGGCAAGAAATAACTAAGATCAGAGCAGAACTGCAGGAGAGAGAGACATAAAAAACCCTTCAAAAAAATCAATGAATCCAGGAGCTGGTTTTTTGAAAAGATCAACAAAATTCATAGACCACTAGCAAGACTAATAAAGAAGGAAATAGAGAAGAATCAAATAAAAAATGATAAAGGGGATATCACCACCAATCCCACAGAAATACAAACTACCATCAGAGAACACTATAAACACCCTACACAAATAAACTAGAAAATCTAGAAGAAATGGATAAATTCCTGGACATATACACCCTCCCAAGACTAAACCTGGAAGAAGTTGAATCCCTGAATAGACCAATAACAGGCTCTGAAATTGAGGCAATAATTAATAGCCTACCAACCAGAAAAAGTCCAGGACCAGACAGATTCACAGCCAAATTCTACCAGAGGTACAAAGAGGAGCTGGTACCATTCTTTCTGAAACCATTCCAATCAATAGAAAAAGAGGGAATCCTCCCTAACTCATTTTATGAGGCCAGCATCATCCTGATACCAAAGCCTGGCAGAGACACAACAAAAAAAGGAATTTTAGACCAATATCCCTGATGAACATCGATGCAAAAATCCTCAAAATACTGGCAAACCGAATCCAGCAGCACATCAAAAAGCTTATCCACCATGATCAAGTTGGCTTCATCCCTGGGATGCAAGGCTGGTTCAACATATGCAAATCAATAAATGTAATCCAGCATATAAACAGCACCAAAGACAAAAACCACATGATTATCTCAATAGAGGCAGAAAAGGCCTTCAACAAAATTCATCAGCCTTTCATGCTAAAAACTCTCAATAAACTAGGTATTGATGGGGCATATCTCAAAATAATAAGAGCTATTTATGACAAACCCACAGCCAATATCATACTGAACGGGTAAAAACTGGAAGCATACCCTTTGAAAACTGGCACAAGACATGGATGCCCTCTCTTACCACTCCTATTCAACATAGTGTTGGAAGTTCTGGCCAGGGCAATCAGGCAGGAGAAAGAAATAAAAGGTATTCAATTAGGAAAAGAGGAAGTCAAATTGTCCCTGTTTGCAGATGACATGATTGTATATTTAGAAAACCCCATCATCTCAGCCCAAAATCTCCATAAGCTGATAAGCAACTTCAGCAAAGTCTCAGATACAAAATCAATGTGCAAAAATCACAAGCATTCCTATACACCAATAACAGACAAACAGAGAGCCAAATCATGAGTGAACTCCCATTCACAATTGCTTCAAATAGAATAAAATACCTAGGAATCCAACTGACAAGGGATGTGAAGGACCTCTTCAAGGAGAACTACAAACCACTCCTCGACAAAATAAAAGAGGACACAAACAAATGGAAGAACATTCCATGCTCATGGGTAGGAAGAATCAATACCATGAAAATGGCCATACTGCCCAAGGTAATTTATAGATTCAATGCCATCCTTATCAAGCTACCAATGACTTTCTTCACAGAATTGGAAAAAACTACTTTAAAGTTCATATGGAACCAAAAAAGAGCCTGCATTGCCAAGACAATCCTAAGCCAAAAGAACAAAGCTGGAGGCATCACGCTACCTGACTTCAAACTATACTACAAGGCTACAGTAACCAAAACAGCATGGTACTTGTACCAAAGCAGAGATATAGACCAATGGAATAGAACAGAGCCCTCAGAAATAATACCACACATCTACAACCATCTGATCTTTGACAAACCTGACAAAAACAAGAAATGGGGGCTCCCTCTCCCTCTCCCTCTCCCTCTCCCCACGGTCTCCCTCTCATGCGGAGCCGAAGCTGGACTGTGCTGCTGCCATCTCGGCTCACTGCAGCCTCCCTGCCTGATTCTCCTGCCTCAGTCTGCCGAATGCCTGCGATTGCAGGCACGCGCCGCCACGCCTGACTGGTTTTGGTGGAGACGGGGTTTCGCTGTGTTGGCCGGGCCGGTCTCCAGCCCCTAACCGCGAGTGATCCGCCAACCTCGGCCTCCCGAGGTGCCGGGATTGCAGACGGAGTCTCGTTCACTCAGTGCTCAATGGTGCCCAGGCTGGAGTGCAGTGGCGTGATCTCGGCTCACTACAACCTACACCTCCCAGCCGCCTGCCTTGGCCTCCCAAAGTGCTGAGATTGCAGCCTCTGCCCGGCCGCCACCCCGTCTGGGAAGTGAGGAGAGTCTCTGCCTGGCCGCCCATTGTCTGGGATGTGAGGAGCCCCTCTGCCTGGCTGCCCAGTCTGGAAAGTGAGGAGCGTCTCCGCCCGGCCGCCATCCCATCTAGGAAGTGAGGAGCGCCTCTTCCCAGCCGCCATCACATCTAGGAAGTGAGGAGCGTCTCTGTCCGCCCGCCCATCGTCTGAGATGTGGGGAGCGCCTCTGCCCCGCCGCCCCATCTGGGATGTGAGGAGCGCCTCTGCCCGGCCGCGACCCCGTCTGGGAGGTGAGGAGCGTCTCGCCCGGCCGCCCCGTCTGAGAATTGAGGAGACCCTCTGCCTGGCAACCACTCCGTCTGAGAAATGAGGAGACCCTCCGCCCGGCAGCTGCCCCGTCTGAGAAGTGAGGAGCCTCTCCGCCCGGCAGCCACCCCATCTGGGAAGTGAGGAGCGTCTCCGCCCGGCAGCCACCCCGTCCGGGAGGGAGGTGGGGAGGGGTCAGCCCCCCGCCCGGCCAGCCGCCCCATCCGGGAGGGAGGTGGGGGGTCAGCCCCCCCGCCCGGCCAGCCGTGCCGTCCGGGAGGGAGGTGGGGGGTCAGCCCCCCCGCCCGGCCAGCCATGCCGTCCGGGAGGGAGGTGGGGGGGTCAGCCCCCGCCCGGCCAGCCGCCCCGTCCGGGAGGTGAGGGGCGCCTCTGCCCGGCCGCCCCTACTGGGAAGTGAGGAGCCCCTCAGCCCGGCCAGCCGCCCTGTCCGGGAGGGAGGTGGGGGGGTCAGCCCTCCGCCCGCCCGCCAGCCGCCCCGTCCGGGAGGGAGGTGGGGGGGTCAGCCCCCCGCCCGGCCAGCCGCCCCGTCCGGGAGGGAGGTGGGGGGGTCGGCCCCCCGCCCGGCCAGCCGCCCCGTCCGGGAGGGAGGTGGGGGGGTCGGCCCCCCGCCCGGCCAGCCGCCCCGTCCGGGAGGGAGGTGGGGGTGTCGGCCCCCCGCCCGGCCAGCCGCCCCGTCCGGGAGGGAGGTGGGGGTGTCGGCCCCCCGCCCGGCCAGCCGCCCCGTCCGGGAGGGAGGTGGGGGGGTCGGCCCCCCGCCCGGCCAGCCGCCCCGTCCGGGAGGGAGGTGGGGGGGGTCAGCCCCCCTGCCCGGCCAGCCGCCCTGTCCGGGAGGTGAGGGGCGCCTCTGCCCGGCCGCCCCTACTGGGAAGTGAGGAGCCCCTCTGCCCGGCCAGCCGCCCCGTCCGGGAGGGAGGTGGGGGGGTCAGCCCCCCGCCCGGCCAGCCGCCCCGTCCGGGAGGGAGGTGGGGGGGGTCAGCCCCCCCGCCCGGCCAGCCGCCCCGTCCGGGAAGTGAGGGGCGCCTCTGCCCGGCCGCCCCTACTGGGAAGTGAGGAGCCCCTCTGCCCGGCCAGCCGCCCCTTCCGGGAGGGAGGTGGGGGGGGGTCAGCCCCCCTGCCCGGCCAGCCGCCCCGTCCGGGAGGTGAGGGGCGCCTCTGCCCGGCCGCCCCTACTGGGAAGTGAGGAGCCCCTCTGCCCGGCCACCACCCCGTCTGGGAGGTGTGCCCAACAGCTCATTGAGAATGGGCCAGGATGACAATGGCGGCTTTGTGGAATAGAAAGGCGGGAAAGGTGGGGAAAAGATTGAGAAATCGGATGGTTGCCGTGTCTGTGTAGAAAGAAGTAGACATGGGAGACTTTTCATTTTGTTCTGCACTAAGAAAAATTCCTCTGCCTTGGGATCCTGTTGATCTGTGACCTTACCCCCAACCCTGTGCTCTCTGAAACATGTGCTGTGTCCACTCAGGGTTAAATGGATTGAGGGCGGTGCAAGATGTGCTTTGTTAAACAGATGCTTGAAGGCAGCATGCTCGTTGAGGTTGAGAGTCATCACCAATCCCTAATCTCAAGTAATCAGGGACGCAAACACTGCGGAAGGCCGCAGGGTCCTCTGCCTAGGAAAACCAGAGACCTTTGTTCACTTGTTTATCTGCTGACCTTCCCTCCACTATTGTCCCATGACCCTGCCAAATCCCCCTCTGTGAGAAACACCCAAGAATTATCAATAAAAAAATAAATTAAAAAAAAAAAAAAAAAAGAAATGGGGAAAGGATTCCCTATTTAATAAATGGTGCCGGGAAAACTAGCTAGCCATATGTAGAAAGCTGAAATTGGATCCCTTCCTTACACCTTATACAAAAACCCTAGAAGAAAACCTAGGCAATACCATTCAGGACATAGGCATAGGCAAGGACTTCATGACTAAAACACCAAAAGCAATGGCAACAAAAGCCAAAATTGACAAATGGGATCTAACTAAACTAAAGAGCTTCTGCACAGCAAAAGAAATTACCACCAGAGTGAACAGGCAACCTACAGAATAGGAGAAAAATTTTGCAATCTACTCATCTGACAAAGGACTAATATCTAGAGTCTACAAAGAACTTACACAAATTTACAAGAAAAAATCAAACAACCCCATCAACAAGTGGGTGAAGGACATGAACAGACACTTCTCAAAAGAAGACATTTATGAAGCCAACAGACACATAAAAAATGCTCATCATCACTGGCTATCAGAGAAATGCAAATCAAAACCACAATGAGATACCATCTCACACCAGTTAGAATGGCGATCATTAAAAAGTCAGGAAACAACAGGTGCTGGAGAGGATGTGCAGAAATAGGAACACTTTTACACTGTTGGTGAGACTGTAAACTAGTTCAACCATTGTGGAAGACAGTGTGGTGATTCCTCAAGGATCTAGACCTAGAAATACCATTTGACCCAGCCATTACTGGGTATATACCCAAAGGATTATAAATCATGCTGCTATAAAGACACATGCACACATGTGTTTATTGCAGCACTATTCACAATAGCAAAGACTTGGAACCAACCCAAATGTCCATCAGTGACGGACTGGATTAAGAAAATGTGGCACATATACACCATGGAATACTATGCAGCCATAAAAAAGGATGAGTTCATGTCCTTTGTAGGGATATGGATGAAGCTGGAAACCATCATTCTGAGCAAACTATCGCAAGGACAGGAAATCAAACGCCATATGTTCTCACTCATAGGTGGGAATTTAGCAATAAGAACACTTGGACACCGGATGGGGAACATCACACACCCAGGCCTGTCGTGGGGTAGAGGGAGGGGGGAGGGAGAGCATTAGGGGATATACCTAATGTAAATGACGAGTTAATGGCTGCAGCACACCAATATGGCACATGTATACATATGTAACAAACCTGCACGTTGTGCACATGTACCCTAGAACTTAAAGTATAATTTAAAAAAAGAATTATTCACCATGATTAAGTAGGATTTATCCCAGAGAAGCAAGGATGAGTCAACATACACAAACCAATTAATGTAATACACCACATCAACAGAATGAAAGATAAAAATCCTATGATCATCTCAATAAATGCAGAAAAACCATTCGACAAGATTTAACACCATTTCATCACAAAAACTCTCAACACATTAGACGTAGAGGGAATGGACCACAACACAATAAAGCCATATGTGACAAATCTGGAGCTACCATCATTCTCAATGGTGAAAAGTTTTAAGCTTTTCCTCCATGATTGGGTCAAAACAAGGATGCCTACTCTCACCATTTCTTTTCAACATGGTACTGGAATTTCTAGCAAAAGAAATTAGGCAAGAGAAAGAAGTAAAAGGCATCCTAATTTCTTTAAAAAAAAAAAAGGAAGAAGTGAAATTGTCTCTATTTGCTGATGACATAATTTTATATACGGGAAACTGTACAGATTCTACAAAAAATTCTACAGTTTGTAGAAACTGTACAGATTCTACAAAAGAACTAATACATGAATTCAACAAAGTTGCAAGATACAAAATCAACATACAAAAATCAGTAGCATTCCTATGTACTAAAAATGAACTATCTAAAAGAGAAATTAATGGAAAATAATCCTATTTAAAATAGCAACAAAAAAATTAAATATGTAGGTGTAAGTTTTTTTTTTTTTTTTTTTTTTTTTTAAGACGGAGTCTCGCTCTGTCGCCCAGGCTGGAGTGCAGTGGCGGGATCTCGGCTCACTGCAAGCTCCGCCTCCCGGGTTCACGCCATTCTCCTGCCTCAGCCTCCCAAGTAGCTGGGACTACAGGCGCCCGCCACTACGCCCGGCTAATTTTTTGTATTTTTAGTAGAGACAGGGTTTCACCGTTTTAGCCGGGATGGTCTCGATCTCCTGACCTCGTGATCCGTCCGCCTCGGCCTCCCAAAGTGCTGGGAATACAGGCGTGAGCCACCACGCCCGGCCATGTAGGTGTAAGTTTAACCAAGGCAGTAAAAAATCTATATACTGGAAACTATAAAACACTGATGAAAGAAATTAAAGAAAACAAAAAAAGGAAATCTATCCCATATTCAGGGATTAGAAGTGTATTGTAGGCTGGGCATGGTGGCTCACACCTGTAATCCCAGCACTTTGGGAGGCCAAGGCGGGCAGATCAGAAGGTCAGGAGTTCGAGAACAGCCTGGCCAATAGGTGAAACCCCATCTCTACTAAAAATACAAAAATTAGCCAGGCGTGGTGGCAGGTGCCTGTAATCCCAGCTACTTGGGAGGCTGAAGTCTCCAAGGAACGCTAAGTTTCCTCCTTGTCGTGACAGACATGAAGTGAACTTAGTTTCGGGAGATGGAGGCTGGATGGCCCTCAGGGGCTGACCCATAGGGTGTCGAACTTTAGGATATAGCAGAGAGAGAGCTTGACATGGCTTGTTATCCCAGGCTGTGGAATCCTGGAAAAGAGCTACCATACAGCCCATGTCTGGTCGACTGGAGGACCATCCTAGTGGAAATGGGACAATCTGGGCCTCTGGCCTGCCGTGGGCACAAGCATAACAATTCCTTCTGTTTAAAGTGTGGACAGAATGCTTGATCCATTCTAACCAGGCATTAGCATCTTTATATCCTGTCTCAATTGCCAAAGTTCGTTTATTAGTTTTCTTACATACCAAGCAACTATCTGTAACTTGTTTGGCCAGGGTACAAATTCCTATACACCCATAACCTCTGAGAACTGCATCACACAAGGCCTGGGGTCCCCAGTGGGTCCCTTGATGTAGTTGGGATAAGATTTCCTTCATCATTTCTCTCTGGTCTGGCAATATCCATTTTGTGTCTGAATTCTCTTTAGTGCCTATTTATTAGTTTTTATTTTTCAGTGGAAGAGAAAATGGGGATTACGGTAGGAGGAGGAAGGTAGGGAGTTAAGTGGAAAATAGGCGCTTTAGAGGAGACAGCAGCCTGTTTGGCATGTGATCTGCTAGGTTATTTCTTTGACTTTCAAACGAAAGGCCTTTCTGGTGTCCGGGAACATGGACAATAGCTATGTCTTCCAGCAACTGAAAGTTATTCAATACTTGGGTGATTAGCTCCTTGTGAACAAGGTCTTGACCTTCACTATTAATGAGACCTCATTCAGTCCAAATTTTTCCAAATGTATGAGCCACTCCAAAGGCATACTTAGAATCGGTATAGATGGTTCATTCCTGGTTCTGTAAGTACTTTAAGGCTTGGCTGAGTGCAAACAGCTCATATGTTTGAGCAGACCACTTATTAGGCAATTTTCCTGACTCTATTTCTACAAGAATTTCTCCATCAATTACTGAATGCCCACTGTGTCTTTTTCCCTCAATCACCCAGGAGGAACCATCTATAAACAAGTGTCATCCTGTCCTGAAGGGAGTTTCTCCTAGGTCTGGTCAGACTTTTGTATGGTAATCAATTAAATCTAAACTCTTTAGATTTGGATCCCCTGTTAGGAAACCTGCTAGGTTAAGTGAATTATCAGTGGTTAATGTTAAATCATCTTTTTCTAACAGAATGGCCTTATACATTAAGATTCTTGAGTCAGTAAGCCATCTCCCTGCCTTCTGGTTTAAAGCAGTTCTAACTTGGTGAGGCGTACTGTCAATTTTCCTCCAAAGGTTAACTTTCTACTTTCTTCAACTAATACTGCTGTAGCAGCAATGGACTGGATGCATTGAGGCCATCCACAAGTAACCAGATCTAAGACTTTTGGCAGAAAGGCCATGGGCTGCCGACAGCCTCTGTGTTCTCGAGTAATCACTCCTAATGCTACTCCATTGTTCACATTGACAAAAGGTGGAATGGCTTCTCTAGGGAAGGTAAGGCTAAAACAGGGGTGGTTATGAGTCTTTTTTCAGCTCTTCGACCTGATCAACTTCCTCAGGAGTCCACAGGAGATGGTCAGGCTTCTCCTGGGCAAGTTTTTGATATAACAGTTTACTGTATAGTGCATATGTGTCAATGCGTAAGCAGCAGTATCCAATTAACCCTAAAAATTTCCTGTGTTTTTGTTTAGTTTGAGGCAAGGGTAGGGGCACGATTCACTCAATTCATTCAGGCCCTATTCTTCACTTGCTTGCACTTATTAAGTGGCCTAAATATTTAACGTCAGGCTCTACATACTGAAGCTTTCCTTTTGAGACTCATAGCCCCTTGAACTGCAGATGGTTAAGAATATGTGTAGAGAAGTCAGTTACCTTCTTTAGATCTTCGCCAGATATAAGAATATCATCCATGTACTAGAGCAAGCATATTTGCTTTGGGATGACCACTTTTTCTAACACTTGTTCTAAAATTTGGCCAAAAAGATTAGGGGAGTCTGTCTTGGGGCAAGACTGTCCATCGAGGAGATGGACAAACAGAGGAGTGAGCAGCCCCTGAATCAACTAAAAAGGTGACAAGCTCATGTTTAGGTCCCACCTCCAAATTTATCAAGGGCTCCTGGTGGGACTCAAGATAAAAGAGACAGAGCCCCTGACTCCCCTATTCTTCCTCAAAAGTCACGAGTGGAAGGGCTTCTTTCTCCTTTCTTAGTTCGGGACATTCTCTCTTGAAGTGACCTGTTCTTCTGCATTGGTAGCACCTATCTTACACTTCCTCCCTCTCAGTTCTGGGATTCTTTGACCTTGCTCCCCCACACCCTTTAGGGGGCCTGATAAACCCCTTGGTCTTAGTCCTCCAGATGGAGGCTGGGTCCTTTAAAGGAGGGTTTGGACCTTTTATAGTTTCTGGCTCCCTGGAAGTTCTGTTTAAAAGTACATGGGTTTGGAGCCATCTGTTGGAAGGTGGATAACATAAGTTTTGTCTTTTGTTTCTGCTTTTCTTCGTCTCTCCTCACATATATCTTTTGAACTTCCCTGAGAAGTTCCCTTAGGGGCCGGTCTACCCAATTTTCTATCTTTTGTAATTTTTTTGAAATGTCTGACCAACTTTTAATGACAAATTGGAGTTTTAACATTCCTTGCCCAAGGGGATCATTCAAATTGAAGCCTGCATATTGTCTCATTTGCTCCTTCAGTCTGTCTAGGAATCTCATAGGCCCTTTATCCTTTTCCTATTGTATATCAAATGCTTTAGAAAGATTTTGGGTTCAGGGTACTGATTCCCGAATTCCTTTTATTATCATCTCTGTTAGGTCCTGCGTGTTTTCCCGGTGATCTGCATTGTTATTGTCCCACCAGGTGTCTCGGGCAGGGAATTTCTGTTCCACGGTAGGAACGTTTTGACCAGGAGGATGCTCATGTTCCCAAACTACCATAGCAGCCCTATGAATCCTACTCCTTTCTTCCCCTGAAAAGAGGATGCCCAAGATGGACATTAACTTGACCCAAGTATATAACTGAGGTCTTAAGAATTGATCAATTTGATCTGACACTCCATAAGGGTCATCTAATGGTGGCTTAAGCTCCTTTTTTAAATTCTGGACTTCTGAACTGGTTAAGGGAGCATTTATAAAGCCAATGGCTCCCCCTCCTTTTGGTACCTCTTTTAAGGGAAAGAGAGTCAAGGCTGACTCCTTAGGTGTGGAGGGAAATGGGAAATTCTGATTATCTTTTTTACAATGTTCTACTTCACACTGGAGTCCTTTTAGAGAGGGGTATTTAGGTTGGGAGAGAATAGGCTCTTGGGACGGTAATTCCCAAGAGTCAGGGTTATAAGAAGGAGGGATAACGTGAACAGAAGAAGGATTTGGAATGGAATCTGAGGCGGCAGCAGCTGTCTGAGGGGAAAGATTGGGGACACTGAGCAGGCATAGATGGTCTAGGGGGTCCCATGAGCTGGAGTCTTTAGGCATGGGAACTGGCTCCTCTGACTTTTCATTTTGAGGTGCAAGATTGGGCTCTTCCCTAGTTGTTTTTAAGGAAAAAAGGACAGGTCCCTGCCTCCAACAAAGACCTGTTCTTCTTGAGAAACTGGACTTTTATCATTAACATATTGAATTAGAAGCTAGCACATTACATTCTCATTCCACCCAAACTTTGGCCAGAAGATTGAGGGTTTGAGGATAGGGCCCTGAGTCCAAATAAAACAATAATATTTTATGGCCGGGCACGGTGGCTCACGCCTGTAATCCCAGCACTTTGGGAGGCCGAGGCGGGCGGATCACGAGGTCAGGAGATCGAGACCATCCCGGCTAAAACGGTGAAACCCCGTCTCTACTAAAAATACAAAAAAATTAGCCGGGCGTAGTGGCGGGCGCCTGTAGTCCCAGCTACTTGGGAGGCTGAGGCAGGAGAATGGCGTGAACCCGGGAGGCGGAGCTTGCAGTGAGCCGAGATCCCGCCACTGCACTCCAGCCTGGGCGACAGAGCGAGACTCCGTCTCAAAAAAAAAAAAAAAAAATAATAATAATAATAATATTTTATCATTTGTTGTTTCTTCTTGTGTTTAGTCCCTTCATTATCCTTCCAGTATTTTAACATGAGATCTAGGGGGCTATCAAGGGGAATATCCTTATTACCATCTTTATCCTTCTTGCTCCTTGTCTTGCTTGGGGTATTTCCCACATTGGGTCCTGGTTAGGCTCAATCTCTCGTATTAGAGATGTCTCACCTAGCCTTCTCTGGAGGCTTGCTGGGGCTATTAGACTCAATCGCTCATATTAGAGATGTCTCGCCTTTCCTTTAGCCCCACCTGCTGGAGGCTCCTTGCATTCACGCACACTTTCAACCCCCAGAATATCCCCACCACCAAGGAAGTATTTTGTTGTCCCTGCGACATTTCTTACCTTGGTCTGTGCACAGAGTTACCTGGTCGCAGTTGTATCTGAGGATCCTTTCCCCCAAGTCGCCAGCTGGTTTCTTTCTGCATTGCTGAGAGTCTGGGTTTATTCATCACACTAGGTGGGTCTTGATTCCTTACCCCTGAGGCCACTGTAACAAGGCAGCGGGCATGCCTCCTCACGGGAGAGATCTAGACCCTCCCCAGAAGAGAATGGGAATCCTGGATGAGCCCTCAAATTTGTATTTGTATTTCAGTGCTGCAAAAGAAACAGCACTCGAGCATAAATTTTCTCAGCAAGGCAATTTACTTCTGTAGAAGGGTGCATCTCACAGATGGAGCAATGGCAAGAGCACACCTGAACAAAGAAGGAGAAGGGGGTCTTATCCCTGATGCAGGTAGCCCCTACTGCTGTGTCATTCCCCTGTTGGCAAGGGTTGAACCACACAGTCTAAGCTAATTCTGCCTGGCTATTTTAAAGAGAGCAGGGTTATGAACCAGAGTGGTGGGGTGAGCAGTTTTGGTGGGAAGGATGGTTACAGAACAGGTGACTAAAGGTGACTCAGGTCAAAGCAGGTGACCAGAGGTGACTCAGGACAGAGCAGGTGACCAGGAGTGACTCAGGGCAGAGCAGGTGAGCAGGGGAACAGATGTGAACTACTGATTAGAACTGGTGTAAAAGGTTGTTTACTGAAACTAGAGGCAAGGAGATGAGGAGAATGAGGAAGTTAAACTTTAAAATGGAGAACAAAGAACTGAACATACTGACATACTGATCCTTTGAAGAGAAATTTAGAATTCACTGTATTTAACATCAGCAAACCAAATTCAACAACACATTGAAAAGATAATACACCACAATCAAGTGACTTTTATACCAGAAATGCATGAATGCTTCAACATTTGCAAATCAACAAATAAGATACATCACATAAACAGAATTAAGAACAAAAATCATATGATCATCTAATAGATGCTAAAAAAGCATTTGATAAAATTAAGCATCCCTTTATCATAAAAACCCTCACCAAACTAGGCATCAAAGGAACATAAATCAAAATAATAAGAGTCACATATAATAAACTCATAGCCAACATCATACCAAATGGGAAAAAGTTGAAAGCATTCCCTCCAAGAACTGGAACAAGACAAAGTTGCCTACTTTCACCACTCTTATTCAACATGGTACTGGAAGTCCTCACCAAAGCAATCAGACAAGAGAAAAATATAAAAGACATCCAAATTAAAAAAGAGGAAGTCAAATTATCCCTGTTCACTGACGATATAATCTTATATTTGGAAAACCCTAAAGACTCCACCAAAAATCGCTTAGATTTGATAAATGAATTCAGTTAAAGTTTAAAGATACAAAATTAATGTACAGATATCAGTGCCATTTCTATACACCAGTAATGTTCTAGTCAAAGATATCAGTCAAAATAATATTAATAATTTTTTAAAGTAAAACCTTCTGCTCTAAAAAACATACTGTTAAGTATAAGAAAGGACAAACTATAGACTGAGAGAAAATATTTCCCAAAAAGGACTGAATATATTTCCTGACTATGTAATAAATTATATATTTATATATTTATATTTAATTTATAAAACTATTTTTATATAATGAATTATATATTTCTTGAATGTATAATGAATTCTCATAACCTAATAACAATAAGACAAACACCACAAAAAAATTTATTTAAAGGGAATAATATAGGCGTTAAGAAATTATTTAGGCAGATAGTGAGGGTACAGGAGTCCTTGGTAAGGTTTTTCTTTTAATAGAAAGCAGCCCCCAAATCATTTCTTTTCTAACAGAAAGTAGCCTGAAAAATCAAGCTGCAAGCATAGATAAGCAAGCTGGAAACTTGCACAGGTGAATCCCGGCAGCTGTGCCAAAAGCCAGGTATATACAACAAATAGGTTTTCTTCTCCCTTCTCCTTGTCGCCATGTGTGTGGGTGTCATGGCACCGGCCAGGTGGAAACCACATCTGCCTAATAAAAGAAAGATTAGGGTGGGATGGCCAGCCTCTTTGTGGACTATGTAAATGGCACACTTGGTCCAACTAAATCCCTAGGCCCTATGTAAATCAGATACTGCCTCCTCAAGCCCTCTATAAAACCAGCCGCTTCCCACCGCAACCCGGGAGATCCCTTCGGAACCCCCTCCCTCTGCACAGGGGAGCTTTCCTCTTGTTTCTTTCACCTATTAAACTTTCTGCTCTTAAACCCATTCCCTGTGTGCCCACATCTTTGTTCTCCTTAGCGCGAGACAACGAACCTCAGTTATTTCCCCAGACAGACAACACCACTTCATTGTGGGGACTCGCCCAGGATCAGAATCAGAACAGAAGGTATATTCATCAGAGGGGTGAGTACAGGCGCAGAACTTAACTTTCAACTCTGTCCTTTCATTTGGAGGCTCTCGGCCTCCATCTTAAGTTCAAACAATGGGCATCCTATAGCCACCTAAATGCTAATAGGGCGGCCGCCATGCGGGAAGTCTCAGATGTTAGGCTTGCTTGGGAGAACATGGAGAACTTCTCAATACTCACGGATCATTGGGAATGTTGGCCATGCTTCTCGAACCAGTTTTCTCTCACGGAGGACCTAGCCGTCGCGTGGGGCTAGAAAAGGTCCTGAAGCAACTGAAGATTTCTCGCCAGGACTACACCCTGGTGTTATCTGAAGGCTTCTGGACTGACCCCACCTCCAACTGCCCGGCTGGGTGTCCGCAACAGGATCTACAGCTGTCCTATCGCAAAATTTCCTCATTTCCTATCCGCAAAGGCCATGTCTCCTATCCTCTCTGTGTATGCAGTGTTTGAGAATTTTTACAGTTCAGGAAAATAGTCCTGTTAGGAAAGATTAGCGAATGCCATAGTAACTGAGAATATAGCACAAGGGAATGCTGTTTTCTGTCATTTTCTAGGAGCAAAGAGCCCTTCTCAATAAGCATTTCTCCCTCTACCCTTCCTCTGGGAAGCGCACGGTATTTCTAGGTCAACGTCGCCACCTAGTGGAATAGGAATCCTCTCCATGAGGCACAGCGTTGGTCCATTGCTGTAACACTCTAGCCTCCCAATTCTCCTCCCTTTTTGCACCCCTATACTAGAGACCAGGCTTTATGCCCCTTCTGTGAATGCGAAAACACTGCCTTCAACAATTAGGAGTAAAATGTCCTCCAAAGCCAAATTTTAGTTCTGATACTGTCCCATCAGCAGGAAAACAGCCATTAGGTCCCTACGTTCTTTTAAGGCACACATTCTGCCCCCAGTTAAAACAGTACTTAATTAGTAAGGAGATTTTAAATCCAGAAGTTCACCAGAACCATTCTCTAAGGGTAAACCATTCTCTAAACACCTGAGATTGGGTAATTTAGAAAGAAAAGAGGTTTATTTAGCTCATGGTTCTGCAGGCTTGGAAGTTCAAGGACATGGCCACCCTGGCTTCTGGTGAGGGTGTCATAACATGGCAGACAAGGTCAAAAGAGAAGAGAACAGGTACAAAGAGAGAAAACCTGAAGAGCATCTGGGCTTTATAACAACCCACTCTTATGGGAACTAATCCATTCCTGTGTTGCCAGAGTGAGAATGCAAAGCCATTTCATGAGGGATCCACCCCCAAAACCCAAACACTTCCCACTAGGTCCCACAGCCCAACATCACCACATAGGGGATCAAATTTCAACATGAGTTTTGGTGGAGACAAACAAACCATATCCAAACCATATCCACCTTATACAAAAATTAACTCAGGATGGATCACAGACTTAAATATACAAAATGTAAAACTATATAAAACTTTTAGAAAAAAAGGAGAAAATTTGGGGGATTTGGAACTAAGTAAAGAGTTCTTAGACTTGCCACTAAATGTATGATCCATAAAAGGAAAAATTAATTAATTGGACTTAATAAATTTTAAAAGCTTTGCTTGGTGAAAGGCTCTATTAAGGGCATAAAAATACAACCTATAGACCAGGAGAACATATTTTCATACCACCTATTTGGCAAAAGACTAGTATCTAGAATATATAAAGAACTCTGAAAATTCAACATTAAAAAAATAAATAATACAACTGGAAAATTAGCAAAAGACATGAAAACAGTTCACTAAAGAGAATATTCAAATAAAAAATGCATGAAAAGATTTTCAACATTATTAGCTACATTGAATTTAATGTAGATTAAAACCACAATGGAATGTTACTACATACCTAGAGGGTGGCTGAAATTAAAAACTGACAACACCAAATGCTGGTGAGGATGCACAAAAACTGCATCATTCATACACCACTGATGGGAATGTAAAATGTACATGAAAATAAATTAGTTTGGCAGTTTCTTTTAAAACTAAACATGCAACTACCATGTAGCCAGGCAACTGTACTCTTGAGCATTTATCCCAGAGAAATGAAAACATACTCACACAAAAATCTGTATGTGAATGTTTATAGTAACACTGTTCAAAATTGCAAAAAAAAAAAAAAAATGGAAATAATCCAGATGTCCCCCAGCGGGTAAATGTTTAAACAAACTGTGATACATCCAAGCCATGGAATACTGCTCAACAATGGAAAAGAACAACAACCTGGATGAATCTCCAGATAATTTTTTGAGTGAAAAAAAAAAAATCCCAAAAAGTTCTATACTGTATGATTCCATTTAAATAGGAAGTTAGGGTGGAAAGACATTGGGTGTGGATATAAAATGGCAACATGAGGGAACTTTGTTCTTTATCTTGACCTTATCAGTGTTAATATCCTTGTGTGATATTGCACTGTAGTTTTGCAAGATGTTACCAGTGGAGGTAATTGGATAAAGTGACAGAGGATCTCTTATTTCTAAAAATTTAAGAAGTAAATCAGATACAAAGAAATATGATGTAAAGAAAACCTCATTCACGAGTTCATGTCCTTTGCAGGGACATGGATGAAGCTGGAAACCATCAGCCTCAGCAAACTAACCCAAGAACAGAAAACCAAACGCTGCATGTTCTCACTCATAAGTGAGAGTTGAACAGTGAGAACACATGGACACAGGAAGGGGAACATCACACATGGGGGCCTGTCAGGGGGTGGGGGGCAAGGGGAGGGAGAACATTAGGACAAATACCTAATGCATGAGGGGCTTAAAACCTAGATGACGGGTTGATAGGTGCAGCAAACCACCATGGCACACGAATACCTATGTAACAAACCTGCACATTCTGCATATGTATCCCAGAGCTTAAAGTAAAATTCAAAAAAAAAGAAAAGAAAAGAAATACAAGAAAACCTCACTCACAATCTGGCATGTCTAGTCTTCCTTTTATTTAAAATAGTTGATTCTCAATCCTGGATGTTGTAACTCCCACAGTAGACTTTTGGTGATGTCTAGAGACATTTTTGATGGTCACAATCGAAAGAGTGCTGCTGCATCTAGTGGGTAGAGGCCAGGAATGCTGCCAAACATCCTAAAATGCACAGAACAGCCCCCATAACAAAGAAGTATCAAGACAAGGCTGGGCGGGTGGCTCACGCCTGTAATCCCAGCACTTTGGGAGGCCGAGGCAAGTGGATCATGAGGTCAGGAGATCAAGACCATCCTGGCTAACACAGTGAAACCCCGTCTCTACTAGAAATACAAAAAATTAGCCGGGCGTGGTGGCGGGTGCCTGTAGTCCCAGCTACTCGGGAGGCTGAGGCAGGAGAATGGCGTGAACCCGGGAGGCGGAGCTTTCAGTGAGCCAAGATTGCACCACTGCACTCCAGCCTGGGCGACAGAGTGAGACTCCATCTCAAAAATAAAATAAAATAAATTAAATTAAATTAAATTAAAAATAAAAAAAGAAGTATCAAGACAAAAACGTCAATAGTGCTGAGGTTGAGAAACCCTGATTTACAACATTAATATCTTTCACTCTGCATCAACATTTACAACATCTGTCCCTCCCAAATGAGGAATCTCATTTATTATTAGTAATTTCAGGACAGGAACTAAGTGAAATAAATTACTAAGTGAAAGGTAGTAACTAAATGTTCTTCTTCTGAGGGATCCCAAGGCTAAAATTACCAAAAATGAAAATAAAGCAAAATTAATTCAACCAAACTTGATTTTCATTGTACATGTGGCAATACTAGATGTTATGAATAACAACAAATGTAAGACATATGGTGCCCCAAAAAGCTTAATATTCTTGAGAGAATAAGACACATATACTTGGAAAAGTAATAACAGTAAGGCAAATTGTGAGTAAAAATGCTTAATATGTAAGTAAGAATAATTGAGAAAAATGAGTTGGCCTTTAAAAAATAGATTTAAGAAGAAAAGAATTTTAGAATGGAAGCAATTAACAATATCTCATTTAACTATTGATTTTGTAGGTGAAGTAGCTGAAACACAGACTGACTAACTTATCCAAATTATGAGAGCAAATTACTGAGACCAGAACTTTAGTCTCCTGATTCCTGATCCTTTGTTGCTGTTTCCTGTATAACACACTGCCTTTGTGATTGCTGGAAAGACATAAACAGAGAAGGCCGTGTATGACTATCAGTGGAAATGTACATCATCTCTTCATCATCATCATCATCATGTAGCAATGCTAGATGTTGTGAATACTAGATGCTGATTCTCAATCCTGGATATGTTGACCTCACGGTGGACATTTGGTGATGTCTGGGGACATTTTTGATTGTCCATCATCATCAGAGCTGACATTTGAGTGTTTAGTAAACATACTGGTGAAGGGTTCACATTATGAAATATCAGAAAGTAAGATTGGAAAGGAATGAGCATCTCAAGAAGAAAAGATAAGACTAAACAGAATAGTAACAGTCTCGATCTAAATGTTGTAGATGTTAAATGACAAATAAAAGCAAGTGCTACAAAAATTTCAAAGATGGTCAGATTCCGATGGCTTAAGGGTAGTTAGGCAGGGCTTGGTAGAAGAGGTGAGTTGGAGCTGAGAATTCAAGAGCTCCACAGGATTTGGAAAGAGAGGAGAGGTCAATCTAGATAAAGAAGGCAGTATAGGGCACAGAGTTAAATAAACCAAGTGGCTTTCAGGACAGCGAAGAAACAAAACTAGCTAGAGTAGAGGACTTGAGTAGAGGGGAAATAAGACTGAAAAGGCACGATGGCTCCAGATTGTGCAGGAACCCAGGCAAACTGAATTTACTCTGGCAAAGAGAAGTCACTGCAAGTGCTTAAGCAGAATAACTTGATTAAAGTTTTAGGAAGATTCATCTGGCAATGACGTAGGATGGATTGAGCCAAGAGAGATATAAGGGAAGGCAGGGAGCTATTCATCTAATAAGAGTAAGAATAAAGAATAACAATACTATACAATATCTATAATGTATTTAGTTATTATTACTTGGTAGACACTGTGCTAACATGCACTTTTTAATTTAATTCTCATCACAACCCTACAAAGGAAATTGAATTAGTGAACATTTTTTCCCCTCCACTCTCACATACCACTCAACACAACACTTCCCACACCACATGTGTGGGAGTTATTTCCCCACACACCAAGCAATCAGCTCTGCAGTGGACATCAGCTGGGTGTCTTCTAGTTCAATTATGATTCTATATACTTGGAAATAGGGTCAAATCCCACAGGTTGAGGGCTCAGGCCCGCAAGAATTCCCCCCGCTTCAGATGCCAGTCACAAGTAGTAGACTGTCACCCATACTTCTGACTGACCAGCAATAAATTGGGAGCCCCTACAACCCCCTCCTTAGATTCAGTTAACTTGCTAGAGCAGCTTACAGAACTCAGGCAAACATTTTACTTACATCAACTCACTAATTACGGAGGATATTACAAAGGATACAGATGAACAGCCAGCTGGAAGAGGTACATAGGGCAAGGCATGTGAGGGGGGTATGAAGCTTCCATGCCCTCTCTGAGCATGCCACCCTCAAGGAACCTCTATATGTTCAGCTATTCAGAAGCTCCCCACAAGCTATCCTTTTAACTTTTTATGGAAACTTTATTACATAGGCATGATTGATTACACTGGTCATTGGTGATCAACTCAGTCTGCAGCCTCTCTCCCCTCCCTGGTGGCTGGGAGATGGGGCTGAAAGTCCCAACACTCATCATGCCTCGGTCTTTCTGGTGACCAGCCCCCATCCTGCAACCAGTCATCTCACTAGCATTCAAAAGCCACTCTTATCATTTAAGAGATTTCAAAGGTGAGATTTCTAGCCTGGGTGAGATGTTGTCCAGGCTAGAGTGCAGTGGTGTGATCATAGCTCACTACAGCCTCTACCTCCCATGCTCAAGTGTATTATCCCCATTTTATAAGTGAGAAAATTGAGTCAAAGAGATGCTAAGTAACTTGTCCTTATCACAAACTAGGGAGTAGAGAAGGCAGAATTTGTACCTAGATAATATGACACCATAATATGAGCTTATATTCTGAACTATGCCATGTAAACAAAGTATGGGAGGCCACTGTTTGGACTAGCTTCCTGCACGAGGTTCCAAGAGATCAAACCAACCAGAATGAAGTCGTTCACATTAGGTGCCACATAATCAAACTGACCTCTGAAACAGGCCAGTTTTCCAAAAACAGAAGATTCATAGCAGCCAATCAGGAGTACGGATTACCTAAGCTAGCATGATGAGGATGTTCCCTGTTTTAACACTATAAGGAAAGAAATTTTGAACCGACCAATCTACTTTTTGTTCCATTTCTGCTTTCTTCTACCCTTTTCTGCCTATGAAGCCAAACTCCTCTGCTCACTTCATCTGAACACTCATTCTATTTTATAAAATGAGGTGTTGATTCTGGAATCACAAATAAAAGCCAATTTGAACTTGAAGCTAAATTTGCTGTAATCGTATCTTTTGATAGTCATGTCCTCCCATATTATTAAATGTGTTACTGAAAGAATCCAAGAATGAAATAATTAGGACTGAACTAGTAATTAGTAGCAAAAAGGAAATGGAAAGGAGAGAAATAAAGCTGAATAATGTAATGTTTGTTAGAAAAATGGGGATGAGAAAGAGTAAAAAATGCTTAAGTGTTGGGAGTGATTAATACCACAGATAGAAACAGGGGAATCGCAAGGTGAATCCAGAGAGGAAAGATGAGTAATAAAAATTTCAGATATTTGGGAGGCCGAGGCGGGCGGATCATGAGGTCAGGAGATTGAGACCATCCTGGATAACATGGTGAAACCCCGTCTCTACTAAAAACACAAAAAAATTAGCCAGGCGTGGTGGCGGGCACCTGCAGTCCCAGCTACTTGGGAGGCTGAGGCAGGAGAATGGCATGAACCCAAGAGGCAGAGTTTGCAGTGAGCTGAGATTGCGCCACTACACTCCAGCCTGGGCAACAGAGCAAGACTCTGTCTCAAAAAAAAAAAAAAAAAATTCAGATATGTTGCATTTGGGAAGATGAAAAGACATCTATGTAGAAATTCTAGAATACAGCTAAGGTAGATATTAGAAACTCAGGAAAGAGGTAAGGATTGGAAATACAGATTTTGAAATTACTCCACATAAAATGGATAGTGGAAGCAACAAAACCATTAAGCTCTCCAAGGTTTAAAAAAAAAAAAAAAAACGGAAAGGATCAATACTTGGGGTACAGCAATAGTTGAGTGGCAGAAAAGAGGTGGGAGGAGAGCCAGGACAGGGTACTCTCAGAGTTCCACGAATGAGAGTTTCAGGAGAAGGCAGTGAACACACTTGGTATCACACAGGCTGCCTTCTTTCATTCTGCACTTTCTCCCTGGAAGACTTTATTCTTACCCTTTACTTAAACTACATCCACCTATATGCAAATGAGTCATACATCCATATCTCCAGGCCATATGTTTCATCTAAGCTCCATGCTCAGTCCTCATTCTTTTTTACTTCTTAAAAGTAGGCTAAGTAACTTGTCCTTATCACAAACCAGGGAGTAGAGGAGGCAGAATTTGTGCCTAGATAATATGATACCATAATATGAGCTTATATTCTACCTACTTTTATCTCCACCTGGAAGTCCCCAGGGTATCTCAAATTCTACATGCCCAAAATCTAACTCTGCCTCTCAAAACAGTTTTCTTCCTGTATTCCCTATCTCAGAAAACAGAATCCAGCTGCACAAACAGGAATCCTATGAATAATCCATGACCTGCCTCTCTTTCACATCCCAACCCCAGTCAATCCATTTCAAGTCATCATGAGTTCTAGCAACTAACTATCTCTATCCCCTTCTTGAAATCTCTGGCTATTATCCTCCTAGCCTAAACCACCACAGTCTTCCACCTGGAATAATCCAACTATCTCCCACTTGGACTTCACATACAATCTTCTCCTCTTCAAATCCATTCTCCTCAGTGCTGCCAACAGATAATTTCAAATGCAAAACTGAATATGTAGCCCTTATCTGACTAATTAGCCATGCCCCAACCCTGCTTAAAACACTTCAGTTTCTATAGCTCTTATCAAATCTCTTGCCTTGGCCTACAGGACCTGCATGATTTGACCCCTGCCTATCTCTCAGTCTCATCTCTACCATTATTTTCTTTGCTGGTCTTTCTGTTTCTTGACTCTTCCATTCTTATAGACCTTTGAGTATGCTTTTCCCACTACCTAGCAAACTCCTTTCACCCTCTTCACTTCCCTCCACGTCCTTTCACCTACTTATCCTTCAATTCTTGGTTCAGTGACACTATGCCAAATCTCCCTATTATTAAATGTTCTCATTGAACCATTTGCCTTTCCTTAGCATTGAACACAACTGTAATTTTATAATACAGTTGCCTCTTGAACAACACAAGTTTGAACTTCACAGGTTCACTTATACGTGAATTTTTTTCAACAAAAGGCAATGGAAAATGCAGTATTTGAGAGATATGAAACCTGGGTATACAGAGGGCCAACCTTTTCATATAAGTGGGTTCTGTAGGTCTAACTTTAGGACTTAAGTATGCATGGATTTTTGGTATATGCAGGGGCCCTGAAACCAATACCCAGATTATACTGAGGGACAACTGTAATTTGTGATTGTTTCATCAATGTCAATTTCTCCTATCAGACCAAAAGCTCCATAAGGGCAGAAATTGTGTCTTTTTATTCACTATCAAATCACGAAGACATAGCACAGCACTTACAACAGGTGTTCATTAAATATTTGCAGAATTGATTATCAAATACTTTTTTAAATTTTTTATTTATTATTTTATTTATTTATTTTTTTTTGGAGACAGAGTCTTGCTCTGTCGCCCAGGCTGGACCGCAGTGGCGCCATCTCCTCGGCTCACTGCAAGCTCCACCTCCCAGGTTCACGCCATTCTACTGCCTCAGCCTCCCGAGTAGGTGGGACTACAGGTGCTGGCCACCATGCCTGGCTAATTTTTTGTAGTTTTAGTAGAGACGGGGTTTCACCGTGTTAGCCAGGATGGTCTCGATCTCCTGACCTCATGATCCGCCCACCTCAGCCTTCCAAAGTGCTGGGATTACAGGCGTGAGCCAATGCGCCCCGCCTTTTTATCAAATACTTTTAAGAAGTAAAAAAGAATGAGGGCTGAGCAAGACGATTGGAGCTGACTACCAAGATCACTGGTGACCTTTGAAAGTACAGTTTGAATATACTGATGAGGGTAGAATCCAGAATGCAGGGACTTAAGGAGCAACTGAGCAAACAAAATAGGGAAGAGAGAATGGACAAAAAGGCTGACAGAAGGGAGCAGCAGTCTCAAGGGAAAGCTGGTTATTTTCATTTTGTTATTCTTTATGCCATTATTGTTCTGCCTCCAATACTGAGAAGACTTAAACAGAGAAGAATTGAAAATATTAGCGACAGGATGTAATTAGTCAGACAAGGGAGGACTATAGTTGAAAAGTTTGTCTGAAAATGTCAACAAAGAGGTGAGGTAAGCAAAGATATCATAAAGGAGTGGTTAACTTGGCCGGGCGTGGTGGCTCACGCCTGTAATCCTCACATTTTGGGAGGGAGGCCAAGGCGGGCAGATCACCTGAGGTTAGGAGTTCAAGATCAGCCTGGCCAACATGGCGAAACCCTGTCTCTATTAAAAATACCAAAATTAGCTGGGCATGGTGGCACGCGCCTGTAATACCAGCTACTCAGGAGGCTGAGGCAGGAGAGTCACTTGAACCCGGGAGGCGGAGGCTGCAGTGAGTCGAGATCGTGCCACTGCACTCCAGCCTGGGCGACAAGAGCGAGACTCTGTCTCAAAAAAAAAAGAGTGGTTAACAAGCATGATGATACAACCAGTTGAAAGCAATATTTGAGTTCATAAAGAAGTTGATGAGTTGATAAACCAACAACACCTAATTGGGGAAAGCATAAGGAAGAGAGCTGTGTTGCAATCAAAAGGTAAGGAAGCCATATTCAACTACACTGCTTAGATGTAATCAGCAAAATCCAGATTGTGGGAGATTGTACAGGGCCAATAACCTGGTTCCTTCAACAAATAAATTGCAAGGAAAAAAATGAGGGAGAAATTTAAAGAATAAAAGAAACTTAAAGAACATATGGATTTGACATATCATGTGGATTTGACTGGATCCTGACCCAGTTAAGCAAACTTTAAAAAAAGAAAGACAAGTAGAAAATTGAACTCTGGATATCTGATGATAGTAAGAAAATATATTAACTACTTTAGGTGTGATAATAGTATTATGTTGGCCGGGCGCGGTGGCGGGTGCCTGTAGTCCCAGCACTTTGGGAGGCCGAGGTGGGCGGGTCACAAGGTCAGGAGATCGAGACCATCCTGGCTAACATGGTGAAACCCTGTCTCTACTAAAAATACAAAAAATTAGCCGGGTGCGGTGGCGGGTGCCTGTAGTCCCAGCTACTCCGGAGGCTGAGGCAGGAGAATAGCATGAACCCGGGAGGTGGAGCTTGCAGTGAGCTGAGATAGCGCCACTGCAGTCCGGCCTGGGTGAAAGAGTGAGACTCCGTCTCAAAAACAAACAAACAAACAAAAATAGTATTATGTTATGCTTTTAAAAGGTCCTTTAATTTTTCAGAGATCATACTGAAATATTTAGATTTCAGATACTCAGTATTTGCTTCAAAATAATACAAGACAAGGTATGTGGTGATATAGAAGCAACAAGACTGGTCATAAGTTAATCATTGCTGAATCTGGTATTGAGTTCACTGGGCTTCATTATGTATGGTTTTTTAACATTTGTTTGAAATTTTCCATAACAAATTTTTAAGATGAGATTTGGTTTGCAGAGTAGGATTTTTCTCTATATACTGTATTTTAAGTGGTCATGGTTAAAGTTTCTTGTTTAAGGTTTGACCGGGGTTCAGTAGATTTCTGGGAACCACAAGCATTATTAAATCAGATCTAAGAAAAATTGGAGGACTAAGCAATCCACAAAAAAACCAGGGTTGGGTAGAACACAAGATACCACTTGCAATATGAAATATTCAGGAGTAGATCCTTCAAGCTGCTATGTATTAAACGTTTTCAAAGATCAAAATTTAATAAAAAGGATAACAGAAACTAATTGGGGCTGCACACAGTGGCTCACGCTGGAAATCCCAGCACTTTGGGAGGTGGAGGCTGGCGGATCGCTTGAGGTCAGAGTTCAAGACTAGCCTGGCCAATATGATGAAACCCTGTCTCTACTAAAAATACAAAAATTAGCTGGGTGTGGTGGCACACGCCTGTAGTCCCAGCTACTCAGGAGACTGAGGCATGAAAATCATTTGAACCTGGGAGGTGGAGGTTGCAGTGAGCCAAGATCGTGCCACTGCACCCCAGCCTGGGCTACAGAGAGAGACTCTGTCTCAAAAAAAATTAAAAAAAAAAGAAAAAGAAACGAACTGGGGGATCCATAAGGAGAATGCTGATGTTCAAAGCTGGAAGAAAAATGATTCCATCTACTCTTTGGTTTCTAAGACAGATTGGAGATTCAAAGCCAAAGAAAAAGTCATGCTGGCATAAGATAAAACCTGAGCATATTAAATTTGCTCCTATGGAAAGAAAAGAATATATGCACTAAAACAAAGGTCCCCAACCCCCAGGCCACGGACAGGCACCTAGGAACCAGGCCGCAAGGCAGGGGGTAAGCCGTAGGAGCTTCATCTGTTTCTACAGCCACTCCCCATCTGGCATTACTGCCTGAGCTCTGCCTTCCGTCGCATGAACAGGGGTGTTAGAGTCTCACAAGAGCGTGAACCCTATTGTGAACTGCGCAAGCCAGGGATCTAGGTTGCATGCTCCTTATGAGAATCTAATGCCTGATGATC
This sequence comes from Homo sapiens, assembly GCF_000001405.40. Classification (NCBI taxonomy): domain Eukaryota; kingdom Metazoa; phylum Chordata; class Mammalia; order Primates; family Hominidae; genus Homo; species Homo sapiens. Next base: position 125,885,911 of record NC_000011.10, read on the forward strand.
TGTCACTGTCTCCCATCACCCCCAGATGGGACCATCTAGTTGCAGAAAAACAAGCTCAGGGCTCCCACTGATTCTACATTACAGTGAGTTGCATAATTATTTCATTATATGTTACAATATAATAATAGAAATAAAGTGCACAATAAATGTAATGCGCTTGAATCATCCCAAAACCATACCCCCTCTCTGAGCCATGGAAAAATTGTCTTCCATGAAACCTGTCTCTAGTGCCAAAAAGGTTGGGACCGCTGCACTAAAGGAGTGTTATGATATTGCAGATGTAGGGGCAGTCACTCAAATCTCCACAACCTACTTCTGTCATCTTCCCTCCTTTGTTCTTTCCATTTTCTTCCTCCCACAAATTCAAAGTGCCTTAGAGGTAGCACAAAGGCCCTGAGGCAAAGAGGGAGAGTAAGAGATAATACGAAGTGTTTGGAGGAAAAGGATTAAACATTTCTCCCCTCCCACTGAATCCTGGATTTAAGAAATGGTGTAAGATGAACTTGACAACTAGCACCTATTTGTTTAAGGTGGAAAATGCAATGCTCAGGACTCAAGACCAGTTGAGATAGGTTTGCTTGGTATTGACTAGGATATTGAACCCTGAGGGCCTCTCCTCTTGCTTTTACAGATCTCATCCTCAGCAATCCCCAAGCACTAGATTTTTTTTTTTTTTTTTTTTTTTTTTTTTACAGGTACAGATGCAAAAAGAGTTAAAACATCGGGTTTAAAAAAAAAATTAGTGGCTGGGCACAGAGGCTCACAACTGTAATCCCAGAGCTTTGGGAGGCCGAGGGGGTAGAATCACCTGACTAACATGGTGAAACCCCATCTCTACTAAAAATACAAAATTAGCCGGGCATGGTGGTGCTCGCCCGTAATCCCAGCTGCTCGGGAGGCTGAGGCAGGAGAATCGCTTGAACCTGGGAGGCAGAGGTTACAGAGAGCTGAGATCGCGCCACTACTCTCCAGCCTGGGCAACTGGGCAACAAGAGGGAAACTCCGTCTCAAAAAAAAAAAAAAAAAAAAGTTGAGAGTAACACCATGTGAAGGAGACAGGCACATTCCAAAAGAAAACAAGTGCATGTCGGAGCAAGGCAGTCGGTGGCTGGAGCACAGTTAGAGTAACGTGGGAGGAGCTGTGGAGACGCAGCCACGGGTCACGCCAGGGCCCTGCACACCATGCAGAGGAAAGGAAGAGCTCAGTGCGCCAGGGTTTCATACAGCCGCTCTCTCAGGCCCCAAGGAAACGTCTAGAGCGCACAGGCGGACTCACCCCAGACTGTTCGAACCGTCCCTGAGCGCCCGCCCTCGTCTCCCGGCACCACTGGCCCCGCAGCAGCCAGTTGAGAAGGGCGGAGGCTGATTCCAATGAAGTGGCAGACCGTTAGGCGGCCTCTCCAAAAAGCCAGCTATGTCGCCGTTAGCCAAGGTTTGAGGGTCTTCTCCTTCTCTTCGAGGGCCCAACCTCCCCTCCAGATTTAGTACACCAGAGGCGTCGCAGCAACGGCTGCTGCCTGCGCGCCTCAGCTAGGCGGGCTCGGATATTTTTAAGGCCACATTGGAAATCCCGGGCATGCTCCCGCCGGCGGAGAAGGCCCAGACAAAATGTGCGCCAATCAGGATACAGACTTGGAGGACGTTTACCCTCAGGACCAATAAGAGGGAGGGCGGACCGGGCCAAGGGTGCCGGTTCGCTCTCCGGATTTAAACCTCAGCGGTCGGCGGTTAACCGCAGGCTCGGCGCGTGGGCCGGCAGTGCGCCTGCGCAAGTTACGCGAAAGCTAACAGAATCTGCGGTGCTCTGCTGGCGACTGGCAGGACGCGGTGCAGAGAGCGGACTTCCGCGACGCGGGTAAGCCGGGCGAAGGCCGGAAGCGGAGGGACGCGGGGACCTGGTGGCTGCCGGCCCACTGCGGCGGGAGCCCTCGCTCCTTTTCCCACCGTCGGGACGGTGCAGAGTGGCAGCTTCCCTCCGTGGATTCCAGGTCCTGCCTGGCGAGCCGTCCCCAACGTCTGCGTTCCTGAGGGAGGCGGCCGGGGCAGCGTGAGCTACAGGCGATGTGCGCGGCGGGCCGCAGCCCCTGGAGGTCACGGTGTGCGCTGGCCGCCGCCGCGGTCTTTGCCCCGGTGGCCTTTCTGAGCTCCTGGGCCGCGCCCCTGGGACCAGGCGGAGGCCGGGGACGGCCCCAGGGCTGGAGGGGAGTCCCGAAGGCCGCTAGCGACCTGGGTCCAAGCCACGCCCACGGCCAGGCGGGGCGACTGCGAGCTTTGCCGTTGAAAGGCGGAGCGTGTCTTGTCGCCTTCTAGCTGCACCTTTTGTGGACTGCAGCATGGAACCGTCCAAGGTGTTTGTCCACCCCGAAATGGAAATAAATCTTTTTTATTCTAAACAGTATACAATCTCACTAAGCAGGCAAAGAAAAACATTAAGATATCTTTTTAGATTGGTAAGATTTTTCAGTACCCCATGCTGCTGAGAGAGTGAAGAAATGAAAGCAAGCACCTTTATGGCCTGTGTGCTGGGGATAATCTGTTTTTCTAGAGGGCAGTTTGGCATTATAAATCAGAATTCAGGCCGGGCGCGGTGGCTCACGCCTGTTACCCCAGCACTTTGGGAGGCCGAGGTGGGCGGATCACGTGAGGTCAGGAGTTCGAGACCAGCCCGACCAATACGGTGAAACCCCGTCTCTACTAAAAATACAAAAATTGGCCGGGCTTGGTGGCGGGCGCCTGTAGTCCCAGCTCCTCGGGAGGCCGAGACAGGAGAATCTCTTGAACCCGGGAGGGAGAGGTTGCAGTGAGCCGAGATCGCGCCACTGCACTCCAGCCTGGGCGACCGAGCAAGACTCTTGTCTCAAAAAAAAAAAAAAAAAAGAGAAAAGAAAAACATAAATCAGAATTCAAGTAGTACCATAACTTCTAAGTCATAATCCAATTCCAGGAGTTTATTCCAAGGACATAAATCGGACAAGAATGCAAACATAGTATGTACATGTTTTTAGCAATCCGAGCAACATTTAGTACGTGTAAAGAAGAAAGAAAATACTCGAAATTTCATCAGTCACAGATAACCATCAAACACTGTTCACATTTAGGTTTACTTCAGATATATTCATAATATATACCTTATATTTATGTGATTTCCTTATAAAATGTGTTTTAAATAATTGCATGTTACAAATATAATAAAGTATGTTAATTTAAAAGAACGTCAGTTAAGCAGATTATACATTATTGAGTCAGTAATAAATTGGGAACACATTTCTCTGTCAGTGTCGATACGCATTACCATTTTTAATGGATGCGTGGCGTTTGTTGCTATGGCTGTATTGTATCATATATTATTTAACCAGTCCCCTACTAATGTACATTTGTTTCCAGTCTCTTCATAATCATAAAATGGTATGGTAGTGGTCACTTGTATGTATACATGTTTGCATTCTTGTCCAATTTATGTCCTTGGAATAAATTCCTGGAAGTGGATTATGACTTAGAAGTTGTGGTACAGTTTAAATTCTGATTCAAAATGCCAAACTGGGCCGGGCGCGGTGGCTCACACCTGTAATCCCAAGCACTTTGGGAGGCGGAGGCGGGCGGATCACTTGAGATTGGGAGTTTGAAACCAGCCTGGCCAACATGGTGAAACCAAGTCTCTACTAAAAATAGAAGAAAAATTAGCCGGGCGTGGTGGCAGGTGCCTGTGATCCCAGCTACTCGGGAGGCTGAGGCAGGAGAATCGCTTGAACCTGAGAGGCAGAGGTTGCGGTGAGCCGAGATCAGGCCACCGCAACTCCAGCCTGGGCGACAGAGAGAGACTCGTCTCAAAAAACAACAACAATAATAATAATGCCAAACTGCCCTCTGGAAAAACGGATTATCCCCAACACACAGGGCATAATAAGGATGCTTGTTTTTATTTCTTCACACACTTGCCAGCACCGGGTACTGAAAAAATCTTATCAATCTGAAATGATGTCTTAATGCTTTTATACACATTACTGAAATTGAACATGTTTTCTGTTTATTAATTTTTGTTGCTGTTTAGAAACAGACGTTGGCTTTGTGCCCAGGCTGGAGTGCAGTGGCCAGATCATAGCTCAGTGCAGCCTCAAACTCCAGGGTTCAAGCGGTCCTCTTGCTTCAGCCCCCATAGTACTGAGACTACAGGTTTATGCCACCACGCCTAGCTAATCTTTTTTCTTTTTTTTTGAGAGATGGGGGTCTTGCTGTGTTGCACAGGCTGGTCTTGAACTCCTTCACAGCCTCAAGCGATCCTCCCACCTCAGCCTCCAAAGTGCTGGAATTACAGGCATGAGCCACTGCGCCCAGCTGTTTGTTAGTTATTATTCGTTTGGTACGGCATCTGTCTTTTCTCCCCTATCTTACTGATAATGTGTACCCTTTAATAGCTTTCTAAGAGGAATTCAAATTACTGATTTTTAAACGTGTTACAAGTATTTCTCCCAGTTTGTTGTCTCTTTTGCCTTCATTATGGTATTGTTTGCCTTTGTGGTAGGATGTTTTGTTTTGTTTTAATACTGTGATTCTTTAAGCTGCTTGCTTACCTCCCCAGAGGTGGAGAAATTTGTTATAACTCTGCAATAGCCTCCCTATAGCAGTCTACTGACCCAGTCCCTTTATCTCATTTTGAAGTCTTTGCCCCTTCTACCCTTGAAATCCTTTTGATTGTAACTAGCTAACCCTAGGATGCTGAGTCACTAAGACTTTTGAAGAGAAGATATGGTTAGGTATTTCGGTCAATGTTGTCTGTGTTTACAGAATACAAGTTGCTCTAGCTTTTATGTGAAAGTTTCCCTCTAAAGAGAAAGGATTGTTCGATCTTTTATATTAGAAAGAGAAGGAACTGACAGTTACCTATGGACCTTATTAAAGTTTCTATTTTATTTATTGTTTGCAAACATCATCTTCATATGTTCAAGGAAAAAAATAGGAGTGTGACACAGTTGAAATGCAGAGGAAATAACACATTAATCACTGTATAGTAGGACACATGCCATTAAAAAAAAAAACTAACTCTTGGCTTTACTGCCAAAAATCCTCCTAGCCCAGAGTCTCACAAATCGTTATTTATGTATAAATATATAAAAAGTGTCATTTAAATTTCACAACCTAAATAGTTCCTTTATTCCAACATTTATTTAGTCCTTACCATGGGCCAGAGACTTCGGATTTGTACAAATGCTGTCTAAGAGAGCAAGTACTTTTGCAAAGTTGCATTTGGGGGCTTCCCATTTGTTCCACCTGTGATGACTGTCTTGACTTTTTCTATGGCAACTACCAAAAATGTAGTCACTAAATTCTTACTCTTCTAGATTGGATAATATAATCTAGCCAGACTTGAAGGGATTTTACTTAAGATCTAAGACCCTGATCTTCTGATTCCTTTGCTTCTACACAGTATCCTAACAATGACTTATGGTTAGTGCATTTTGTTCCATGTATCACTGCTTCAGAGTTAATTTTTTTAAACTCTATTCTTCTTTTCTAGGTTTTTTTTTTACTTGAATGTAAATACCAATCAAGATACATTGAAATAAGGTAAGAAATTGAAAAAAAAAAAAAAAAACCTTGGTTTGCACTTACATATTTAAGTTATTCCACCATGATCATTGATTACATGAAAAAGAGGATCTTTAAATCAAAAGTAAAGGCCAAAGTAATTATATTTTAAGAATACTCAGGACATAATGAAGTGTTGATAGACTGGGTCCCAAAAAGCAGTGATAATGATTCAAATCCAGAAGACTTGGATCATACAATGGGCAATTTTGAATAAATCTTAAGTAATTTGTACCACTAATTCCCCATCTCTAAAATGGGGTATTTTCTGGTTCCCTGTCTGCTAGGATATAACAGCTATTATAATGTACTTTTTAGTACTACAGGGTCACCTCACCTTTTGTATGCTATTTTACTTCCTAAATCTGGAACTGTTTCAGTGAAGTCTATTTCTGTGGTCCACCCCCCTTCTGTAGCAATTATGCAGCATTAGTTTATGATTTATATATTAGTATTGTTTTTAATTGTCCCATGTGTTATTTGCACTAGCAGCTTGAGGATAGAAAACATATTTGTATACCTGAAGTCTTGAACATGGGTAGGAAAAAACTAATTATTGGTTGGTAAGTAAAACTTTGGATCTCATAAACATGGTAGAATTGTAAATTAGAGGATCAGGGTCTTAGATCTTAAGTAAAATCTTTCAAGGTTGACTAGATTATACTATCCAATCTAGAAGAGTAAGAATTTAGTGACTACATAAGTCAAGACAGTCATCATAGGTAAAATAAACAAGAAGCCTTCAAATGTAAGTTTGCAAAATTACTCATTCTCTGAGGTGGCATTTGTAAAAATTCCAAATGTGGTGAACACTCACTTTAGTAATGAAAATTATTATTGAGGAAGAAGGTCTGAGTTCAAACTTTGATGTTTATTATTTTTATGGTTGCAAAGGATAATGTATTTAAGACAACTCTGAGTTCTTTTGAATAAATACTGGTGTTCACAAGTAATATTTTGAGGATCACTTATTAACTTTGAGAACAAGCAAAGCTCTATCTCATTTTTCCTCTCTCAGTATGTGGTACTACCAGCCACTCATTTTGCTCACATCTGAAACTTAGGAGTTATCTAGAAAGCCTCCCTAGTTTTGAACAGCATATTTATTCACTGAGTCCTGTTGTTTCTACTTTCTTAATCTTAAATTCATCTACTTCTGTCCATTTGCCTCACTAAAAATCTCTTCTAGGCCATTTTCATCATCTATTGCCTCCATTACTCCAGCAGCCCCCTAATTGGTCACAGTGCCTCCAATCTTGCCCTCTTCCCATCCACAGAATACTCAGAGCAATATTTTTGCCACACAATTCTATCGGGCATGTAAATTTTTTCAGTGGCCCTGCAAAATCTAAGCTTTTTAAGGAATGTCTTTGCTCTACAAATGTGACCTGTGCTTACCTTTTTAAACTATGTTCTTGTCACTCTCAAGCCGTATTAAAGAATTGAGCTGCCTGAATGCATATGTTGTCATCTCTAACCCTTTATACAAACTGGATCTTCTGACTTAGACACATTTAAAGTGGTTCTTTATCCTCATTTTAACTGGCTCCCACTTGTTCTGCAAGATCTAGCTTCAATATCTCCTCTATAAGAACTTGCCTATAGTCACTAGCCCAAGGCTTGGCAAACACCATGGCCCATGAACTAAGAGTGCTTTTTAGATTTGTAAAGGATTGTAAAAACATGTATGCAATAGAGGCCATTTGTTGTTGACACAGCCTAAAACATTTACTCATTAATCCTTCACAGAAAACATTTACCAACCTCTGCACTAGATTTATATGCTTTGTAAGATAAGGTACTGTGCTTTATTCCAGGTAGGTAACTTTGTGCCTGGCATTAAACCAATTTATCCAATCTTTAATTAAATGAATTTAATATTCTTAAATTCTGTCTTAGAAAATAAGACACTCAGATGCAGCACTTTATGAAAATTCAGATGAGTAGTGAATATCTTATCTGCTTTGGAGAGAAAAACACAACAAATCAGATACTTGCAGGATTAGGCTTTAATGAATTTGAATACAAGGCACAGGTTTCCAGGTGTATGTAAATACATCTCCATTTTACGTTCTTTAATCGCTTAATCCTTTTGGACCGGGATAAGAGAATATTTGAAATTTCTTATTAAAGCAATAACTTCCTTAATAGGGCTTTAGTCTTTTTGCTTTTTTTTTTCTTTTAAGAGCTGATCATCTGAATTCCTAGTACTTGCAAGTAAATTTTTTTTTTTTTCCTTTTCTGTCCACCTACCATTAGGTGGTTCCTAGATCCTGGCAAATTGTCTATGGTTAAATGATGCTTTTAATTTCTGTGTCAACACAGACCCTCTTCGTTGGTGTCTCCAAATTAGTATTCTCTTCCTCTAGTGTGTCATTACAGTCCCTTTTGGCTTTTGTTTCTTCCTCATGGAATAAATGTGGGTGCTCAATTCGTCCCCTACGTACAAAATGCTGGATCCGGGATTCCAGTCCTTGGCATTTAGGACGGTCCATGAGGGGCTTATATGTGCGCATCTTCACTCCTTCTACAAAGGCACTGGTCTGCTTTATGACAGAGGGCTTAACATTTCCCCATTCTGTCATTCCATCCATCTTTGGTCCTATTCCACAGGGTACTGGAACAGTGTCCAGTCCTTGTAGCATACTATACAACATGTGAGTTTTGACAGCATGATTAGCCCACAGTTGTTGTAGGTGGGTAATATTGAACTCCTGAGCCTCCTGGTCATAGATCCACTTGACATTTTCAAACTTACAGTCATATAAGACTAGAGGAAATTCTACAGCCATACTAGAGAAAAAGAGAAAAGAAAGTTTGAGAATACATAACATCCATCTAACAGTTCTTTAAAAACTAAGGGTTAGTTGCGTTAAGGGAGCCGGGTAGGGCGCCACCATTGATGTTAATATTGCCTAATAGCTGAGAAAATATCTCACCATCCCTAACCTTGAACACCTTTATTACAATAATGAAAAATGCAACAAATCATAGATCAACCTGATCTATGTAAGGTAAATGTCAGTGCTAACAAGACATGGCTCCATCATACTGCTATAAAATTAAAAACAGCTGGTATTTTTTCCAAATTTGTTAATGGCATTGCAATTTTGTATAGTATGAGTAAAATTATTGGTATCTATCTCAGCCTGTTCTCAAATGAAAAATCTTGACTATTCTTTCTTTCCTACCATTTTGGAAATAGGAAATTAGGAAAAATTCAGAAGTACAGTAGGATGACTACTCAGTGATATAAAACAAGCAAGATTTAATATGAATAGTTTGTTCATTTTAATTTTACCACATCCTAACAGTAATACCTCTTAACATAAATTCAGAAACACCAATGATGTAGAAATTAATGTCTTTTTACTTAAGGAGCCTGGTCAAAACACCTGCCTCTTTACTCATGGGATAGAACAATGAGAGGAAATTAAAATACACTGCTCCCTCTTACATGTTCATAACATTCTACAATTCAGAGTAAAGCTTCATGAAGGCAGAATCAGTGACTTCGTTATTTAGACAGTTACGGTGGAGAGGAGGATATGCTATTTCTTTTTTTTTTTTTTTAAGACAGTCTCCCTCTGTCACCCATGCTGGAATGCAGTGGTCCAATCTCAGCTCAGTGCAACCTCCGCCTCCTGGCTTCAAGCAATTCTTGTGCCTCAAGCGTCCCGAGTAGCTGGGACTACAGGCATGTGCCATTTATTTTTTATTTTTAACTCACCTATATTGAGGCTTTTGGGGATTTTTCTCTATATTCAGCAGCTCATCAATAATCTCTGGCTTCTCCATTCCTTGGCCAATCAGAAAGAGGATAGCCATCATACATCGGACTTGATGATAAAGGAATGCCTGGCCAGTCACTTCAAACTGACATAACTGGAAAGGTTCTTGCCATCTCCCCTCACCTGGGCTCTGGCCCACTAGCTGTACTTGAGCAGATAGAATAGTCCTCTGAAAATTAATCACACCGTTGGCTACATCCATTTTACACAAGTTCCTGAAATCATGGGTGCCAACATACTTCTGAGCTGCATAATCCATGGTTACAATATCTAAATCAGCACGAGGGAAAAAATAGCGGTAAGTCCGCTCAAGGCAGCTGAACCTAGCACTGAAGCTTGGTTCTACAGGGGCCCAGGCCAATATACGGATGTCTGGAGGGAGTACCCGATTGAGAATGTGGGTATAACGGATCTCTTCAGCAGCAGCATTAGCCTCCTCTTTTACATTAAAGTCCTCGGAATCCCTGCCCCTTGGAAACTGAGAGCGAAGGTCAAGTGAGATCACCTGTGGAGTTAGACAAAGATACTGGGTTTTAGAGACACAAATAATCTCAGTACTCAGTGTGTATACCTAGAATATCCTAGTATTGCTTGCTTTGAGAAACAGTGTATTGGCCCTTACCTGTCCAAAGGCACTAACTCCTTTATCTGTTCTCCCACATCGGTGATAGTTGGATGTCTGTCTGCTTTCTACTAGTCGAGTCTTGGTTAGAGCTTCAAACAGTTTCTCTTCAATGGTATTATTTGTGTTTTCCTGACTAGCAAAGCCCTGGTATCCCCAGCCCATATAGGCTATTCTTAGGGCTACGTGTCTTCGGCCATGAGCACTGAAATCAAATGCACGCTTAGTTTTTCCAGCTCCTGCTGAATTTTCTCTAATGTTTGAGTCCTCCTTATTTTTGGCCTGTTCCTTTTTAAGTCTTTGCACCTCTTGCTCCAGTTCTCGTACTCTTTTTAGGAGCTTCTCAGTCTGGTTTCTGTCTGTGTCATTATAAGCCATGATATGACAACCCCAGGAATAAACGAACCATACAGGTCTGCCCTGTCTGAAAAGAGAGCAAAGGGATACAACAGTTTCAATGCTAGTTCCTTTGATGATGTTCTAATGGTATATAAGATTTAATTTAATGCCCAAAGAATATACTTTTGCTTTTCCAGGAATACAAGCATTAGCTTTATTGTGGGTTGATCATCCACAGATAGCATTCTTTTCCATCCTGTCTGGCCAGTTCACAGAGGGAAAGAACTGTTTGTTATTCAGTTGTCATTATTAAGGTTTCATTAAAGCAGTCAAAATTCAGGGAGAATGTCTATAGATTTCATTTCTCTATCTTCACTGAATTGATTGAGGACTGATGTTACAGATTTTTTTCTCTAAAACATTTCCATTTGATTTCTCACTGTATTTGTTCAATTTGCTAGTCATAAGATTTCTTTATATGGGCTACTTTTATCTGCTCTGAGTTTCTATTGCTTTCCATTATCTCAAATAAATGACTTGTATGCTCCATCATCTAATATTCATTAGATGAATATTAGGTGGTGCAATAGAAGCTAGCCTAACTGAAGAAGCTTACCGATGGTTGTATTTCACATTGGAAGTAGAAGCTAGAGACAAGATTTTCTCACTTTAAGCAATTTTGATGGGAGAAAAAAAGATAATTAAGCACTCTGACCCCTTTCTAAAGCTGAATTAAATGCATATTTTGATAAAAGATTTCTGTGCCTCTAATAGTTTAAAAAGTCAGTCTGATGTAATGTAGATGTCAGTGTAGAAATTCCTGTAATATTTCAATAATCTGAGGACAACTGTACTACATCCTTAAAATTGGGATGGTCCTAGACAATCTGTGACTGATGGTTACTTTAGTTAGAGAAGACCATCTCCACATCTGTTCTAAGGCCATGTTATCTAAGTATAGGTAGCTTAGTTTTTTACTATGAGTTTCTGTATCTATAATAGATTAAAAGTTTAAATTGTAAAAAATGAAACTGAAAGTACTAGAAGAAAACATGGAATGACTTTTTTCTGAAATTCTGGAGTAGGAAAGGCATTTCTAAGCAAAACAGTCTAGAAACCCAGACACTAGAAAAAGATGTGACCTAAAAGGAAAAACTTCTGCCAGCAAAAAATAAAAGGCAAATGACAAACTGAGAAGAAAAAAATAAGTGATGGTAAAGTGCGACCTTCCTCAATATATATTTCATGAATATATACATCAGTTTTAATGAAAAAGTAAAAAAAAAAAAAATCCAGCAACCTGAGAGTCAAATGGGCAAAGACCAAGCATTTCAAACAAAAAGAAAAAAGCTTATAAAAATTTTTTAAAAAAAATTTTAAATGCTCAATTTTACTCAGCTGAGATAAATGCAAAAGGATATGAACTATTTTTCAAGGAAGTGACTGCAAAGACAAAGTTTGATAGTATACCACTTTGGAGAGGGAATAGAGACACAAGCTCTATTAATGTATGGTCAGTACAGCTTCTTTGGAGGTAAACATTTTGGCAACAGCTGTCAAAATTGAATATACACATACCTTTTGGCCCACCTCTCCCATGTCTAGAAATTTAATCCATTCATATGCTTGCACAAATAGATAAAAACTTGCAAGATACTCGTGTTAGCATCAGTAAACCTATAAACCTAAATTACACCAGTAAGGGAATGGCTGACTAAATTTATGATACATTCATACATTGGAATTCCGCGCAACATAAAATGAAGAATGTCGGCCTGTGCTGATATAGCTGGATAACCAAGATTATCTTTAAGGTTCAGAAGAGTTGTGTAGTGTTGTCCTTTACGGTATTAAAAAAAAATGTACATGTGAATATGGAAAATTTCTAGATAAATCATAAGAAATTGCCTTTGAGAGTAAAACTTGGTGGGGGAGGGAAAATCCTTGCTTAAAATTATCATGTGCATGTATTAGTTTTTCAGTTTAAAAAGAAAAATAGTGGGGACACAGGAAATAGTGGACAGTAGATACCTATCTCAGATCCAGTCAGGAAACTAGCATTGGGTATGTGGCTGATTGATGTGGATACCAAGTTATTTCAGACACTAGAATAAACAGATTTAGCTGGCAACTGAAGATGCATTAAAACTACCAAGACAGCTGGGCGCGGTGGCTCACCCCTGTAATGGGAGGCCGAGGCGGGTGGGTTGCCTGAGGTCAGGAGTTTGAGACCAGCCTGGCTAACATGGTAAAACCCCATCTCTACTAAAAATTCAAAAATTAGCCAGGCGTGGTGGCCCACACCTGTAGTAGTCCAGTTACTCCGGAGTCTTAGACAGGATAATCGCTTGAACCCAGGAGGTGGAGGTTGCAATGAGCCGAGATCATGCCACTGCACTCCAGCCTAGGTGACAGCAAGACTCCATCTCAAAAAAAAAAATTATTAAAGCATAGAAATTATATGTATGCACGTATATACACATTATATGTGTGTGAGAGAACACAACACTGCTTTTGTGATTTTTTTTTTTTAGATCAAATCACTCTTTTATGGTTAAAAGCAGGGACTCAGTCTGAAGCCAAACTGCTTGAGTTAGAATTTCAGCTCCACTACTTACTAGCTGAGTAACCTTGGGCAAGTTATTTAACTTCCCTGTGCCTCATGTTATTCATCTGTGAAAAGCAGATAATCCCACAGCTGAAAATTACATGAATTAATAAATGTAAAGCACATAGAACAATGGCAGGCACATAAAGTACTCCCTAAGTACCTGTTACATAATGTGCATTAAGCAGTATGCCCCATATCATGTAGTTTCAAGCTTTTCTTATGCCAGAACTATACTGTCCTGTTTTAGGACCTGAAGGTGGCAAGACAGTAGAAAGCAGGAGTAAGAGTGGAAATGAAAGCAGGTAATAGATTCCCTAGAACTGAGTTAATGCCCCTCTAAACTGTTCTGATACTACCCTGTATTGAATTTATGATGGCCTTAGCCATTCTTTCTCCATTTGACTGCTATAAAACGGAGATAAGGGAATGAGCAATTTATGAGCTGGGAATTTATTATCAGAAAACTGACCAATGTTATCTCTTGCAGAAGGTCCTACAGTGTAGGGGAAGCAATGGAAGAACTTCTACCTGATGGACAAATATGGGCTAATATGGATCCAGAAGAACGAATGTTGGCAGCTGCTACAGCTTTTACCCACATCTGTGCAGGGCAGGGTGAAGGAGATGTCAGGAGAGAAGCCCAATCTATCCAATATGATCCCTACAGTAAAGCTTCAGTAGCCCCAGGGAAGCGACCTGCTCTTCCTGTGCAACTACAGTACCCACATGTAGAAAGTAATGTCCCTTCAGAAACAGTCTCTGAGGCCTCCCAAAGACTCCGAAAGCCAGTGATGAAGAGAAAGGTGCTGCGCAGAAAGCCAGATGGGGAAGTATTAGTAACAGATGAGTCGATTATCAGTGAATCAGAATCTGGTACAGAAAATGATCAGGATCTCTGGGACTTAAGACAAAGGCTGATGAATGTACAGTTCCAGGAAGACAAGGAATCTTCATTTGATGTTTCACAAAAATTTAACCTACCACATGAATACCAAGGAATTTCTCAAGATCAGCTCATTTGCTCTCTACAAAGAGAAGGAATGGGCTCTCCAGCTTACGAACAAGACCTGATTGTTGCCAGCAGACCCAAGTCCTTTATTCTCCCAAAGCTGGACCAGTTAAGCCGAAACCGGGGCAAGACAGACCGGGTAGCCCGGTATTTTGAGTACAAACGGGACTGGGACTCAATACGTTTACCTGGTGAAGATCATAGAAAGGAATTACGCTGGGGTGTCCGAGAGCAGATGCTTTGTCGAGCAGAACCCCAATCCAAACCTCAGCATATATATGTCCCAAACAATTATCTAGTACCAACAGAGAAGAAAAGGTCTGCACTCCGTTGGGGTGTTCGTTGTGACCTTGCAAATGGTGTCATACCCAGGAAGCTTCCCTTCCCTCTTTCTCCTTCTTAAATCTTTTTAAACTTCTTTCACAGGATTGTTTGAGATAACCTAGCTCTTTATATCTTCCCTTTTAAATAGAAACAACTGTCTTGAGAAGCTCTTCGAAACATTTTATGGTAAGGACTTCACCTATCATTGGTCTTTCCTAGCTATATATCACATTGGTATCAGATGATACTTCCAAATTGCCACTCAAATCCAGCAATTGCAAGATAAATCATATCAGAGAAAGAACAACAGACCTGGTCTTTCTATTTTGTCAAATTAGTAAGGGCCCTTTGTGTCCTGTAACTTTTTTTACCTATCAATATGAGTTGCTGTGCTTCAGTGTGTGTTTTTTAAGTTGCTGGGCATTACACTTACCAATTAAAGAATTTTGGAAATTCATGAACTTGAACATTATTTCATGAAATACTTGCCTAAGATGATCTTGAACCTGGGCTATGATGAGAGCTCAAAAGAAGGAACAAGCCGGGCGCGGTGGCTCACGCCTGTAATCCCAGCACTTTGGGAGGCTGAGGCGGGCGGATCACGAGGTCAGGAGATCGAGACCATCCTGGCTAACACGGCGAAACCCCGTCTCTACTAAAAATACAAAAAATTAGCCGGGCGAGGTGGCGGGCGCCTGTAGTCCCAGCTACTCGGGAGGCTGAGGCAGGAGAATGGCGTGAACCCCAGGGGGCGGGGCCTGCAGTGAGCCGAGATTGCGCCACTGCACTCCAGCCTGGGCGACAGCGAGACTCCGTCTCAAAAAAAAAAAAAAAAAAAGAAGGAACAAAAACCTGCCTTTTACATAGTCCTAAAGGATGGGAGAGGTTAACAACATGGATAGCCTCATTACTAAAGGTGTACAACAAATCCAAGTAGCTTTAAAATACTTTCTAACAAATGCCCCAAAACAGTACCATATAACATACAGGATTCAAACTTGTTTTATTTCAGAATTATTTCATTAATATTTTGCCTGCCAGCTGTTATTTCTGGAATACCATTCTTTTTATAATTTGCCCCTGAGATTTTTGTAGGAATTATGCATCATTTGGAAGGGTATTCCTACTCCAGTAGAAATTCAAACTAGTAACATCTGGAATCAGATGCAAACATAAATACCAATATGAACCTAGCCTGTTTGGGTGCAGATCAAAATAGGAATTCTGCTCACCTTAAATTGTAATTTATCTGTTCTTGATATTTCTGACCCAACGGGGACCATCTAAAATCTGAAAGTTGTCAGTTTTAACACCAGAGGCCAGAAGAATGATAGTACAGTTTGCTTGTTCACAGAGAAAAAGTTCTAACATAAAGGTGAATGACCTTGACCGTTACTATCTGCGAAAATCATTTTCCCTGTAACATTTAAAGCCACATAATTCACACATTCACCCAGTTCTATTTGTTAGGCATTTGTCTGGAAAAGAAGTAATCAATGACTCAGGTACATGTAGGATATACTCACCGCAAAAAAGTAGAAACTGCAAACTGTCCACCAACAGTGGAATAGTAAATGTCTTTAAAGACATTAGAATATTAAATAGTCATTGGGAATCTTGGGAAAGTAATATGGGAAGGTGAAATTAAGTGACATGAATGTATCATAAACTATACAGGATGATCTCAGTACACACAGGGAAAGATCAAAACCTAACGAGTAGTGGGATTAAAGGTAATTTGTATTTATACCTCGACTTTTTATGAGGTCAAAAATTACATGGTGATTTTAACATGCAAAACACTCCAGTGATTATTTGGATCTCAAAGTCCAACATTACCAAAGTCTCCAAAGTTCAACTCCCGTGCTAACTAAAGAACTAGGCCAGGGAGTGAGTCTAGTTGGTCATAAGGCAGATTTGTGGCAAAAACAGGACTTGGTACACTACAGTGCTTTTTCCAGCACACCTTACCCTAATTCAGGGTGAAGTGCAGGAGTTCCCAAGCAGACGTTTAAAGTAACACCCTGGCCAGGGCTGCGAAGTAACCACAGAGAGGGAATTCGTGTGTCCCCTAAGCACCAATTACAAACTAAAACGGCCATCACCAGATGTTCCATACATTGGGCCAGGCGCCGTGGCTCACGCCTGTCATCCCAACATTTTGAGAGGCCAAGACGGGGTGGTGGCGGGGGGGAGGGGGGGTCGCTCGAAGTCAGGAGTTCGAGACCAACCTGGGCAACACAGCGAGACCGTGTGTTAATTAAAAAATTAAAAACTAGGCTGCCAAGATGGCGCACGCCTGCAGTCCCAGCTAGTTGGAGGCTGAGGTGGAAGGATCGCTTGAGCCCAGGAGGTAGAGGCTGCAGTGAGCAGTGATCACGCCACTTCACTCAGCCTGGGCGACAGTCTTAAAAAAAAAAAAAAAAAAGTCCTAATCTCAGGAACCAGTGGGTTAACACATAAATAGCATTCCTCTTGATAAACTTTATATTAATCCAAAGGGAAGAAGAGGGAGTACTGTCCAAAGGATTAGCAGACACGCACTATGATCACTAGAAAGCAATCGTGGTCTGTATGTAAGGCAATCCCCAAAATAATTTGAAAATTGCTGCCACAGCCTCCCACATACTCCTGGGTTCTCAACTTCTACTGTTTTATGAGCACCCAATTCTAAGTGGGGCAGCAGAGCACTTTTGTACTCCACAGTACAAGTACCACTGAAGCTCCCGTCACAACGGAATTAAAGACGACCCTACTGCGGCGAGTTTCCACCGAGAGCTCCAGAAAGTACCAGGCACAAAAGAAAAATACATGGTCTTAAGCGAGGTCTCATTTCCATACGGCAATGCTTTCCTGAAAAGACCAAAGTATGTGAAAGAGGGCAAAAAGAAGACAACAGACAACCGTTCAGCAGTGTGTCCATTTGTCCCTTCCCCTGTGGAACCCAGAAAGTAACCCACTCCAAAAATCCCACACTTACTTTCCGGCAGCCGGCCGCGCCGCGTTTCCGAGAAAGGAAGCTGTCACTGTGCGTCTTCTGCGCAGGCGCCCGAGCCCTCATGGGAGGTGTAGTCCAAGTTTGTGGGAAATGTAGTTCTGAGAACCGAGCTTGGTGCTAGAATCTACCTGAGGTTTTCTAGTCCAGCTACCGTTTCTCCGCCCACAGGGCAGAATCTGGGCCTGTGGCGGGACAGCAATAAAAGGAGGAATTGTAGTGCTACGCTAAAATAATAGAAAAAAGGTAATTTTTCAAATTCTGCTATCCTTATACGAAAACTAAAAGATTGAAGATCTTGGCTCGATTTTATACCTAGTTAAATGAGAAGAAAGTTACCATTGAGAGACAAAAACATTTACTATTAGAATTCAAATTAAAAGCTGAAATGAATATGATAATCTCAAAACAAACGACTAGGTGCCCTGAGAGTGACCGAACAGAGCGGGGAGCGTTGCTTCAGCACCACGGAGAGATCATGACTGCAGTTTCGTGTGGGTTTTTGTATTTTTGCCCCCAATTCCAGAAATGCTGATCAAAATCTCAAAATTACAATTAGAAAACTGGGGGGCGGGGGGGAGGTGGAATTTGGTTCTTTCGTCCAAATTGAGCGGTCATTAAATCATTAGTACCAGGGATCCAGGGATCTATACCGGATTATGCAAACGCATGTAGGACGTAGAGGTTATACCGAAAGGTAATGTTTTTAACAAGAGACCACATTTCAGAATAAAAGCTTTAAAAAGCCTATGTGGAACATCACAGGTATCTAGGGCAGGAACAGCAGTTAGAGCTTGAACAGTTCTGCTTCCTTTCCGCAACTGTGGCATTCGAGGTCATTCGTCATATCAAATTCATCAGATTTTGTCTCCACTTTGCTAACCAATTCGCTAACCTTTCTGACATCTTGTGATGTGGAGGCGGAAATTTCCAGGGAAACCGACACGGGGCGTAAAGCGCGGCGGGGAGTCCGGGGGGCTCCCGCCTGGAGGGCTGTGTGAGCGGCGGGCCGCGGGGCGGCGCGGGGGGCGCTCTCCACTCTGCGGAAGCTGCCCCCTCTGCCCTCCGGTCCGCGCCCTTTCGCCCCGCTCTCTGCCCTCCGCCCCGCTCTCTGCCCTCCGCCCCGCTCTCTGCCCCCCGCCCCGCTCTCTGCCCTCCGCCCCTTCCGCGCGCCACCCAGCCTTCCAGCGCCTGCGCGCCGCACCGCGGTGGTCGCGGGCGCGGACGCGGACGCCTGCCCCCTAAGGAAGCCCATTGGCCAGCGGATGGGGCCAGCACCGCCTCGCGCCGGTGGTGGAAGCACGTGCTGGGGGCGGGAGCAGCAATCGCAGCCATGGCGTCGTTACTGTGGGGAGGCGACGCAGGGGCGGCGGAGAGCGAGCGGCTGAACAGCCACGTAACCGCCACCGAGCCGGGGGGCCACAGCCGCGGGGGTGGAGCTCCCACTCGCAGAGGGAGATCGGCTGGGAGGGGAGGGAGAGCCCGCGAGCGTTCGAAGTGGGGCGTCAGATGCTGGAGGGGAGATGCGGGAAGGGTTTGGAAGAGGGCCACAGAGGGAGACCCCGTCCCCACCCCCACGAGAGGCAAGACCTTTGGTTAGAAAGGGCAAAAATGACGACCCCTGGAAATCCAGGGTGGGAACGCAGCTGGTAGTCCCAGCTAGACCCCGAGTTTTCTACTCTGCCCATTTGCCCATTAAGCCTCACCTCGCTTCCATCCATTTGCCAGCGCACTTTCCTAGCCACCCTCCCCTTGTTGGTGCCGTGAGCCCCAAGTACTGCCCAACTCTAAACTAGAGGCCTAGGAAAGAGAAACTGCATGTACAGGGAATACAGAAAATCTCCAATTTTAGGGTAACTCATACAGGAAACCCAACCTTGAAAGGAATCTGCTGCTACCTAATATTGCAAAGGAAGCAATACCCGGGTGTCCTTCCCTGAATCCCTCCCAGCCCCTGTGGTAGGGAAGCACTGGGCTGCTTGAGGGCTTGCATCCTAATATTGGTTGAAATTTGTGTCTCTCAATAGTTTTCAAACCTCAGCCAACCCCGGAAGAACCTTTGGGGTATTAAGAGTACTGCAGTCCGAAACATAGGTGAGTGCTGTTAGGGCAAAGCAGAGCGACCTCAATGATTAAAAAGTATTGTTTTGCTTTCATCACGTCCCTGCCAAGTGAAACACCGCGGATTCATTAGTGTGACATTCAGCACTCTCCATTACCTTCCCAATCGTTTCGTCCATTCCTCCATGAAATGACTCTTCTTGCCAGTAGACACTGAAGAGTCAGGAAGAAAAAATTGAATAGCATGCTTTACATTTGTGCTCAGCATTTGTCTTTACTTGTATTGTTTCTCTTCCATCCTTTCCAGATGGTTCTATTAATAACATCAATGAAGATGATGAAGAAGATGTAGGTAGGAGATGAATTCATTTGCATGTATCTACTAGCATTCTGTTTCCGTTTATAACTTTAATAGTGTGAGTGAATAATATAATCTCAATTGGAAAAGGCCTGTCTTTGCTTCTGTTTTCTTATAGTGACTATCAGGAGACACACTAAATTAGGAGTAAGGTGTATTTATTTAAAGGAAGTTGAAATGGAATATGCAGGGATTGGGTTCAGAACTTCCATCTGTCAAGGATTTGGTCTCATGGAGATGGACTTAGGCTACTTTGAAGTTAGAGGATGGTGAAGTAACAGAGCGTAAGAAACTGAATCCTCATAAAGAACGAATCCTCAGTGCTATATCATTCTTTCTGGAACCCTCTTTTAGAGGAAAAATGAGCGTAGGTGCAATTGCTTGGTATACAACCACTGAAAGAGAAAGAGCAACTTATTTGATGTCATTCAGGAAGCTTGATGTCCTCTTTTTTATTTTTGCTTTTCTAGTGGATTTGGCAGCTAATTCACTCTTAAACAAGTTAATCCATCAATCCTTAGTAGAATCCAGTCACCGTGTGGAAGTTTTACAGAAGGATCCCAGCTCTCCACTTTACTCAGTAAAGACATTTGAAGAGCTGCGGCTGTGAGTATTTTTACTCTTTTAATATGGGAAAAATGCTGAAAACCACAGAACAAACGCATCTGCTTATAGTAAAAACCATCAGGATCTCCTCTTTGTTTTCTGATATTCAATATTTTTTTTTGTTATTTGAGACAGAGTCTCACTCTGTCCCCCAGGCTGGAGTGCAGTGATACGATCTCGGCTCACTGCTCTACCTTACAGGTTCAAGCGATTCTCCTGCCTCAGCCTCCCGAGTAGCTGGGACTACAGGCATGCACCACCACGCCCAGTTAATTTTTAATATTCAGTATTAAAGTGAGATTTGTACATTTTCCATGCAATCAAAATATAGCTCAGGCCAGGCACAGTGGCTCATTCCTATAATCCCAACACTTGGGAGCTGAGGAGGGCAGATCGCCCGAGGGTCAGGAGCTTGAGACCAGCCTGGCCGACATGGGAAAACCCCCTCTCCACTAAAAATACAAAAAGTAGCCGGGCATGGTGGCGCGCACCTGTAATCCCAGCTATTCGGGAGGCTGAGGTAGGAGAATCGCCTGAACCCAGGAGGCAGAGGTTGCAGTGAGCCGAGACACCATTGCACTCCAAGCCTGGGTGACAGAGTGAGACTCCGTCTCAAAAAAAAAAAAAAAAAGGATATTCTAAAGAAGAACATTAGGATACTCAAGTTGCCTGGCAAATTGAGAACATTTTTGATAGTAAGATATTTTCATCCTGCAGTGCTCAGGGGGATAGATAGCTAAGCTAGGCACAGCCAGATTGCCCCTCTCCATATCAGAACCCAGATTCTGATGACCCAGACATCCTCCTTCACCCACTATAGATAAGTCACAAACTTTTACTTTCCTGATTATATTTTGTTTCAAATGATATTAAACTGAATAACTTTCCCAAATGGGTTTGCATTCCCTAGGGATTTATCATTTGACGCTAAAAAATGTATTTTTACAGAACGAGAAAAGCACTGAAACCTACTTATGTAAAGGGTAAAAATCCAAAATCCTAGTTCCCAGACATTTTCTAAATGGTAGAAGAAGCCTACCCATGATTTAAGATGGGCTACCAGTCCTCTACCAATTAAGCACACACAAATGTGCATGTCATTAAAAGTTGAAGTGTTGGCCGGGCGCGGTGGCTCACGCCTGTAATCCCAGCACTTTGGGAGGCCAAGGGGGGCGGATCACGAGGTCAGGAGATCGAGACCATCCTGGCTAACACAGTGAAACCCCGTCTCTACTAAAAATACAAAAAATTAGCCAGGTGTGGTGGCGGGCGCCTGTAGTCCTAGCTACTCGGGAGGCTGAGGCAGGAGAATGGCGTGAACCCGGGAGGTGGAGCTTGCAGTGAGCTGAGGTCGCGCCACTGCACTCCAGCCTGGGCGACAGAGCAAGACTCCGTCTCAAAAAAAAAAAAGTTGAAGTGTTGTAGTCCACTTGATTTATCCTCATTCTGGCATTTTTCTTAAGACCCTCAGGAAAGCTGCATTTTAAAATATTGCCTCAGAAGGATGGAGTAATATTGTGTCTTCTACTCCTAGAAAGAACTAATATAAGAATCACCTAAATAAAAATTTGTCTTCTCTGAAAATTACTGTTAAAAATGTCAATATCGTTCGTGAAAAGGAACAAAACAGTAAATGTCACTTAGTTTTCTGCTTAGGCAGAAAATATAACTCTCTTGGCAAGCAGATATATTCTTTTTATGCGATGAGTTTTTCCATTTTTGCTTTGTTCAACAGAAGGTTTGACTTAAGGCCTTTACCACTGTCCTTCGCCTAGGCTTATGGCGTAGCTTATTATTTTAGTGGTCCAGCTCTACAGGCATGATTGTTTATGTTTGGAAGTTGAGGTATGAATGATCTATCTCCAAATACTAGTTTTAAAGCTCAGCTGCAAAGTGACTTAATTTAGAAATGCACCTTTCAGGTATGTATTTCTGATGCTACTGACCAACTATAATCTGTAAGTGTTTGATTTTTTTTTTTGACAGAAAGGAAGAGTTACTAAAAGGAATCTATGCAATGGGATTTAATAGGCCATCTAAAATCCAAGAGATGGCTCTCCCTATGATGCTGGCACATCCGTGAGTTTCCAGGGTAGTGGTATTCTACTTGGTTATGTTTAGTTTCTTATTTTCAGTTTATGCCCACTCTCTTGTATTCAGTTTATGCCCAGTGGTCTTCTCTTTTCTACAGACCCCAGAACCTCATAGCACAGAGCCAGTCTGGAACAGGAAAGACAGCGGCATTTGTGTTGGCAATGTTAAGCAGAGTTAATGCCTTGGAATTGTTCCCACAGGTAAGGGAAGGCTGAGAGAAGACTGGGAATGCTTGCACTACCAGTGCTAATTTAGTAATAGGTGATATTCCTGTGCAATGATATGGTTACTATGGTGATGAAATATTTAGAAAAGACATGTTTTCATAAAATCATAGAGCATTGGGTAGCAGCATGGGACAGTGATGGAGAGGACAGGCTTTATAGTCTTGAGTGGTTTCAATGCTAGCCTCCCACTTACTAACTGAATGTCTTAGGCAAGTTAATAAATCTGAGTCTGTTAATCCTTGTCTGTAAAGATAGCATCTGTAAAGGAATGTATCATAGTTGATCTGTTCACCCTTAAATCCTAATACCTAGCACAGTGCCTGGCTTGTAGAAACCACTCATTAAACATTGAATAAAGTCATCATGTGGATTTAATGAAGTAATTTACGTTTTTAGCACAGTGCCTGGCATAAATTAAGCATGCAATAATTATAGCCATCTAACTGCAGGACCAGAAGGTCAGGTAGTCCACCTCACTCTAGCAGAGGAGGAGGCTGATGCTTGGAGAGGGAAGTGTCTTTCTTGAGGTCCCCAGAGAGTGGCTGAGTCAAGACTGGCACTGGTACCCGGTTTACCATTCTCCTAGTGTAGTTTCCACTCATGAAAAGTATCTGGTCGTCTCTCCCTATTTGCTTGACAAGCTGAGTACCCATATGCATTAAGTGCTGTGGGGAATACCAAGGCTCTCTCAGTAAGCTTCCACTCTGATCAGCCAGGTCAGCTATAGGTAAGGCATAGGAAATCTTACGCATTTTAGACAAGTTCAGTGAAATTTATGTTTAGGGTTTGATATTATCAATAAAAATTATGTAGGATAAGTTATGTTGGAGCACATTTTGAAAAATGTGTGGGAAAGATATTTTTAGCCCTTTGGCTATGTTTCCCTATCACAGATTCCTAATTGACACATATAAGTGCATTAGATATTACCGTTTTTTTCCATCAGCATCTTTATTCATCAGCAACCACCATTTTTATGGAGTATGGAATAACAGAGTTTGGGGGAATATTCTGCCTATTATGTATTATATTATGTTATATATATCATATTATGTATTGTAAAGATATAGATAATATAAACAGATTGGATCAAGCAAGGAGTGTTCCCGAAATAGGCAGTCTTTTTTTTTTTTTTTGACATGGAGTCTCACCCTGTCAACTAGGCTGGAGTGCAGTGGCATGATCTTGGCTCACTGCAACCTTTGCCCCCCCGGGTTCAAGTGAGTCTCCTGCCTCAGCCTCCCAAGTAGCTGGGATTACAGGCACCCGCCATCACGCCTGGCTAATTTTTTTGTATTTGTAGTAGAGGTGGTGTTTTGCCATTTTGGCCAGGCTGGCCTCAAACTCCTGACTTCAGGTGATCCGCCCACCTCAGCCTCCCAAAGTGCTGGGATTACAGGTGTGAGCCACCGTGCCCAACCTCAAAAATAGACAGACTTTTAATAGCAAATGAGAGGCTATGGGATAGAGCTCGAACTGTAATTTGCCTCGCATTCATTGATTCCCAGCTTCCCTACATCCCATTCTTCCCCCTCCTATGCCTCCCCCACTCCAAAAAGGGTGACTAGTAACTTGTGTTTCTAAATAACCCTTTAGAGAGGAATATGTAAAAGGTAGCTGTTTCTCCATTCCTTGGCCCCTTCCCCTTCTCATACTCAACATTCACCTCAAATCTGTCAACTATTAAACTGTATCCAATTAAAAATATTTCATTCAACCAAAACCTTCAATTTCCTTTCTGTGCCTCTCCCTGTACAAATTTTTATTGCAGTTGAAATTTGAAAGATGCCTGTAAGAACCTTTCTCCTCCCCTCTTCTCTCTCTATCCCACAGTGCCTCTGCCTAGCTCCTACTTATGAATTGGCTCTGCAAACTGGCCGTGTGGTTGAGCAGATGGGAAAATTCTGTGTGGATGTTCAAGTGATGTATGCCATTCGAGGGAATCGAAGTATGTACCAGTAAGCCAGTCCTGGCTGATTTTTCAAATCCTGGCTTCACCACGAATAAGCATTTTATATAACTTCTTGGCATTCTCATCTCTAAATGGGGGAAATAATACCACTCATGTCATAGAGTTGTTATTAGAATTGAGATGACGTTGGTAAAGCATTGTACACAATGCCTGGCACGTAGTAAGGACCCACTAAATGTTAGCCACATCATTTCCACATCCTGCAAGAGGATGCCTTTGTCCGTAATTCAACACTTGGTTGTTTTGTGCAGGACAGCTTTTATTTTTGGATTTTTCGTTAAAATATTATAAGCTTATAATGGGGAAAAAACTTTAAAAGACAAAAAGATTAAAAGTGAAAGTTGTTCTTCATTGCCTTCCAGAAACGTAATGCCAAAGATCACATAGTAAACAGGCAAGCCTTTGTGTTTTGCTTTTTTTTTTTTTGAGCTCATACATGCACATACAAATGCCCATATTTATATTTGTTTTCACTGAGTGTTTACAAAAATAGAAGGACTTTTTTTCATACTGTTTGTTCCTTTGACTAGCTGCCCAATATTTCATGATTTATTTAATGTAACCTATTGATGGACATTTTGGTTGTTTTCTGTTTGGGGAAGTGCCATTTTTCACAGTTAAGAAAAAGTCAGAAATTTATCCTAAAAATTCTGCAGAATCAAAAACCACAATGACCCTCGGGGTTTCCACTTGGAAAATTATTACAAACTGTATTTTTGCTTATGAGCTTTATATTGCACTGCCCTGAACTGTGACCTGTTGGAGTTGTTTGCATCTGAAGGAGTGCTTAAAACCCTTTTCTCCCCAGTTCCCAGAGGCACCGACATCACTAAACAGATTATAATTGGCACTCCTGGGACTGTCCTAGATTGGTGTTTTAAACTAAAATTGATTGATTTGACTAAGATTCGTGTGTTTGTCCTGGATGAAGCAGATGTGATGATTGACACTCAAGGATTCTCAGATCATAGTATTCGTATTCAAAGGTAATCTTCAGAGTCTTCCTCTCTTCCTCAGCCTTCTGTCCAGATGGGGAATTTCATTTGTTTACTCCTCCACATTATCTTTATTGCTTAACTCCTCACCACCTTCACCTCTAAAATAAATTTGAGTTTTTACATTATTTTCACCAGTTCAAGGGTCCCTCAGACTGCTATAGTTTTCCAGCTTCTTCAGTTTGTAATCTTGCCTGAGTGCTTTACTTTGCAACACAGCTTACAGATGGACTCTATTAATATATAGTGCATCTGCACCAAATTTGCCAATATGTTCTATATTTTGGCCAAAATTCTAAAGAGGATCTGTTAAAGCCTAGTGAGAATACAATGGATAATTGAGATAGAGTAGAGGACACAGTAATGTGGGATCAGGAGACTGGTAATCTAGTCCTGACTTTCCCCCTAATTTGTAAAAAGCCGTGTCATTTTCCTAGGCCTCTCTATCAGGATCACCTGAGGGATTTAAAACTACAGATTACCGGACGCAGCCTCAGACTTACTGAATGAGAGTTTCTGTAAGTGGGATTTAGGAATCTGTATCACGTATTTTTTAATGAAGTATTACATACTCAATGTTAAATTCAATTAGTATTGAAAGACTTGTAATGAAAAACAGTAACCCCTTGCTCCAACCTGAAGAGAATACTTCTCTTTTCTGATATTAACCTTCATACTTGTAAATAATATTTTCATACTGCTGTTTCCTGATGTATAGTCATTGTCAACTGATTTCCCATTATAGGAAGTGGGAATTGAGTTCTTTGAAAACACCACCCATTCTACCTTTCCTATCCCCCCATTACCTCTCTGTAATTATGTCATGAATTAGGTTACAGTAACTGTCAGTATTGATATCATGTGACAGTGTAAGTATTGTTCACTGCTGAGCCAAACAGCGTATTATTATAATTACAGTTGCCCCTCCGTATCCACAAGGGATTGGTTCCAGGACCCCTTGCACGTGCCAAAATCTGTGGATGTTCAAGTCCCTGATGTAAAATGTTGTAGTATTTGCATGTAACTTATACACATCCTCTTGTGTACTTTAAATCATTTCTAGATTATTTATAATGACAAGAAAAAAGTCCATATACATTCGGTACAAGCACAATTTTTTCCAAATATTTTTGATCCACAGTTGTTTGAATCCACAGATGCAGAGCCCACAGATACAGATGGCACTAATATAAAGGGCTGTTTTTCTTGTAAAGCTTTTTCTTCTAGAAGTAATCATTGCTTTTGCTTTTTTTTTTTCATTTTGTTAGTATCACTGTGTAAGGATCTTTAATTTTCCCTTAGCTATTCTATCGTATGTGTCATATGTCTGTGATATCTCCAAATAGTAAAATAAAATTTAAAAATCCATCCATTTCTCAGCTGGGCACGGTGGCTCACGCCAGTAGTCCCAGCACTTTGGGAGGCCGAGACGGGTGGATCACAAGGCCAGGAGATCGAGACCATCCTGGCTAACACGGTGAAACCCCATCTCTACTAAAAATACAAAAAAATTAGCTGGGCATGGTGGCAGACGCCTGTAGTCCCAGCTACTTGGGAGGCTGAGGCAGGAGAATGGCGTGAACCCGGGAGGCGGAGCTTGCAGTGAGCCGAGATCACGCCACTGCACTACAGCCTGGGTGACAGAGCAAGACTCCATTTCAAAAAAAAAAAAAAAAAACCATCCATTTCTCTTTTTTCCTGCCAATATTCCAAGCTCCCTCTCTCCAGCTTCAGTCTGGTAGATCTGCTGTACAGCTGTCATCATGGGTCTTTCCTTTGCTCACTTAAGTTTTAAATCTCCTATATCTTGGGTCGTTTTTCTTGGAGTACTTCCTCAGTATGCTGGAGTATATTTTCTAATGCCTTCCTGAAAAACAATATAAAAGAGATTCATTTTTCAGCCCTTACATGTCTGAAGATGTCCTTATTGTACCTGTAAATTTGATCTTTTGACTAATAGTTTGCCCGGATAGGAATCCTGTGTCATTCTCTCTCTAAATTCAGAGAAATGTTGAAAACAGAAAAGTTTTTAAAAATAACTTCAATATATAATTAATATCCTCAGCTTCCACTGTTGTTACTGAAAAGTTTAATGTCACCCTGATCTCCAAGCTTTTGTTTATGACCTTTTTTTTTTCTCTCGCGAGAAGCCTTTGGAGTCTTCTTTCTTTATGGTATTCTGAAACTTTTCAGTGACATACTTTGGTTCAGGTCTTTTTTCATTCATCATACTAGACACATACTGCACCCTTTCATTCTCAAAACCTGGGCCTGCCACTTCTGGGAAAATTTCTTCAGTTATCTCTTTCCCCAAAGTGACCAACTTTTTAGAGAGCCCATCTGGGACACAATCATAACAATCCAAAAAAAAAAATGATATAAAATAGAAGAAATAATCATACACAGGGTTATTATTTTGTTGTGTGTTTCCTTCCATTTGTCATTAAAATAACACAGTCATTGAGCATTCCGTTTCTGTCTGTCTCAATCACACTGGTGGTGGTCTCTGATTTTTTTTTATAGAGCTTCCTCTTCTTGCATTACAGATGCAGTATCTTCAGTTGTCTCTCTGAGAACATTAATTCTAGTATTTAAAAATTTTTTCTGTTTTAACATTGTGAATTATCCAAGTTTCCTTTTTGTTTGCTACAGCCTCTTTCACAGCAGAACGTTCCTCTTTATATGTGGTGACACTTGGCTAGCCTTTCATGATCTAGGGTGAGAAGCTACAATTCCAACGGACAGCTCTGTGTGCATGGCTGGGGCTGCCACTTGGGAAGTCCTACTGTGTGACGATTGTCATCTGGAGGTCTTTAGGACTATGTAATGTCTCTGTTCTCTTTTCTGGGGGATAGACCCTTGGTTGCTGACATTCTGGGAGCAAGGCAGGGGAACAGGCTGAGAGGGCCGTCCCATTCGGTATGCATATTTTCACTTGATCTCCTCTTTTCAGCCATATGTTTTGCCTCCACTTTCTACTAAGGCTTGTATCCCCAAATCTGGAATTTCTGCACAGAATAAACATCTAATCTTCTGCTTCCACAGGCCTAGCTACCTAAAGTAGGGGGATCCACCTGCTCCTTATACGTATTTTCTGCCTCAGCCTTCCTATTTAAAATAATTTTCAGCAGAGATCAAAAGAGGTTCCCTTCTTGTCATCCTCTTACCAATAAGTTGGTTTGTTTTATATAATAGCAAATGAAAAATTCAGAACTCCAGGAAATATTTAGTAGTGAAAAAGGGCTTTCTTTTTTTCTGAGATGGAGTCTCACTGTGTCACCCAGGCTGGAGTGCAGTGGCGCCACCTTGGCTTACTGCAACCTTTGCCTCCTGGGTTCAAGCAGTTCTCCTGCCTCAGCCTCAAGAGTAGCTGTAGCTGGGATCACAGGCACGTGCCACCACACCCAGCTAATTTTTGTACTTTTAGTAAAGATGGGGTTTCTCCATGTTGGCTAGTTTGTTTATGACCAAAAAATGGTCATAAACAAAAGCCTGGATATCCGGGTGACATTAAGTTCAAGGCCAGGTCTCAAGTTCCTGGCCTCAAGTGATCCACCCGCCTCAGGCTCCCAAAGTGCTGGGATTACAGGTGTGAGCCACCATGCGTGGCCCCAAAAAGGGCTTTCTAAGAAAGTCTCTTTTATTTTATACTCAAGAGAATATTAAGTAATAATTAGATAGAGCATTTATGTTGGTTGATCAGCCGTCCATTGTTATAGTCTTCCTTCCATTTGCTTAAAACAGGTTAAACCAGTGATGTCCAACAGAAACTTAATACAAGCCACATGTATAATTTTAAATTTTCTAATAGCCACATCCAAAAAGAAAGAGATGAAATTAATAAATATATGTTATTTAACCCATTGTATCAAAATATCTCTTCAACAAGTTAATCAATATAAAAATTATTAGTGACATATTTTACATTCTTTTTTCATACTAAGTCTTCAAAATCCAGTGTGTTCTACAGAACAGCCATGGTTTTCTTTCCTTATGTATTATATACATTTTTTCTTTGTGAGTAACAATCCAAACTCTTAAACTTTCACTAAGCTTCAAACGAGACTACTTCTCCACAATATTTATCCCAGCAAAATGGCCCAAGCCTTAGGATATAAATCCTTGTGCCATCTTTCTCCAGATGCAGGATTGTGACCCAGCAGGTGGCCAAGAGGCTCTAGCATGTGGAATGCAGAGTTTTCCTCATGTTTTCTAACATATGTCCTGTTTTCAGTTCTTTCCCCCTGATTCTCTGGTTCCTGTAGCTCACAGCTCCTAGACCTCCCGGTGGTTCTGAGGGAACAGTTAGCTGCGTTTTCATCAACTCTGTGTTCTGCAGTGCTCATGGTGTAGCTTCATCCACTTTCTCATTTACCACCCCTTCCGTCTTCCAAAAATGTATTTAGATAACTTATCCACCAGTTTCTTCTCTCCCATTCTCCACATTTTCCGTGGATTCTTTTTATCTCTTTATGATCACATTAGTGGGATTTGGGCAGCTAAGAAGATAACACAGGTAGACGGTCTGACATCATTGACCAGAGGTCTATCGGATTGTTGTTTGATGATCGAGACCCTAGGCTTAAAATTGAGTTTGAGAATCACTGGACTATATGGTCTCTTTCACTCTCTTTTAGCACTAACAGTTTATTCCTCAAAGTGCTCTGTCTCCTTCTCAAAAGAGCCGATTTCCCTCTGGTCTCTCTCATTTATTTTGTTTTAAAAAGTTAACTTTTTATTGATATATGAAATATATACAGAGAAATACACCAATGATAAGTGTACCATTGAGTGATTTATCACAAGAAGCCATGCTCTTGTAACAGCAGCCCAGATGAAGGAATAAAATTTTACCAGCACCCTAGAATTTTCTTAATAACCCCTTTCTGCTCACTGGTCCCTCTCTTTTCCCAAGGATTAGCCTCTATCCTAACTGCTAACTCCGCAGATTTATTTCACCTGTTTTTTAACTTTATGTGAATCAGCCCTGTATTCATTCTGGGTTCAGAATGGGTACATTTCAGTCACTGTACTTTCCCCTGTTGCTCCCCTTTAATTTGTATCTAGTTCTTCCCATTCTGAATCAAGTTAGTTGTGGTTGTTCTTTCCCTCCCAAGATATATAATGCCTGCTGTCAAATAACTGGCTCTGTTTCCTTCATCTCCATTTACCTTTGTGTGAGATTATAACTATAAAGAGCATCTAGTCTACCCTTCTTGTGGCTGCGTGAGTCTGCCTCTCCTAAGGAGGAAGTTGGCATGAGAAATCTCAGAACCTCCAGAATATATACCTAAACTTTGCCCTATGCTTCACATTCTGTTTATATACTTTTCTAAATTCTTGGTGGCAAGGAGGGGCAGGACCTTGGCTATCTGCCTGGAGATACAGCTGGTCATTGCAGGCAGCACCTCACGTGGAACAGGGGTGCGTGCAGCGGCTGATGGCAGTGGCATGAAGTGCTTGAAGAAGAGTGATGGGATGGCAGCTTGGTGACAGCCTTCTCTCCTCTATCACAGAGCTCTACCCTCCGAATGCCAAATGCTCCTCTTTTCAGCAACCTTTGAGGACTCTGTGTGGCACTTTGCTGAGCGAATCATCCCTGACCCTAATGTTATCAAGTTACGCAAAGAGGAGCTCACACTGAACAACATCCGGCAATATTACGTGCTGTGTGAGCACAGGAAAGACAAATACCAAGCTCTGTGCAACATTTATGGCAGCATCACCATTGGTCAGGCCATCATCTTCTGCCAGGTACACTCTGTGGATGTGTCTTCATCGAGCCCAGATATGCCTACAGGCCGAGGTGGGGGACGACAATAAGTGCCCTAGAGCCAGGCACCATGTTCAGCACTTCTTGTGTGTCTCCAGTTTAATCTTCAGAACAGCTCTAAACAGAAATTACCTGTATTTTATGGGTGAAATGTAAAAAGGTTAAGTAATGGAATAGGATCTTCAAAGTGATGTTAAACACAGGGCCTTCTTTTAGAGGGACTGCTTCTAACACTTCCCCATTTCAGCTTATGTTTATTGTACCTTGTACAGATACCCTTTATCAGGTGAAGGATGTTATTCACTATTAACAAAACCCCGTTTTTATGTTTGTTTTTTGCTTTCTGACATTCTCATGTTCATCTGTTTTATTTTCTCACTACCCCGTAAACACTTTAAGCTTCACGACAGCAGGGTCTCCTCTCTCTCATTCACTCCCATATCCACTGCACTAGACCAGCACCTATCTGGCACATGGACAGCACCAAAAACATATGTGTAGAATAAAAGAAAGCTCAGCTCTGCCACTGGCTAACCATGCAACCTTGGGCAAGTTACATAACATTTTTAAGCTTTGGGAGTTTTGTCTGTTTTTAATTTTTAATTTGTTTTATTTTTTATTTTTTTGTGACAGAGTCTCGCTCTGTTGCCCAGGCTGGAGTGCAATGGCATGATCTCAGCTCACTGCAATCTCCGCCTCCTGGGTTCAAGCAATTCTCCTGCCTCAGCTTCCCGAGTAGCTGAGACTACAGGCGCCTGCCACCACACCTGGCTAATTTTTGTATTTTTTTAGTAGAGACGGGGTTTCACCATGCTGGCCAGGCTGGTCTCGAACTCCCGACCTCAGGTGATCCACCCGCCTTGGCCTCCCAAAGTGCTGGGATTACAGGTGTGAGCCACCGCACCTGGCCTGTTTTTAATTTTTTAAATGAAATTAGGTTGCTACTTCATTAATTTGTTGTGAAAACACATGACCCTTACCATAATGCACATAAAGATTTCAGCCAGATGCCTGGCACATGGGAAGCAAGCACTCTTAGAGTGTCTGTTGTTGCCATTGTTACATGATATCATTTTGTCATCATAGCACCTGTGAGGCAGATGTAGCACATTTATCTCCATTTCATGCGTGAGAAAGCCAGAGGTCTGACTGGTGGAGAGGATGTGAGCCTTAGAAACACAGGCGGAGGGAGGATGCCCTGCCACATTTTAAGGCCCTGGAGGACTGAGGGAGAGGTGAAGCTCAACTCCTCTGCAGCCCTCTCCCACCCCCGCCCTGCATGCATGGTGTCACAAGCACAGCTAGGCTGCTTTGCTTAATCTTGGGGTGCTGTGTTGGGTTTTGCCTTTTTACATAGACTCGTCGAAACGCTAAGTGGTTGACCGTGGAGATGATACAGGATGGCCACCAGGTGTCTTTGTTAAGCGGGGAGCTGACCGTGGAGCAGCGAGCTTCCATCATTCAGAGGTTTCGGGATGGGAAAGAGAAGGTTCTCATAACAACTAATGTTTGTGCCCGAGGTGTGTGTTAAAAGTCAGGTCTTGAGTTCTAATTTGCATATGATAAAATGCATTCCTTTTAAGTGTACAGTTTCGCGAGTTTCGACAAACATGCAATCATGCAGCTATCACTGTCATCAAAATACAGAGCATCTCCATCTCCCCAGTTTCCTCACACTCCTTTTCAGCCAATCTCCCTTTCCATCCCATGGCCCCTGGCAACTACTGATCAGATTTCTGTCTCCATATTTTTGGAGACACAGAATCAAATCATACTGTATATAGCCTTTGTGTAACTTCCTCCACCTGACATAATGCTCGTAATAATACTAATGAATTTCATTAGTATTGTTCCATGCACCAGCAGTTCATTTCCTTTTCATTGCTGATAGTATTCTATTGACAGTTCGTCTGTCCACCAGTTGATGGACATTTGGACTGCTTTCAGTTTGTGGCTATATTTAACAAGGCAGTAACAAAAATTCATGTGCAGGTCTGTATTTAGAGATATGCTTTCATTTCTCTTGGGTAAATATCTAAGAGTGGGGTTGTTGGGCCCTATGATAGGTGTGCGTTTAGCTTTATAAGAAGCTGTAAAACTCTTCCAGTTGCTCTGCATTCTTGCCAGCAATTGCTAACGTCACTCTTAATTTTAACCATTCTAGTGGCTGTATACTGGGATCTCATTGTGGTTTTAAGTTGCACTTCTCTGATAACTAATGATGTTGAGCATCTCTCTGGAGTTTCTCATCTTAAAAGTGTTGACTACTGGTGAAAAAAATCCTTTTTTTTTTTTTTTTTCAAGAGAAGGGCCTTCCGGCTTTCTTCATCCCTCCTAAATCATTGCTTGCACCCCATACTCATACCACATTTCCTAGTTCATTCTTAGTTTAGCACACAGAACTGACAACCTGCCATGCTAGGAGTGGATGCTGACTCTGCTCTTGGGAAAGGTATCCTGAAAAAAGGATGATGTCTCTATCCCTTAAGAGCTCACAGCCTAGGCTCTTGCCTCTCTACACTGGCACTATTCAACAGAGCTTTCTGCAGTGATGGAAATGTTCTATTCTGTGCTCTTCAGTGGGTAGCCACTAGCCATATCAGCTCCTGAGCACTTGAAATGTGGCTAGTGTGATTGAGGAACTGAATTTTTAATTTTATTTAATTGAAATATAGCCACATGGTGCTAACATTTATCATATTGGACAGCGTAACCCTAGACCCTAGAGGAAGGAAGGCACAGAGAGCTCCAGGTCAAGGCACAGTACAAGGAGTGCAAGGATCCTGACCCGGACAGCTTGTTAATGTTGAGAAGGAAGGTACAGTGGGGAGGGGAAGTGCAGAAGTCTTCCGAGGCAGCCTTCAATCTGAAAGGGGTTTTGCAGGGGCGGGTGCGGTGGCTCACGCCTGTAATCCCAACACTTTGGGAGGCCGAGGCGGGTGGATTGCTTAAGGTCAGGAGTTCAAGACCAGCCTGACCAACATGGTGAAACCCCATCTCTACTAAAAATACAAAAATTAGCCAGCCATGGTGATGGGCACCTGTAATCCCAGCTACTCGGGAGGCTGAGACAGGAGAATCGCTTGAACCCGGGAGGCAGAGGTTGCAGTGAGCCAAGATCGTGCCACTGCACTCCAACCTGGGTTACAGAGCGAGACTCCATCTCAAAAAAAAAAAAGAAAAAAGTTTTGCAGGAAGGGTAGCAGTTCAGTTGAATGAGAATTTACGTTTGTTCAGGAAATGGCCAGACCTTGACTGGAGTGTTGTATTTGAGAGTCAGGAGAGAAAGAGATGAGACTTGAGGTGGCTTGCAGTCTTGAATTGCTTGTACTTTTCCTGTACAATTTGGGCAGTGGGTTTTGAACGTAAGTGTGCTGGACATTGCTGTGGTGACCATCGTAGGAGAGATGAGAGGAGTAGGGGAAGAGAGTGGTGAGAAACCAGTCTGGAAGTTGTTGTAACCACTGAGGCAAGGGCTCAAAAGACCTGACCAGGACAGTAGCCATGAAACGGAGCAGAGCCAGAGCCCCATGACGGGCAAGCGGGTGTGAGACTATGGGGCCTGCTGGGGACTTGGCACAGCAGGAGCAGAGAGGAGAGGGTGGCTCTGTGGGCTTGGTGAGGGCACCTCTCCACCACACACACACATACACACACACACACACACACACACACACACACACGCCTTGTGTATATTTACATTTCTGTAGCATTCTCTATGGACACGCTCATCTAGCATCATAGACATCACAGCATGCAAGCAAACTTCCTAACCAAAGTACCTGTCTCAATTACATAAGCCCTGGTTGGATTTCTAAATTTTCTCTATAAATAGGAATTCCCTTGGCAGACGTGGTACTTGAATGGCCCGTGTACTGAGGAAAGCATTGCAGGACCCTACAGTGTTTTTCCTCTTCTAGGGATTGATGTGAAGCAGGTCACAATTGTTGTGAACTTTGATCTCCCTGTAAAACAAGGAGAGGAGCCGGACTATGAGACCTACCTCCACCGCATAGGGCGGACGGGGCGCTTTGGGAAAAAAGGCCTTGCCTTCAACATGATTGAAGTAGATGAGCTGCCCTCGCTCATGAAAATCCAGGACCACTTTAGTAAGTAGCACCACCCTCACAATATGAACTACAGACCTGCCGGTCTGACAGTGATGATGTGTGCTGGAGAGCTGGAGTCCAGGGGCTCATGAGAGTAGTAGAAGCAGAATGCATGAGCTGGAAGGCTTCTAATTCACAGGACCAGGGTTCTAATATGAGACAGATGATTAAATAATGCTTATATGGTAATTAAAAATTATTTTGATCAAGCAGAATTAATATGAGCTCAGGCCGGGTGTGGCAGCTCACACCTGTAATCCCAGCACTTTGGGAGGCCGAGGTGGTCAGATCATGAGGTCAGGAAATCCAGACCATCCTGGCCAACATGGTAAAACCCCATCTCTACTAACAATACAAAAATTAGCTGGGCGTGGTGGCACATGCCTGTAGTCTCAGCTGCTGGAGAGGCTGAGGCAGGAGAATCGCTTGAACCCAGGAGGCGGAGGTTGCAGTGAGCTGAGGTCGCACAACTGCACTCCAGCCTGGCGAAAGAGTGAGACTGCGTCTCAAAAAAATAAAATTTGAGCTCAGATTTACATGTTATAACTCATTCTGGAGTCAGAATTTCACATCTTGTGAAGGCAGAGCAGATTACAGAAGCAGATTTTCGTATCTTATAAAGAAATTCCCTAAGCAAAGTAGTAACATCCTTTAAGATTCTCTTCAGTTCTCCTCTTTTACTTACGCTTTTTCCCTCCTCTTGCCCACCCTCCCAAACAGGAAAGTCCTAAATTCTGAAGTCCGCGACCTTTCCTCCAGCCCCCCATCTAAACAAGGCAGGCTCTGATGATGGCCTGCTGGAACTCTGGACTGGCAGATTTCTCTGATGGAAACTCAAAAGGTCCCATGGTTCAAATTGTCCTGTGCCCCAAAGCCCATGGATGTGGCTGGGGAGCAGGGGAGAAGGAACACCTTCCAGGACAGTGGTACTTAACCTTGTAGAAAGCAATAAGCGCTGTCCCCAGGGAAGTGCACACAGGCACACACATGCCATTTGGAATATAATTTTCACAGGTTGGCAGACTGAGTGTAGCACATCCACCGACCTTTCAGGGAAGTAGGTTAAGTGCCCCTGTGTTAGGCTAACTGGGGAGGACAGGGTGAGGAAGATGTGTTAAGGCCACTGTCGCTATGGTGAGCTTCTAAGGCCCTGGTCTCAGGAAGTGACTGCAGTAGAAGAGCCTCAGTCCCTCCCAGGCTCTCCTCACTTCCACTCTGGCCTTCTCTGCCCCAGCGTATCTAGATACATACATTCCATGGTCTGGTGCATTTGATGCTGTTTGAGTTAGTATTGGTCAGTGATTTTGGCACCCTTCCTTCCTTATGTTCCTATACCAAGGCTTTTTATACGAGGTATCACTGTCTTCAGAAATATGGATGGAATGAAGTTCCATTTAGACCCTGACATGAGACTAGTTCTGTTCTCTTTTGTTCTTTTAGACAGCAGTATTAAGCAACTCAACGCTGAAGACATGGATGAAATTGAAAAGATTGACTATTGAAGAAAGAACTTTATTGTTTGTGCAGTATCCTAGTTTATGTGAGAATGTCTCAGTGGGTTTTGAAGGTAATTTTTTTATGTTGAGGCTTTTTCGACGTGAAACTGTCACAGATGGCAAAATAAATGTCACGGTACTTAGTTTTAAGACATGAGGTCTTTTTGAAGCCAAATTGATGTGAAGCTTGTGATCCTTTTGAATAAAAAAAAGGCAAGATTATTTCTTATTCTAATCTTTGTACAGGTAATGTCTCAATGTGGGCTATGGGGGTGTTTTTGGATTTGGTTGATACAATCTGAGCAGATCGTGCCTCTTGGGAGCATCTTACTGTGTCACAAGAGGGCGGTAGAGCTTCGCTGATTTTGGAAGCGGAGCGAGTAGGAAAAAGCCCATGTCTTCAGACCTCACTCACAGGTGCCCTTTCCAGCCATTTATGCCTTTCCCCGCTCCCCGCCTTAAACTCCCCCATGCATGCACATGCATGTTCTTAAGTGAAAGTACAGATTAAAACTTTTAAAAAGTGAAACCATTTGAAAGAAAGAGTATTTTACTTCTTTAATGTTTCAAGGGACATACAGAATTTCAGAGTATTTTTCTATTTTGCTTCTCTTCAAATTAAAGATTTACTCCCTCATCAGTTATTTCATAGTCTCTAAAAGTGTGGCTGTATTATGGGCATTTCTTAAAAGCAGTCGGGAGGGTAAAAAAAAAACCCACATACCCTATTAAAGAAGTAACATTTTAGAGAGCAAAAGTTTTTTGCTTTTAAGAATTTAAAGGTATGTCAGAATCCTGGACATTTTCCCACAAGACCCATTGAGATACTTTTTAATTTTTCATATTTCCTACTCAAAAGTAAAGTGTAGTGAGCTTGAGAAGATGGGGTAAATGGAGAGTCCCCCAGAAAGCCGGAGCGGATCTTGTAACCAGAGCGCCGGTACCAGCTCTGTCACGGCACCAAACTGCACCAGTGGCTGCAGTGAGTGGCCCTGTCATCGGTGGCATGGTGGTTCCTGGCATATCTATTTTGATATCCCTCTTCCATGTCACCCTGCCCATGTTTTCTCCCGGAGAGCAGGGCTCAGAAATACATAAAAATCATCACGTGGCTGGGCACAGTGGCTCACACCTGTAATCCTAGCACTTTGGGAGGCCAAGGAGGGCGGATCACGAGGTCAGGAGTTAAGACCAGCCTTACCAACATGGTGAAACCCCTTCTCTACTAAAAATATAAAAATTAGCTGGGCGTGGTGGTACGCGTGCCTGTAATCCCAGCTACTCAGGAGGCTGAGGCAGGAGAATCACTTGAACCCAGGAGGCCGAGATTGCAGTGAGCCGAGATCGTGCCACTGCATTCCAGCCTGGGCGACAGAGTGAGACTCTATCTCAAAAAAAACGCGCTCCCCTCCCTCATTTAGCAACAGATATTTATTGTATACCCTTTATGCCAAACACCAGGGAAAAGGAGGTGAGTGAGATACAACAGCCATGTTGGAATTCAGAGCCTAATGGCAGAGACCTAGAATAAGCCAGCATGATAACAGACTGTGCTAAAGCAAGCGGGCCCAGATCACTAGTGTAGCACAGAGGAGGGACCCTAACACCATCTAGGCTGGCTCCCAGAGGAGAGGACACTCAGGATCTCCTACAGGAGAGCAGGATGTATTCAACTGTGCCTTCTCAGCATGGACTTTGTACCACCCAGCAACTTTCTAACCTGAGTCTACGAGAGGAAGTGTTCCAGACCCAGCTTACCATAATTACCTGGAGAGCCCGGGGAAAAAAATACAGATTTCCTTCCCCATGCAGATGAAAGCAGACTCTCCGAGGGCAGAGCCCAGAAATACCCACTTCCATAAGGGAGCCGCAAGTGCAGGTAGAGCAGTGGTAACGAAGATGGCCGTCCCAGCGGGAGACCCTCAGGCAGAGAGGCCCTTGGGGACAGAACTTGTAACACATGGAACTCCTGCTGCTCGGTGTCCATCCTGGTTCTCCTTATCCTACATCTGCCCTTCTCTCTGGACTGGAAGCTGGTGATCACTCTTGTCCACTCAATACCCCTAACACAGTGCCCAGTGCATTCTAAGTGCCCAAGGAACCTTTGTCTTTGTTGAGTAAATTTTTTTTTCTTTTGCCACTTCCTCATTCACTAATAATTTTTTTTTAGGTTTTCCATCCTAGTTTTGAACCCCAATTACATGGCACAGGATGAATGAGCATGAGAAGTGTATCCAGATACTTTGTTCTCTTACTATTCGAGAATCGAGTTGGACCTTCCACCGTGCTCAGCTCCGCCTTGGGGTGTCCTAAATAAAACTTTACCACTTTCCTTTACAGTTCAAATCTCTGGTAAGATCTCCGCCAGTTACCCTCACAAATGTCCTCAGTAATTTTTGTTTGGCAGCTGTTCCCACAGGTCTGCATGAACCAGGTATTTTTCTGCGTTCCCTTTTGCCCCCTCCTCACGTCCCTTTGTCTCACCACCTAGGAGGCAGCAAAGCCATCCTGTGTCACAGCTGCATTAACACGAACTGGCTAGTTTGGTGAGTCAACAATCCAAAGGCTGTTTTTTGCAGGGTGCAGCTCCTGTCAGAGCTGTAAGCAATTTTCCCGTCTTCCTGCATGGCCTGGCCAAGGTCATCTCTCTCAGTGCCTGCCTGAGGACAGAGTAGATAGAGAGGCAAGGAAACACCAGGTGATTTCAGTGCAACTGTGAGCTGGGTTCATCAGCTGTATGTTTCTTGGCACCAAATACTAAACCAAATCCGTTAAGTTTATCTTGGCCAGCTTAATACTGTTAGCATATTGAAATTCATGATTACGTAGAGCAGGACTGTGATTTCCAGTGGGTAAGTGAACACCTCGCATGGAACACGGCTGCTATGATGTTAGGTGCTGGATCTAAGGCAACCATTAATAATAGGAAAGGCAAATAAGTTGGTCATAGTCTGGTAGGATGTGTGACAGCCGCTTTTCAAGAGACATTATTGCTTTTGGTCATGAGAAAGTGTTGATCCTCCTCAGCAAAGCTCGGTCACCATGAAAGCTGCTGGCAGTCTCTGCACATATGACCAACAGTGGAAAATCTTAGAGGAGTGATGGGGGTGGTGGGTGGTGGGCAGTACCTTTCCAGACAGCAGAGAGAGAGAGGCTGGTTTTGTCAAGCCTTGGCTTGGTTCCTGGTCCTCTGAGAGGCTCAGTCTCCTTCCTTTTGATTCAAGGCAGGACCTAGATTAGAAAGAGAACCCCTGCAGAGACAGTCCAGCTGTTGGGATGGGCCTGCACTTTGCTCTCTGAACCGGGGGGCATTACTATGTTCTCACCCACATTGTACAGACAGCCCATCATGCTCAGCCTTGCAGGAGGGTCTTCAGGAGCCCAGCCATCTGGCACATACTGCTTTTCCCAAGGGAGTAACAGAAAGGTCAGATCCTCTTCAATCCTAACCCTCTCACTTCAACTCTCCACTACTTCTGGGGAATAATGATGTATTATCCAAGACCCTCATATCATATTAACCCACAGACTATGAAATCATCACAGTCTTGTTCTATGCTACAGGGAATACGAACTTTTTGCCCTAGAAAGCATCCAAGAGGCACTCAACCCCAACATTTTCTATACTTTTGCTAATCCGTGGCTGAGAGAATTTGACATTTTCCCTTCTCTTTTTTTTTTTTTTGAGATGGAGTCTCACTGTGTTGCCCAGGCTGGAGTGCAGTGGCGTGATCTCGGCTCACTGCAAACTCTGCCTCCCCGGTTCAAGCAATTCTCCTGTCTCAGCCTCCCGAGTAGCTGGGGCTACAGGCACATGCCACCACGCCTGGCTTATTTTTGTATGTTATTTTAGTAGCGATGGGGTTTCACCGTATTGGTCAGGCTGGTCTCGAACTCGTGACCTCAGGTGATCCACACGCCTTGGCTTCCCAAAGTGCTGGGATTACAGGCATCAGCCACGGCGCCCAGCCTCCCCTTCTCATTTCTGTCTGCTGACTCCTCTTCCCGTTCTGCTGCTCACATCCGCAGGTT
The DNA here is from genome assembly GCF_000001405.40 of Homo sapiens. NCBI lineage: Eukaryota > Metazoa > Chordata > Mammalia > Primates > Hominidae > Homo > Homo sapiens. The sequence goes on from NC_000011.10 coordinate 125,926,908, forward strand.
GATGTTTTCACCCTCGGGGTTCTGCCTTATCCCCTGCCACCCTCCTGTGCTGCCTGGGTCCCTCAGAAGGATGGGTCTGGACTTCCCACACCCTCCTTCGCTGCCCCTCACTGTGTTGCCTGGTGTCTGCCTGAAGAGATGCAGTTTGAGCCATTGGCTGGTTTCTCTTACTGCTTTGCAAACTATCAGTTTTAAATGTGGGTGGGGCTGAAGCACCATTCTCCATTTTTAATGTGGATTTTCCATCCCCCTTTAAACATTAAACTTTTAGATTCTTCTAGTGAAATACAGAAAACACACGTGAACTGGGATGATTCTTGGCTGAGAGATGTCCCATGGTGTTTGGCAAACCCACGGAGGGGCCCACAGGCCCATGTCTGGAACTGCCTGGCCCTCCTTTACCAGTTTATCAGCCTTCCATCTCTGCTGAGGTAGAAACAGCCAGAGGCTCTGATATAATAAAGATGAGCTCTGAAGAGGGGCTCTCTCTCCCTCTTGTATTCAGAAGAACTGAAAGTTTTCATAAGTCTCTAGAGAAGCGTGGCAACTATCTGTAGCATTTTTCTTTGGGAATTAACCTTTGCCCATAATTATTTCTGTTCAGTAGAATAACCATGGGTTTCTCTATTCCAGTTTCTAGAATATAATTTTCATAAATGAGGATGGTCTCCTATTTTGAGCTTAACATTTTTCTATTGCTAGAAAGAATGGTACTGCCTCACTCCAGCTCCTTAGTGTGTGATCATGGCTTGAAATCTCTGCTTTCTGTTATATTCGGAGGTAACATGTATAGGTCATGTATAATGGCCTCAGGCATGATTTAGAAGGCACAGACTGAGCAGGCTGCTTTGTGAGGTGGTGAACTCCCCATTCATGAGAGCATTCAATCAATCAGAAGATGAATAGTTAATCAGATGCTGTAGTTCTGGTTCTTGAATAACCAGGAGTTCAGAATAAAATGATCTCGGAGACTCTGTCCATTCTAAGATACCATGTTTCCATGACCCTACACACAATAGCTACACAGGTGGAGCAACATGAGTCTGAGAAGCTTTGCACAAAAGAAGATTGTTTTCCACAAATGAAAATGGGGTGGTTAACTTCTAATTGTACCCTGTCTTAGCGTTCAGATGCATTGGTTCCTTCCCCATGTGACCATCTCTTCATTCAAAGCTTAGGCTGAATGTGGATTATTTTTAATTTAATGTTCATATTATAAAAGCAATGAAACAGCAAAGTAGAGCAAAATATCAACAATCCAATGACTTTATCATAAAAATTATCAGCTTGATATAGTCCTGTTCTTAATATAAACATCTGTGGTTAATTATAGTATTATATCTTTTTATTTGAAACATTCAAGTTTTTTTTCATGTTACCACACAGTGTTTGGGATTATATTTTCAAAATAATAATTGACCAGATTGTCCTATCTAGTGAATATGCATATAGCTGACTTTGTTGAACATTTATAGGATGTCCATTTTTCCAAAGCTTTAATTATAAATCATGCTGCAGTAAATATCTTCTCGCCCAATATTCCGAATTATTTCTTAAGATTAGAGACATTAAGTGCGAGTACCAGGTCGAAAACTAGAAGCACTTTAACAGCATTTAACAGATTTTGTTAGAGCTACATTGCATTCAGTAGACTGGCTATACCAATATATAGTTGCACAGCAAATTCACCTCACCTTACCAGCAAGGGATATTTTCATTTTAAAATTGCTTGGTAACTTTTCTGGTTTATGTTTCTCTTAGTACAAGCAAGATTATATTTTTTAAAGTGGTTCATCATTTGAAAAGCATCTGTAGTGTTCTTTGCCCATTTATCTTGTGGGATGTTAATGGTTTCCTTGTCAAGTTGTGTGAAATATATGTGTGAATTTATTTTTCCAAATAAAATAAAGACATTAACCTTCTATTTTACTGACAACATATTGTCTATCTCAGTCTGACTGCATTTTAAAATGTGTTATAGTTGTTTCACACAAAGTTATTTAATTTTTTGTAATGAAATATATCAATAATTGATTGTCTACTGGTTCTAGAATATTAGCACTGCTCTAGAAAACATGTTTAATTTTATTTTTAGTTATTGTGATTTTTATCTTTAAAAAGATACTCAGCTTTAGTCCATCTGTAATTTGTTCTGGTGTGAGGTATATCACCAAGAAACCTCTATTTCCTATTATTATATCTTCCTTATCATATTAAATTTCTACATACCTGACACATAAAACAAGATTCTGGGTATCTACTTAATGCCAGTTTATTCTTGGGCCAACACCACAGTTTTATGTATTATTGTTATAAAATGTGTTTTATTTTAAGGACTTGTTCCCCCTCTTGGCTATTTTCATTATCTCTCATATTTGAAAAAATGTCATTACTCAGTTTATTCCTCAAGATTAGTTTTAGATCCATTTAACCAATTTCCAAAAGTTCCTCTGATATTTTATTTGATGGGATCCATTTGGCAGGAGTAATGTATTCAGTCCATACATTACTTTGTGGAGAATAGATTTCTTTACAGTTTTGAATCAAATGCTAGATCTCTCTTGTCTCAAAAAGGTCAGGAGATATGCTAGGAGCAAAGCCCCTTAGACACCTGAGCAAGAGGCTGTGCTAGCCAAGGGGAGAGGCAGGGAGGGTCGGCGCTGAGGTGGTCTCCAGGGGCGTGCCTGACGGAGGAGGACCTGGCAACAAGCTCGGGCATTTCATTTCTGTGCATCTCCATATGCCAACTTGTCTGCCAGGGGCCCGAATTCTGCTGGCAGATTGAGTGCACGTGAGGGCAGGAAGCTTGGGCTCAAGTCCTGCCTGCCCATGAACCTGCTCTGTGGCCATGGACAAAGCCACATCACCTGCCTGGGCCCCACCTCCCCAGGACTCTTCCAGCTCTACAATCCTATTCCTCCCTGACACCACAGTGCTATCATGCTTCAGCCTTTGACAGGCCTGCGTGGCTTGAAGACAGAGACCATTTGTAATGGACCTGGCTCTCTGTCAGGCCCAGCACCCAACCCAGTGCCTAGCACCCCCTAGATGTTGCACAACTATGGCAAGAAGGAGGGAAGGAGGAAATTGTGTAACCCCAATTTGTAGTAGAGTTTTGTCTTAGCTAATGTGTTTTATAGTAGGGGTTCCCAACCCCCGGGTCACTGACTGGTACCGGGCTGCCCAGCAGGTTTGTGGCAGGTGAGCGAGCGAAGCTTCATCTGTATTTACAGCCCCTCCCCATCACTCACATTACCACGTGAGCTCTGCCTCCTGTCAGATCAGCAGCGCCATTCGATTCCTATAGGAGCACAAAACCCTATCGTGAACTGTGCATGTGAGGGATCTAGGTTGCGCGCTCCTTCTGAGAATCTAATGCTGATGATCTGTCGCTGTCTCCCATCACCCCAAGATAGGACCATCTAGTTGCAAAACAAGCAAGCTCAGGGCTCCCACTGATTCTACATTATGATGAGTTGTATAATTATTTCATTATATATTACAACGTAATAATAGAAATTAAAGTGCACAATAAATGCAATGCACCCGAATCATCCCGAAGCCATTCCCTCCACACCCCTGTCCGTGGAAAAGTTGTCTTCCACAAAACCAGTCCCTGGTGGCAGAAAGGCTGGGGATCTCTGAGAGCACTCTATCTCAAACTTTAACATAAATATGATCTCCTGGGGATCTCGTTAACCTGCAGATTTCTAGGTTAGTAGGTCTGGGGTGGTGCTGCTACTAGTTTCCAGACCACACTTTGAGTAGCAAAGTTTTAGAACACGGATCTAGGTGAGGATTCTTGGCTGAAAAAAAGGAGAGTGGGGTTAGGGGTGCTAGAATCCTGGTCACAGTTATACTTTAAAGGTATGTGTACAGGCCAGGTGCAGGAGCTCATGCCTGTAATCCCAACACTTTGGGAGGCCAAGTCAGGTGGATCACCTGAGGTCAGGAGTTCGAGACCACTCTGGCCAACATGGTGAAACCCCTTGTCTACTAAAAATACAAAAATTGGCTGGGTGTGGTGGCACATGCCTGTAGTCCCGTCTACTTGGGAGGCCGAGGCACGAGAATTGCTTGATCCCGGGAGGCGGAGGTTGCAGTGAGCCAAGATCACGCCACTGCACTCCAACTTGGGCAACAGAGTGAGACTTGGGTCTCAGAAAATAAAAAAATAAAAATAAAAGGTATGTGTATAGGCAAGAAACTTAGAAACACAAAGCCATTTGACAAATTATAGGGCTGATAAGCGTGTGGGTGACTTTCTTTCACGTGTTTCTTGCTATAAAGTGTTTGCAAAGAATAAAAACTGCAAAGAAAATCAGTGAAAGGGAAAAAAGCAGTTCATTCTCAGCCACACAGAGGCCATGTGGGGCACACCACTCGTTGCCTCTTACCTGAGCTGCTCTGCACTGCTGGAACAAGGTTTCTGGCTGGGAGGTTTTCAAAATGTTTTCAAACAGCCTGCTTGAGTTTGCTCCAGTTGAGAAGCATCTGAGGCTATGATCACAGCCAAGGGTGATATGTAACAAGCTGTCCCACCTCTGATGCAAATGAAGCCTGCAGAGATATAAGAAAAGCCTTCATTCCTCAGCCAGGGATAACACACAGGCAGACCAGGTGACCAGTGACACCCTTGGCACCCACTAAGAGCGGTAAGAAAAATCAATTTAAAAGTTTGCCTTTCTTACAAAAAGAATTTTTATGAGGCCAAAGCGTTGACAAGTTTGTCAGTCCCAGAATCTGCTAACACCCTCCCGCTAGCCCCTTAGATTTTTTAGTACTTTTCCCCTCCTCATTTTTAGAGGGGAGGAAAAACCATCTTGAACAAGCAGAAAGTTTTATCCAAGGTGTTTGGCAGCGACTCTGAGCTCTAGGAAAGATTTATGTCTTCGTCCTCTGGCACTGCCTAGCGTTAGCTCACTTAAAACAACTGAATATATGAGTTCACTTTATCCTGTCAAAGTAGAACCTAGGGCGGCATGGTACCCAGCTGGGGTCCACGGGGACCCTGAGGCAATGCTCATGTCTCAGTCACTTATGCTGAGCTCAGCCATTTTTATGTCTGTCTGAGATCATTAAAATGAGGAGGGAAGGGAGCAGAAAGCCCTGTGGAATGAATGGTGTGATGGAAACACCACTAGAATCTAGAGGGCTCCGCCAAAAACATGGATTTAGGGGTTCACTTTAAACGCTGCATGTCTCCCATCGTCACCCCTCCCATTAGTAGTCCTTTGGACAGGAGCAAGACCAGTTGCTTGGAGTATGAGCTTCCTGGAGGGCACCTCCAGAGAGGTTTCTCCATGCTGATGATCCCAAGAATATTTTAATTTTCCTTGTTAAGTCATTGGTTTTCTTTGCTGCTGCCCCACTACCATTAAGACTAGGCCCTGTGATGGAGCCCACTGCCCCTGAAAAAGGAACGTGTATTCGGTCCTGGATGGATTCTCCAGGCCAGACCCAGGTCCACCCACCTCACATGGGCACGGGCTCAGGATTCGCCAAGCAGCTTTGATATTAACCTAAGACAGCAAGATTAGAAAAGGCACTGCTGCCCCACAGGACTGCACTGTGCCGCCTGAGCCCAGGGAGGCAGGGGAGCTGGGGGCCCAGGGTCTGTGCCTGCCCATCCGGGAGGACGGTTGCGGGACCCTCTGCTCCCCAGCCCAAGCCTGCTTCCCCTTCCGGAATCCTCAGGCTTCAGCCAGAGGGAGGGGTGGTTTCTGTCTTAAGGGTGGGGACCTGGGATTCTAATAGGCCCTCACAATTTCTTGGCATTTAAAGGTGACAGAGCCTGTCGCCTAGAATGAGAACAGTCCAAGGGCAGGGATTGTGCCCTCCTCCTGGGGAAGGATGGAAAGGAGGGAAGAGCTAGTTAGTTGTTAGCTGATCCTCACACATCCTGAGAAACACTCATGGAAATGCAGTAATGCCATTTCATAAACAAGGAAGCTGAGGGGCTGCATCTGCCATCACACAGTGGAAGTGGAATTTGACTGGGGCCTGTCTGAATCCCATTCTTGGCCCTTTCCTGCGTCAGCACTGCCCAAACCTCAATCATTCCCATAGCACCATCACCATCTTCGCTAGTCTTCACACTACACACAGCTACATGTATATGTAACTAAATTCTTAAATCTACTGATTGTTTAAAAATATAACTAGTTTGATGTGCTAGTTGCATTTTTCCAATATGCATTAGAACAAATAAAAGAATTGTCCATCCACGTGTCACTGGCATGCTGCCCAAAGTGCATCTATCACACTAGAGCAGCGGTTCCCACAATGTGGTCCCCAGATCAGCAGCAGCAGCAGCGCAGCAGCACCTACGAACTTCTTAGAAATGCAAATTCTCGGGCCCCACCACAGACCTCATGAATCAGAAGCCCTTGGGGGTGGGGCTCAGCAACCTCCCCCTCAAACTCTTCTGTTATCCTGATGCCAGTAAATGTTCGCTTTGCTAGAGTGTTTGACCACTTAAGAGTGTCCTGGTCGTTTCACCTGTGTGCCCCCCGGCCCCTCCAGCCATGCCCTGCTCACCCCACCTCTGGGCCTTTGCCAGAGCCATTTGCCCCTCCTGGATTACTCTGATCTCCTCTTCTCACAGTGTCATTATGAGGACAGAGCACATGAAATCAGACTGAGCCTTTCATGGCTGAGTTCAGAAAGACAGTGATTATAATGTGATGAACATCTGCCTCAAGGAAAACACCTTGAAATTTACACATGAGCATGCAAAGTTGTCAGAGGCATTTGAACCAGAGCAACTCCGCCTCAAATAGGCGCTGGGTAAAATGAGGCTGAGACCTACTGGGCGTCATTCCCAGTTGGGTAAGGCATTCTAAGTCACAGGATGAGATAGGAGGTCGGCACAAGATACAGGTCATAAAGATCTGATAAAACAGCTTGCAGTAAAGAAGTTGGTCAAAACCCACCAAAACCAAGATGGCCACAAGAGTGACCTCTGGTCGTCCTCGCTGCTACACTCCCATTAGCGCCATGACAGTTTACAAATGCCATGTCAGCATCAGGAAGTTACCCTATATGGTCTCAAAAGGCAAGGCATGAATAATCCACCCCTTGTTTAGCATATTATCAAGAAATAACCATAAAAATGGGCAACCAGCAGCCCTCAGGGCTGCTCTGTCTGTGGAGTAGCCATTCTTTTATTTCTTACTTTTTAAATAAACTTGCTTTTGCTTTGCACTTTGCTTTTCTTTCTTGCGTGAAATCCAAGAACGCTCTCTTGGGGTCTGGATCAGGACCTCTTTCCTGTAACAAAGTGGCAGTGCTTGCTTATTTTTCTGTGACTCCTTGGGCCAGGATTCAGAAATGATGGAAAGGACCTAGCAAATAAGTGAGTTCCACATTCCCTAGAGCCCTGCAGGTCCAATAGAACTTTCTGCAATGATGGCAGTGTTTCATATCCACACTGTGTTGGGAGACAATTCCCCATGGGTCTCGTGCATTTGTACACATTTTTTATTTTTTTTAGACAGAATCTCACTCTGTCACTCAGGCTGGGGTACAGTGGCACAATCTTGGCTCACTGCAACCTTCACCTCCTGAGTTCAAGCAATTCTCATGCCTCAGCCTTCTGAGTAGCTGGGATTACAGGTGCGCGCCACCATGCCCTGCTAATTTTTGTATTTTTGGTAGAGACGAGGTTGCACTATGTTGGTCAGGCTGGTCTTGAACTCCTGACCTCAAATGATCCGCCCTCCTCCGCCTCCCAAAGTGCTGGGACTACAAGTGTGAGCCGCTGTGCCCGGCCGCATTTCTACACATTTTGTAAGCAGAGGCACTGCTTTTGTTCTGGACACCTTTCAAGGATTTTTGTATTAATATGTAACCAGCAGTCTTGGAAGACAATGTCTTCCTCCAGCACATAGGGCAGATGCTTACTGCACATTGCAAAAGAACCAGGTTTCCTAAACTCAGGGTTCCTTTCTTGTACAGCAACCCACTGTATGTGTGGGTATCCTTTGGCCTCATTCATGTTGCCCTGTGGCAATTGGAGCTCAGGAAACTGGAGCAAGAAAATACTGATACTCTGGTTACTGATATTGCTATAAATAATAAAGTTCTTTGTCTCTGACCCAGGAGTCTCATGTCTTCTGCCAGCATCCATGAAATGGTCAGACTAACTTGTTAGTTTGCAACTGTGGTAAAATATGCGACCCTTCATATTTCTTGTAGTATTGAGCACTTTAAATGTGACTAGTGTGACCAAAAAAATGAAATTTTAGTTTGATTTTAAATAACCACATGTGGCTAGAGGCTACCATATTGGACAGCACAGTTTAGAATGCTCAGGCATAAACTGGAATAGCCGCTGGTCAGGGATGCTGTAGAGGGAGCTGTAGGATTGACACTTAGGTGATTTCTAGGTTGTTTTCAATATTTCAGTTTTGATTCTGTAGCTCTAGGAAGAGTAGAATTATGGAGAGGCCAAGGGTAGAGAGATGCCCTGTCTTTTTATTACATCCAGAGAGGTTTACTGGTATTGTTGAGAGATGAAAGTAAAGCAAAATGGGGGCTGAGTTTGGAGACTGGAGATGAGGAGATGTTTCTAGCATAGAATGCAAGCCTTTTGAAGAAGGCTCGGAGGCCAGAGAGAATATATGGCCAGAGAAGATGAGCAAACCAGGGGTCCTTGAAGAATTTACTCAGCCCTGCCCTCCCCTCCTTCCTGCAGCCTGAGAACCTCCCCCATCTCCTCCTGGCTGGCCCAAGTCTCCTTGGACCCTGCTCGGCTTCCCAGGCCTCTGCCCCTCTCACCTCCTGGCTTAGAACAATCTCCTCTTTGATTGCTGGCTCAGGCCCCACTGACTGTCAGGTCATCTGTACCTAATCAGGAGGAGCAGGGGCCTGAAGGATGATAAACGGGGCTTCTCATTTCAATAAAGTGTGTGCAGAATATTAGAAACAGCTGTGGGACTTGGCTGGCTGTGCCAGAACCTGTGGAGGCCTAGCGTTTGGGGGAGGAGAGTCGAGACGGAGAACACCAGGGCAGAAGTCTGTTTAAAGGGTGCTTTGCCACCTAGGGCTGGCAAAGCCGGTAAGCTTAGTTCAACACCAGCCCCTGCCCGGAGCCCTAGGCCTGGACCAGCCTGGAGAGTGCTCTGCAGTTGGACGACTCTGGGCGCGGCCAGGCAGGTCTGGATTACCCAGCAGGCGTTTATTTACCTTTATCGTCATTTATTTTACAAATACCACATAGATTTCTGTGCAGATTGCTTTTCTCACCTAACAAAACATTGTGAAAATCCCTCTAATTTATTCTCTTTTTTTTAATCAGTAAAATGCACATAACATAAAATTTACAATCTTAGCCATTTTCAAGTATATAGTTCGGTAGCGTTAACTATATTCACATTGTTGTGCGACCCTTCTCCAGAACTTCTTCTCTTCCAAAACTGGAATTCTATATCCATTAAACAACTCCCCATTTCCCCTCCCTCTCCAGCTCCTGGTAGCCACCCTTCTACCTTCTGTCTCTGTGGTTTTGACTGCTCTAGGTATCTCATCTAAGTGGAATCCTAGAGCATTTGTCCTTCTGTAATGTATTGTTTTAAAAGATGTATAACATTACATTACATGGGTATATGTATATCATTCAATCAATACTAATGGTTTTGCCACTACAAAAAAATGCTATATTTTTGTATGCATATCCTCAAATATTAAAGCTTGCTTTTTATCCCCCATAGCATAATTTCCAAAAATTACATAGCTCAAAGAGATGTATATTTTTAGTTTTCATATATTTTACCAGGTCCCTTTCTCAAAAGTCTGGGGTAATTCACATATCCACCAGCTGTGATTAAGAGTGGTTTCTCCCTCATCTTCTCCAGCCCTAGGTATGATCATTCTTATTAAGTTTTGCTATTCTGATAAGTGAAAAGCAGTATCCCATCTCTAAAATTTGCATTTCCTTGACTATTAGTGAGGTTCAGCATCTTTCCATAAATGTATTATCCATTTGGATTTTCTCTTCCATGAATCACCTATTTCTATCTTTTGCCTATTTTTCTACTAGGTTATTTCTCTTTCTTATTGACAGACAGGATCTTTGTGTACCAGATATTAACTCGTTATTGGTGGTACATATTGAAATATTTTCTCCAGTCTATAGTTTGTCTTTTGACTTTACATATAGTATCTTCTATCTTTCTGTTTTCTTTTTTTTTTTTTTTTGTCTTTTGTCTTTTGAGACAAAATCTCACTCTGTTGCCCAGGCTAGAGTGCAGTGGTGCGATCATAGCTCACTGCAGCCTTGATCTCCTGGGTTCAAGCCATCCTCCTACCTCAGCCTCCCGAGTAGCTGGGACTACAGGCATGCGCCACCATACCCGGCTAATTTTTGAATTTTTTGTAGAGACGGGGTTTCGCCATGTTCCCCAGGCTGGTCTGGAACTCCTGAGCTCAAGCGATCTGCTCACCTTGGTCTCCCAAAGTGCTGGGATTACAGGTGTGAGCCACTGCACTCAGCGGTATCTTTTTTTTTTTTTTTTTTTTTTTTTTTTTTGTGAGACGAAGTCTCGCTCTGTTGGCCAGGCTGGAGTGCAGTGGCGAAATCTTGGCTCACTGCAACATCCACCTCCTGGGTTCAAGCAATTCTCCTGCCTCAGCCTCCTGAGTAGCCGTGACTACAGGCACGTGGCACCATGCCTGGCTAATTTTTGTATTTTTAGTAGAGATGGGGTTTCACTATGTTGGCCAGGCTGGTCTCAAACTCCTGACCTCATGATCCCAGCGGTATATTTTATCTTTCTAAAATTTAAGCTTCTTATGTCTCTCTTTTCATCTGTAGCTTCTGAATTTTCTACTTTATTTAGAAAAATCTCTTCAAACTCTAGATCATATATTCTAATATTTTTCCTCATGAAACTGTTTTAAATGTTATATTTAAATCTTTCGGATCTGAAATTTTGTTTTAATAACTTAATGAGGTAGAGGTCGTAACCTTTTTTTTTCATTCAGACATAGAGTCAACTGTGCCTATACAATTTATTAAAGAAACCATAGTTTGAATCCACTGGTTTGAAATACCACCTTTATTGTACCCTATAATCCATACGCACGGGGATAAATTTCTGAACTTTGTTCTATTTCTGCCCTATGGGGCTATTTATCTTGTCCTGTACTTTTAATGTACGATTTGATCCCAGTAACTTTATAGTTTTCCTTAGGCCACTTGTAATATTTCTTTGCTGCTGTTGTTTTCATCATTACCATTAAAAAATTCCTTCCAGCTATCAGAGCCTGTGAATGTCAGTAACTTCAAAACAGGCCAGAATAAAGCCAAGAAGGGGAGGGATGGGCCTGTCCCTTACCTGTCCATGTGCCTTTTCAGGAATCAGCTGAGGCAGTGGCCAGACAACAACATTAGGTGAGCACCCACTACGCATTCAGCATTGCTCTTACCACTAACGACAAAGCTGGAAGACCAGAACTTCCAGCAATGGGGTAACAAGGTTCTTATTTCTCAGCTCTGGACCTGTATCTTCTGCAGCCAGTTTTGCGATGTTGGGCTTGGACCCTACCAACTCCATTTCTGTTTTGCCAGTCACTAGAGGGAGGCTGCAGGCGGGACAGGAAGTGTGGACAGGCTCCTTCCTGTTTGCATCTGTGTGTTCCCTGTGAGGGCACCCCAGCAACACATCTTCACCCCAGGAACAGCAGGCCCCTCCTGGAGCAGCACCTGATCCAGTTTGCAGTGTTCCCAACACTTGCAGCTCCATCATCCACCCCACCCCAGCCCTGCATCCCTACCTGAGAGACCCCAGCACCAGCTGGCAGGTGCCCCTTCCGCAGAGGTCTGGGTGCAGGAGTCCTTTCTTCACACCCGGAGACCCCAGCTCCCGCTGAGTTGAGCCCCCTCCTCAGATGTCTGGGTCACAGGCTCTGGAACCCTCCTTCAAAACTCTTCCTTAGGGTTCTCCAGCCCTGGAGTGGTAGCTGCTCCTGCAGGTGCAACCCCCATGAAAGCTTACTCTTCTCTCTCCTTACCCTCTCCTTACCTAATTAACAACTTCATACCTCATTATCAGTTCCTTATGCTGAATTCTCTTTTCAAACTAACTGGTGTGGTTTCTGTCTCCTGATTGAACCCCAGCTGACACAGGTAATGAGGAATTGAAGTTTTCTGGGAAGTGAGGGCTGCCTCTCTTGGCCGCCCTGCTGAGAGCTCCCTTCCCTCCTCCATTCCCAGAATTATTTGGCTGCTGGTCGCCAAGGAGACGACTGACAATTTCCAGTTGCCAAGCCTCACCCTGGAGCTCTACAGAGACATTATGGAAACTCCCCACTCCTTCCTGCTCCTCAGCCAGGGAACTTGGAGAATCTAGCCAGGTTGGGTGGAGGGCACTGGGAGGGGATAGAGAGGAGGTGACAAGCCTGAAGATGGAGAGAGCAGCTAGAAGTTTCCCTGGGCCCTGGCTTCCCCAACAGACCTCAAAAGTCTGGCCCACCCTTGAAGGCTAGGGCTGGCCTGGTGGGCATCCCCTGTGCTGGGTCCAGACAGACTCCTACCAGGGACCTCCAACCAGACCCTCAACTACAGAGAACTGTCCCTATATTGTCATTCCCGGCCTGGTAGCAGCACTGTTGCCAGATGGGGCAGAACCCAGGAAGAACCTGGGAACTGAAGGGCTAGGAGTCTTTCCTGGGGGAAGGAACTGCAGCTGTCCTGAGCACTTTGCTCATATCAGACAGCACTCAAATGCACTGAGGCCTAGTGTCACAGCCCGGGAAACAGCAACAACAGCAACGCTAATAATAATAATCGTAGTGGTGCAGTAGGTGTGACTCTTACTCTATAAACTTAGGTGCACAAAAATATCCATTTCTCTATTTCACTAAAATCAAGTAGAGTTGAGTTCATTCCTGGGGCTCCTGCCTTTTTCCAGCGTCCCACCAGAACCCGGGGGCTTATTGCTATGGTTTAAATGTGTCCCCAAAATTCAGGTGTTGCCAGTGTGGTAGTATTAAGAGATGGGGTCTCCAAGAGGTGGTTGGGCCACGAGGGCTCCTCCCCTGTGAATGGGAGTAGCTGCCCTTATAAAAGGGCTTGACAAAGGGAGTTTATCCCTTTTTGCCCTTCTGCCTTCCACTATGTGGGGACATGGCCTTCGTCTCCTCTGGAAGATGCAGTGACAAGGCGCCATCTTGGAAGACAACAGCTCTCACCAGACACCGGACCTGCTGGAGCCCCGGTCTTGGACTTCCCAGTCTCCAGAACTGTAAGAAAATAAATTTCTGTTCTTTATAAATTACCCAGTCTCAGGTATTCTAGTATAGCCACACAAATTGACTAAGAAACTTAGGAGGGATGAAACCAAGGGAAGGCCTCTAACTGCTGGTCCATCGTGGTGGTTGTTGGCCTGCTCGTTGTCCAAGCTTTCTGTGGGCCTGTGCAGTCAGCAATAGCTCTCCAGTCCTGTACGCTCTGGGGTCCTGGCCTGCTGTCTCCAGACTCTTCTTCTCCCAGGTACCTAGTGACCTCTGAACTGTCCCCAAACTCAGGGAAATCTCTTCCTCTCTGCTCTAACTGCCCCCAAAGGCACTCTCCTTTCTCCATCTCACCCCTTCCACCACCCGGCATACCTCACACAACTTTTACAAAATTAGGAAGATGTTAATGTACAGCTTCTTCCCTGCAAGAATCCCCATGGCAATGCAGGGCTAGAGGCCTGGTGAAAGCAGCTTCTGGTCTGTTTTTGCGTAGTAGTTTAAGGTAAGCTAAAGACATCGGGACATCTCATTGCTGAGTGTTTTAGTATTCATTAAAAAACAGAAACATTGTCTTACATCATCAAAAAACTATTCTCACATATAACAAAATTAATTTTCTAACTTTTTTTTTTTTTTGAGACTGAGTCTTTCTCTGTTGCCCAGGCTGGAGTATAGTGGCGTGGTCTCGGCTCACTACAACCCCCACCATCCAGGTACAAGTGATTCTCGTGGCTCAGCCTCCTGAGTAGCTGGGACTACAGGAACACGCCACCACACCCGACTAAGTTTTGTATTTTTAGTAGAGAGAGGGTTTCACCATACTGGCCAGGCTGGTCTCAAACTCCTGACCTCAAGTGATCTGCCCGCCTCGGCCTCCCAAAGTGCTGGGATTACAGGCGAGAGCCACCGTGCCTGGCTTCTAATATTATCTAATAAACAATTAGTCCCATTTCACAGAGGAAAAACTAAGACTTGAAGTGGGTGAGTAACTTGTTCATCGTCACTCAGGTAGTGGGAACAGAACCAAGATCTGAACCCTGATGTGATTCCAGCTCTCCTCTTTCTTCACATCTCTGCACAGCAGCTTATACGCTCTTACTAATCCACCATCCCGCTCTTACAACAGCTCTGAGCAGTGTCAGGGTGAGCATTGCAATCACATTTTTAACCAATCAGGAAACAGAAGCCATGAGTGTTTTGCTCCACATGCCCAGGTAGGGCTGGTTGAGAAAGGGCTCCGGGAATGGAAAGCAGATGGAAGGAGGGTCAGCTCCCAGGTGAAGCTGGCGCCAGAAACTAGGCCTCCTTCCCTGCGGCCCCAACAGGTGCTCTCCCAGCACTGTCACTGCCTCAGCCTTGGCCTGCGTCTGCCTCCCCTTCCTTCCTCTCCTGATCTGTTCACCTCCTGTTCCCAACCCTTCCATCCAGGGCCTCCTTCATTTCCTCTCTAGTCTCTAAGGATCAGTTTACAAAGTGACTAGGCAGTGGCCCCTGCCTGTCCTCTGTCCCTGTTGTCCTCCTTCCTTTCCTTAGCCATGAACACAGCCGGGGACACGTTGCCTGTGGAGCCTCTAACCCATTTCCTCTGCAGCCCTCGGCTGGTCTCCTGCTGGGGTCCCGGAGGGCCGGGCTGGCCCAACAGCACACATGGAGAAGCCATTTCCTCCAGGAGCATCTGCTCCCCTCCTCAGCCCAGCTGTCCCTGTCCTTTCACATGCTGCTGCTCCAAAGCCCTATGATTTCAGAATCAGGATTCAAAATGGTCACAAGGCAGGAGAGCTGGGTTAAAACCCACAGCACAAAAGGAGGGGCCTGTAGGTTGGCTCAGAGGCACAGGGATGTGGTGCGAGACAAGCGTCATCTGTCCCTGAGTTTACCAAGTACCCACGGTCTGGTGTAGCTGCTGCCCATGCACAGCGGAGGGTCCTGGAGAGGAGGCAGCTGCAGGCACCTGGCGCTTGTTCCAGCCGCACCACTGCCTCGTCCAAAGACACAGGGAGACTCAGGGAGCCGCCGCTTCCTCTCAGGAGAGCCAGGTGTGCCCAGCCATCCTCAGGAGCCAGGGGAGGCCTCAAGGGGGCAGTGTAGCCAACATGCCCTGATACAGGATAAACGTTAGCTGAGGGGGATCCGTGAAACTCAGTAAATAACTGAGCAAGACTTTGAGCATTTTTATCAGAAGAGAAGGGATTTAGCAGTTCCACAGGCCCCTGGCCAGACTGAGTGAGCCACAGTCTCAGAGTGGACGGGGACGAACCAGAGAATGTCCAAAGACGGGGAGCAACCTGGGGCACAGGAAATCAAGCCATGGGGAGAAAATAGGGGAGCATTTGAGCCCATTCATAAAATATGAATAGCAATGCTTTCTCATGGGGCTGTTGGGAACCCCTAACCCACGCCTGGTGTATGTAAGTGTACAACAAATGGTGACTAGTATTATTTATTTAGGTGGAGAAGAGAAGAGCAGCACACGCAGTTTCAAATAGTGAATGACTTTCATCTGGAAGTGAGTGGGGTTTGAGTAATTTTACAAAACTTCCATGAAAGAATTCCCCAAGGATAGAAGTGTCAGGGAAGCAGATTTTCATTCAACTTAAAGAGAAGGAGGGCGAGAGCTAACATTGATTCAATGTATCTGCGTGCCATGCTGGGTGCTTGTGAGGGGTTTAATACTGGTGGTTGTATGTCATTTGTCCAATAACTTGAAGAGGGAGTTATTATTATTTTCATTTCACAGATGAGGCCACAAGATGGAGACGGAGCGGGTTGCTCACCCAAGTTCATGCAGCGCCCATCTGACGTTCCCCCGGGAGGAGCTGCAGGGCCTTCTTTCGAGGAGGTGGCAGAGGGGCTTCCTGCGTGCAAAGGAGGGTCCCACCAGCCCTTTTGGAACCTCAGCCTGGTCCTCCAGAATTTCACCTCAAACTACTGGAGTCTAGGTCCTGAGTCCCTCCTTATAAGCCCCTCATTTCTGAGTTCAGCTACGAGGCCACTCCAGGGACTCCAGGTTGCCCCTTAGTCCACACAGTTGCCTGTCCTTCCCTCCAGGCTGATGTGAGCCCTGGGGGCCCAGGCAGGCTGGGGATGGAGGCCACGCAGTGAGGGTGGAGAGCACAGGCCCTGAGCAGGAGGGGACGATGAGAAGCAGGCACCAGAACCTGGGAATCCACAGCTTTACCTGCCCCAGGGCCCGGCTGCTGAGCTTGCACAGTGCAGAGCACAGCTCCAGGTGACCTCAGCTTGGATGAAGCTCCTTGGGAAGGGGGGAAGGAGGGAAAGAGAGGATCTCTTGTCAGGCCTCCAACCCTGCCACCAGAGGATGGAAAAATCTGACCCCATCCCTGTGCCTTAAACTTAGACGCTCAAGAAACATTTGTTCAATTCATTGTTTACGTTCTTTGGTTAAGAGGTATAAGTAAGTTTAAGAGGCAGGAGCTATACATGCATAATCTCATGTGTTCCTCACAGGAAAACCATTAAAGGAAGAAATTGAAGCTTAGAGAAGTTCTGTAAGATGCTGAGGTCACACAGTAATAAAGAGATAAATGTGTGTTCTCATTACTGCGCTTTCTTGTCTCTCAAAGCAAGGAACCAGCTCACCTTGTCTCTCCCAGCTCCTCACCTCCCGAGGCAGCAGGGACAGGAGCCCTGGGCCTGTTCTCCCATTCCAGACACATCTCTTCTCTTCCAGACAGGGGCTGTGGCTCTGCCATGGGGTTCCTGTTCTGGCAGAGCCAGGACACAGGATGGGGGTAGGCTTCACCTCTGTGATGGTCTGTTTTATGTGTCAACTTGGCTAGGTCATGGGGTACCCAGATATTTCAAACATCACTCTGGGTGTTTCGGGAGGGTGTTCTGGGGTGAGATGAACATTTGAATTGATAGAATCAGTAAAGAACATTGCCCTCCCCAACATGGGTGGGCCTCATCCAATCAGGTGACGGCCCGAACAGAACAAAAAGGCTGAGTAAGATGGAACTCCGCCTGCCTGACTGCCTGAACTGGAACTGCGGTCTTTTCCTGCCTTCAGACTCAAACTGAAACCTCAGCTCTCCCTGGATCTCAAGCCTGTGGACAGCAGATCTTGAGATTTGTCAGCCTCCATAATCACATGACCCGATTCCTTATGATAAATCCCTTTCTGTATATACATACAACCTCTTCGTTCTCTTTCTCTGGAGACCCCTGACTAATATACCCTCTCTCCCTGACTCTCCCTTCGAGGGTCCCCTTCCTAAGGGGAAAGAGCAGGTTGAGGAGCCCCACCTGACTTCCGTGTTCCTGATGCCCCAGCTGAGAAAAGGCTGGGGGGCTGATAACGCAAGCAGCGTAGACTAACTCTGCATCAGCACAAGCTCTTGCCACTGCCAGAGGATCCTTTAAAGCTCCCCTGATTCACATGGCTAGAATTCTCCCGTTCTCTCCAGAGACAGGGGCCGGCCACCCTGAGGTGGAGAGTGCTGCCGGATCCCCACACTTTATTTCCATAGGAACCTCTAAGGGAGATCGGAGGAGATTCCCAGTCTGGGGAGTGGGGGAATCAAATGAGTGGCCCGTATGCACTGGTCACCAGGGGCAGTCAAACCTGACTCTCAGGGACCACCTGCCATTCTGCTCCATAGCTGAGTTAGGAGGGAAAGGGAACTCGAGACCCTGAGGAAGGCATGGAAGGGCTTGGCCGTGGATCGAGTGAGGGTGGGATAGGGGTCTGTCCATACAGCCTCTTCATGCAGCCACTGTCCCAGGCAAGTGAGAAGCCAGAGTGCCACAGTGACATCTTGGGCCCTGGAGGAGCCACCTGGAATTCAACTCTGACAGCTCCTGTCTTGGCTGAGCCTTGGAGAACCTGAAACCGGACATCAGATCCCCCTTCTCACTGGGGTTCAGGAATCTCATCCTCCGTCTAACCCTGCCACCAGAGGATGGAAAAATCTGACCCCCTCTCGGGCTGTCATTCAGAGACAGCTAGACAACAGGATATGCTCCAAGAGCTAGAGAGACAGAGAATTCAGAGAGCCCTGGACAGCAGGAATGCTGGGCTCCAGCCCAGCTCCGGGATCCAGACTTGATAGTTCAAATCTAGCTAGGAGCATGAATGGTGCACCTACTGCATGCTGGGCACTGTTCATCCGTGTGTGTGCATGAGCGCATGTGTGGACAGGCATGAATGAATGAATGAATGATATCAAACACATATGTGTGCATGAATTATATCAAAGATTTGTAAAGTACATAAAAAATAAACGTACAGCTTGAGGAACTGTAACCCTCACTCGACTCAAGGAACAGCACATTTCAGCACCCAAAAAGCACCCCCGTGTGCTAATTTAAGTCTTGTCATTTGATATTCACAATATACTCTTTACAACAAAGAAGGTGTTATTATCCCACTTATCTGTGAGGAAGCTAGGGCCCAGGGAGGCTCGGAAACGTCCTCGCTTTTCAGATTATCACCAACCCCAGCTGTCTGACTCCACAGCTCCTCCCGCCACTCCACCTAAAGGTTGTTTGAACCTCAAGGTCCCTGTGGTCGGGAGTCCTGTGTTGGGCAGGTAATTGGACCAGAAGAGTTTGGGGGCCTTTCTCAACTCTGTCCAGTGATTCTAATTTTACAATATCCTTTGAGCGAAAATGCAGGGAGCTCGTGGTCCTCTCCCCTGGGTCTGCCCCAGCCACGTCCTACCCTCCCCAATTCTGCATTATGGATGGGGTGAATCATCTGGTAAATAATTAACGAGTCATCGAGGCACTGAGGGTAACAGGAGAGCAGGGGTGGAGGCATGGGCAGGGCTAAAGTTGGCAACCTGAGCCAGACCACCATCCTCCCAGGGCTGGGCTCTGCTCTGGGTAGAAGGGGCCCACAGGTCAGGCAGGAGCCTCAGGTGGGTGGCCATCAGGGAGATGGGGCCATGGTGGGTCAGAGGGCCCAGCACAGCCCAGTCAGCCTCCTGCTGCTGATACACCTCTGCCTTCTGCACCTGAGGGCCTCAGGTGAGTGATACTCAGACCCCCCAGGGGGTTCATTTCCCACTCCCATCCCATTATTCCTGCCACTTCCTGGGGGATCCTCCTTTTGCACTCCATTCCATGAAGTCCGTTCAGTCATTCATCGGCTAGACATTTAACTAGCGTTCACTGAGCGACTACTATGTGCCACGTAGGTGAGAGCACTCTGCTTAACCTTGAGAAGCTGGAGTCATCCTGAGAGCCACTGTGAGGTGGTAAGCCTAGGAGTGGTATGGTCAGATCCAGGTTTCAGAAAGCTCCCTGGTTTTGAGGGGGATTAGGGCAATCAGGAGATCATTGCCATAATCCAGGTGAGAGATGCTGGCATCTTGGGCCAAAGCAATGTCCATGGGGTTGGAAGAAATTGGTTTCTGGGTTACATATTTTTATTCTTTTTTTTTTTTTGAGATGGAGTCTTGCTGT
This sequence comes from Homo sapiens, assembly GCF_000001405.40. NCBI lineage: Eukaryota > Metazoa > Chordata > Mammalia > Primates > Hominidae > Homo > Homo sapiens. Next base: position 125,946,576 of record NC_000011.10, read on the forward strand.
CACCCAGGCTGGAGTGCAGTGGTGTGATCTCGGCTCACTGCAACCTCTGCCTCCTGGGTTCAAGTGATTCTCCAGCCTCAGCCTACCAAGTAGCTGGGATTACAGGTGTGTGCCACCATGCCCAGCTAATTTTTGTATTTTTAGTAGAGCCAGGGTTTTGCCATGTTGGCCAGGCTGGTCTCAAACTCCTGACCTCAGGTGATCTGCCCGCCTCAGCCTCCCAGAGTGCTGGGATTACAGGCCTGAGCCACTGAGCCCGGCCCCAGAGACTTACTTTCATGCAAATTTGCTGAGGTCCTCAGCACTTCATGGCATGAGGCCCACCCTGGCCACATGTGAGGGGACAGCGGGGAACATGGTACTTGGGCTTAGGCTGGGGTTGAGGGCTGGGCCCTGAGCCGAGAACACCTGTTAAGTGACTTACTCCACAGGAACTACTTAATGGCTGGTCCCTGATAGACTGGGAACTCCATGAGAGCAGGGGTGGGGGGCTCATTTGTCCTTGTGACCCCGGCACTCTATGCTTAGTTGAACGAATGCTGGATGGGCTGATGCGGGCGGTGTCCTCTTTCCCTTGCTGCAATCAACTGGAACAGGGTGGGAGGGAGCCCTGGGATCCTCCTGGAATCCTTACACAGGAACTCCAGACCCCGAGCCACCAGTGGCCAAGCAGATCTCCTTATCTCCAGGGTCACCATCGTCACGGGACTGATCATCAGACTGATCTTGGGGCGCTTGTTACAAATATGGATTCCTGGGCCCTGACCCCCTCACCACCACTGGGAGTGTCTGACTTGATAGTCTGGGGTGACGTCCACGAATCTGCCTTTTGGATGGTCTAGTGACCCATGAGGAGTGGGGATGTCTGCTCCAGTCCATTCTCTGACTTCAGTCAACCCCTCCTTCAGTGCATCCAAACAGGAAACCCAGAGGCTCCCACACAAACTGTCTCTTGCCCACCAACTCCAGAAGTGCTTTTATGTGGTCTTCCTGAACCCTGCCTGGGCCGCTTGGGACTGCAGAACCAAAAAGAGAGGCTCCAGGCAAGGCAGGGAGTGCAGGAGAGCCCAGAGCAGCCCAGAAGTCCTGCTATGCCCCTTCTCTCCCCAGGCCAGCCCCACCCGACCCCCGAGGCCCCTGTAGAGGAGGTGGTGTCTGTCCAGGGAGTGCGAGGTGGCTCCGTGGAGCTGGCCTGTGGCTCAGGGCCTGCCCCGCTGCTGGTCCTCTGGAGCTTCACCCCCCTGGGCTCCCTGGTTCCCCGGCCTGTGGCCGTCACCGATGGAGCCATGTCCAAGGTGGAGGCCATCGCCTCGGCTCTGGGAGTCGTGAGTCTGAGGAACAGCAGCCTGGTGCTGGGGGAGCTTCACGAGGGTGCCCGTGGCCACTTCCTATGCCAGGTTCTGCACGTGGCTGGCGGCCAGCTCCACGCTGCCTACTCCCACCTCACGCTGGCTGTGCTGGGTGAGGGCCTGGCCCCAGCTGCAGCTGGTCCGCGGGCTGCTTTGGATTTCTCTGGAAGTGTGCTGCCCATTCCCTTTGTGTGTGTGCGGGACCCAGGTTCTAAAGGGCGCCCCACTCCAGGGACTTTGGAAAGCTGGGGTGATGAGGAAGGGATGGTCAGGGTGGGTGGGCTGGTGAGTCCCCAGCCAGCAGGGGTGGGGGCGCTGGACACAGCTGGGCGTGTCCTGGGTCTGTAATAACACAGCGGGCCTCTCCCTCCTCTGGCCAGTGCCGGTGTCCAAGCCTCAAGTGCGACTGAGTAACCCGTCCCCTGTGGAGGGAGCCTCCGTGGTGGCCACGTGTGCAGTGCGGGAGGGCACAGAGCCCGTGACCTTTGCCTGGCAGCATCGGGCACCCCGAGGCCTTGGAGAGGCCCTGGTGGGGGTCACTGAGCCACTATTCCAGCTGGACCCTGTCAACCGGACACACCTAGGGTGGTACATGTGCAGCGCCAGCAACTCCGTGAACAGGCTGAGCAGTGACGGGGCCTTCCTGGACGTCATTTGTGAGTCAGACTGTGGTGGGGGGGCTGTCAGGGCTGACACCCATCTCCCCATCCACACTCAGCCTTCCACACCTCAGAACTCCCCAAATCCCTCCACTGCAGGAGTGCCTCGCCCTCTAAAAGTCTCCAGCAGGCAAGAGTCACGGGGTGCCGTGCCCCTGCTGCCCACTGCAGCTCTAGTTCCAGGCTGTTAGCCTTATAAAGGTCAAGGACACCCTTTTCCAGGAAAACGTGCATACATTCATGCTTACAATTTCACTCACCATTTCACTGGCGGCCTGGAGAGTCTGCCTTTAGGTTGAGCCTGGAGGGCTCTCAGAAACCAACAGGACCCCAGGAGACAGGAATGGGGCCACAGTGGGAGGAGAGGGCAGCAAGCCTGAAGTTAGAAGTCAGGAGCCCCGGGTGAAAGATGAAGGCCAGGGTGGCCTGGAGCTCGCTGTCCCACATGGCAGCCACGCATGTGTATCTTCGGTCACTTGAGATGGAGCCAATCCAAACTGAGCTGTGCTGTAGGCATGGAAGGCACACTTGATTTTGAAGCTTTAGTCCAAAAGAAAGAATGTAAAATATCCGTAACTTCTATATTGATTATATATTGAAATAACATTCTGGATATATTTGGTTAAATAAATATATTCTTAAAGTAAAACACCTATTGGTGGTTTTTGTTTTTGTTTTCTGCTTGATCGGGTTTGGTCATTTTTACGTAAGATTTGGCTACTAGAACGTGTTATAAAAAAAAATCTGTGTCTGGCATCCGCCTATTGGACGGTGCTGGTCTTAGACGTTTTAAGGAGCGAGGACGAATGGCGTCCTATTTATCGGTCTTCACCGTGGCGGTTTGTGGAAATTGTGAACTGAGGACTGTTGAGGCAGGTGAGCAGGAGAGTTCTTGCGAAAGAGGCAGGAGCAGACTGGAAGTAGGCAAAGAATTCAGAACTCTTTTGGAGTCAGGGAGAGCTTCGAAGATGGTGACCCTGAGCTTGGAACGCAGGAGAGAGGGGAAGGTGGAGTCCAAGGAAGTGAAAGGAGGTGGCTGCTGGGATAGGGTTCAGGACATCATCCCACTGTAGTATCTTACTTCTGCAGTCTACAGTGGCCGAATGTCTGCTTCCAAGAGCCCCTCAGTCTCAGGCACATGGGAAGCATTGGTCCCCTACCTCTCTTCTGCCCCACCTTGGCCCAACCCAGGAGTCCCTCCAGGAAGTGCCCACAGCCCAGGGTGCTCACCTCCACACATAAGCCCTGAGCACCCTGGACTGTGCCCATGGCCCCTGGACTCTGAGCTCTAAGAGGGCCTAGCCTTGGGGTGGACACGGGCCAGTGCATACTACATGCCCCTAGGATGGATGCATACATTCAGAGATGAGCATGTGCGTGAATGAAGGAATGAAGCTGGGGAGGTGTAACTGGCCTTCCTTGCTCTCCAGATGGTCCTGACAAGCCTGTGATCACCATGGAGCCGCTGGGACTCACTGAGGAGGGCTTCTGGGCCAGTGAGAGGGAAGAGGTGACCCTGAGCTGTCTGGCTGCCTCCAACCCACCTAGTCACTATGTGTGGCTCCGTGACCACACGCAAGTCCACACGGGGCCTACCTATGTCATCGCCAGAGCTGGCCGTGTCCACACAGGCCTGTACACCTGCCTGGCCCGCAACAGCTACCTGGACACCCGCACCCAGACTACTGTCCAGCTCACCATCTACTGTGAGTGTGGGGGTCGGGTGACGCCCAGACCTGTCCTGGGGACAACTCACGCTGGAGCCTTTGTGGGGCTGTTCTGGGGCAGACCCCGCCGTCCCGTGGAGAGGCGTGTGCCAAAGCTGCTCTTGTTGGAGGGAGGTCTCCAACCAAGTGGAGTTGGAGGCAGGGAAAGAGGAGAAGAAAACTGTGGGAAGGGGAAGGGGAAGGGGAAGGGAGGGGGAAGCTACTGACACTACATAGCACCCCGCCGCTAAGTGATTATTCCCATGGCCCTGCGGACTGAACTGAGGCACAGAGAAGGGCGATGGCAGTGAGGCAAGGTGTGCTGGCTCCTGGGTGCCCAGGGACAGAGACGAGAATGGGAGATAGGGCCCTCCATGGGGCCTCTGGGATTCCTTGGGGACTCCAAACTCCTGTACACTCGGTAACCTCCTGCCCCTGACCTGAGAGCTCAGCCTGTTCCTCACCAGCCCCTCAGAGAGACTCAATCTTTCCCCTAACCCACTTCTCCCTGCTCCCCTACCCACTGACACCCCTGGCCTCCAGACTCCCCTGCCTGGGCCTGGGGGCTGCAGGGCACTGGCAGTGGAGCCTGCTCCAGCCTCACCCACTTCCCCATCCAGATCCCCCTGAGGGACAGCCCTCCTGTGCAGTGCATCCCAGCCCTGAGGCTGTGACCCTGCTCTGTGCCTGGCCTGGGGGGCTTCCGCCTGCCCAACTGCAGTGGGAAGGGCCTCAGGGACCTGGCCCTACTGCCCCCAGCAACGTCACCTGGAGTCACGCAGCCGCCCAGCTCCCCAGTGGCAGCGTCTTCACCTGCACTGGCCAGCACCCAGCCCTGGCACCGCCTGCCCTCTGCACAGTCATGCTCTGTGAGTGGACACAGGAAACCCCAGGGCTCTGACATTCCAGGCAGAGTGTGGGTAGAGGTCAGGGTAGAGGCGGGGGGCCTGGGATCTGGGTGGCTCTCCAGACCGCAGGCTCCAAAACACGCCATGTAACAAGGAGGTGGGCGGCACTCAGCTCTCAGTCCCCATCTCCCATCTTTCCCATCCACACTGTGCTCTGTTCCCCTCACTTTGGGCTTGGAGCCCTGACACCTCCCCACTGTCCCTGCCTGCAGGGTCAGCAGGCTCTCACCGCCCTTACACTGCACTTCTACCGCTCTGACGCATGTTGGGCTTGAAACTTGCCTTCAGCATTCTCTCTGCCAAGTGTGCAGAGAGAAACTCCCAGCCATCAGCCAAGACAGAGTCCAGATGTCATCCTGTCCTCTTTCCGGAAGCCCCAGGGAGTTTGTCTTTCTGTCTATATTCTAGCACACATCAAATCATAATAATTGTTTAATGTCTGTTCCCACCATTTCCCTGGCACATGATCAATAAATGATGAGTGTGTGAATGAGTGAGTGACAAAGTAATGAAGGAAGGAGGGAGTGAAGGAACCAATGAAGGAAGGGGGATAGGGTGGAACTGCCAAGCCCTTCCTCCTTCCACAGGGCCATACTGAGCCATCATTCCTTCCAGGGGAGCCTCTCGGGAGGCCTACCTGCTGGAGCACAGCCACAATGGGGGACCAGTTCATCATGCTGAGCTGCGAGTGGCCTGGCGGCGAGCCCCCTGCCACGCTGGGCTGGCTTGACGAACAGCAGCAGCCCCTGGGCGGCAGCAGCTCCTCGATGGCCGTTCACCTCCTGCAGGCCCAAGAAGATCTGGCTGGCAGAGAGTTCACCTGCCGGGGCACTCACCTGCTCAGGACCCCTGACCCCCACTGCCACCTCCAGCTGGGTGAGTAGGGGCTAGCGAGTTTGTTCTGGGGCTGGGACAGGAGGAGGAACCCTTTGGAATCAGGATAAAGAGATCTTAGGGGGTGGCTGTGCTGGCATGGAAAGTGAGTCAGTGCGGACGGGGAAGCTAGGAGGTAGTTAGGAGCTGAGCTCCCAGGGACTCAAGTTTTCTTTGATCCATAAAATGAGGGGGTTAGGCTAGGTCAGAGTTGTGTAATAAAAATATAATGTGAGCCATATATGTGATTTAAAATATTCTAGCAGCCACATTTAAAAAGAAGAAGAAACAAGTGAAACACTTCAGTTAACTCAATATATCCAGTATATCATTTCAACATGTAATAATAAAAATTATTAATGAGATATTTTACATTCTTTTTATATCTTGTCTCCAAAATCTGGTATATATACAATTACTGCACATCTCAATCTGGACTGGCCACATTTCAAGTTCCCATATTGACGTGGCTGGTCACTACAATATTGGATAGCACTGATCTAGATGAAGTGGAAATGCCAACTGCATAATCTTCACTTACATGGATTTGCATAAGAGAGGTGCCTGATTATATTAATATTTCAGAAGTCAGTTCTCTACCTCTCTTACTCTGTTTGGTTTTGGTCTGGTTCTTCCTTATCTTCATCTGGCTCTGCCAGTCTATTTACTGCAACCAGGAAAAAAGAATTAAATATCAAAGTAAAAAATAATGTGAGAAAAGCAAACAGAGAAGCTGTCACACACAACAGTTCTCACAGAATGCTTTACCTCTTGGTCTCCAAAGGCTTGGTAACTAGCATGTTCTCAGGGCTCTAAGGAGGTCTCAACCCCAAATATTTCCTTCCCTATTACTTGGTCTCAGGACCGGAAATTCCATCGTAGGAGATTCATTGACACCTGAGAGTCTGGGTCTTTAATAAGTCAGTCCATAAAATCTGAGCACCTGCTATGGTCCCAGCACTATGCCTGGAGCCAGCCGGGAGGTGGGGGGCCACTAGTGGGAGGGAGGCCAGGTGCTGGAAGGGGCCGTTCATGCAGAGACTAGTAAGGCAGGGCCCTGCCTGCAGGAGCCGAGGCTAGGGTGGGGCAGGGAAGGAACAGGGAGGAACACTGCTGATTTCATCATATATTAGCGAGCCCTGGCGCACACTGTGACAGGAACTTGGCATAGAATGGGAACCTGAAGAGAAGGCAGACTGGCCCCAGACAAGCCTCATTGTCAACTCCGCAGCTCTCCCGCTCCATCTCTTCTCCATGCCTTCCAATGCTGGCCAGCACCTTGTCCCCAAGCCCTCCCACTAGCCGGCCTCATCCTCTCTGTCCCCGCAGAAGCCCCACAGCTGGACGTGGCTGAGCCCCGCGTGTCAGTGTTGGAGGGGGGAGAGGCCTGGCTGGAGTGCTCTCTCCGCGGGGGCACACCACCTGCCCAGCTCCTCTGGCTGGGGCCTCAACAACAAAAAGTGGACCCCGGCACTTCAGGATTCATGCTGCACCCTGAGGGTGCCCAGCTGCGCCTGGGCATCTACGATGCTGACCCGGCACACCACAGGGGCACCTACCAATGCGTGGCCCGCAACGCCGTGGGCAATAGCAGTCAGAGTGTGCTGCTGGAGGTCCTGAGTGAGTGAGGGGTTGAATGCGTGTGTGTGGTGAGGTGGGGGCTGGGAGACCAACAGCCACAGAGTGCTTTAAGTGGAAAGGCACAAGGATTCCCTGCTCCAAAATTTGGACGCTTGAGCTTCCTTGGGCATAGGCAGGACTCAAGAGATAGATGGGCAACATGCGCGTGAATCTGCTGCACTCACGGCAAACAGAACGCCATGCAGGCAGGATCGCCTTTCATTTTATAGATGAAAAAAACTGATGGGACAAGGCAGGGCTTCTCAGGTCCACAGACCCCAATCCAGTGCCTTGTCCACACTGCCAGGCTGTCTCTTGACAGGAGCAAATCTGGGGGCACAAGGTCACGTGGTTGTAGGTATACATGTCCCTTGTTTTGTCCCCACCCTCACCCAGGATATCCAGCTCCTCCCAATGTCACCATCAGCCGCCTGACCTACGGGAGGCACCGGAGAGAGGTGCAGCTTCAATGGGCCATCTTAGGACCCGGGAACCTGACGGGCTTCCTGGTGCAGCGGAAGGCCAGTGCCCTGGGCCCAGGAGCTGGGGCGTGGGAGACAGCAGCTAGTGACATCGAGCCAGAGAGCCGAGGACGGCGGCTGGGGGGCTTGGACCCCGGGGTCCTTTATGCCTTCCGCATCCTGGCTCTGAATCACCACACTGCAGGACATCCCTCTGAGGTGAAGATACCAGGTGCCAGCTAATGCCAGGGAGGGACCCACCTTTTCTCCAAAGCGCTGGCCCCTGGTTCATCTTCCTCTTCACAGGGCATCCCCTCCTCTCTTCCTTTGCTCGCATCCTACTGAATTCTCCCATCCCCAGCCCGTCCTCCTCTCTCTCCACTCTCCCCTCAGATAATCTCCACGACTCTTTCCTGTCCCTCCCTGGGGGGCTTGGGAGGCTCCAGGCTGAGGGTTAGGAACCCTAATTCATGTGATCAGAATAGAGAGGAAGGAAAAGGTGCTGGTGACTAAGAACAGGAGCCGACTCTGTGCCTCAGTCTCCCCTCCAGGGCTACAAGCAGGCTCTCAGCTTCCTGCTGCCCCCTCTCCATCCTGGGAATTCCTGATTTTACGGCATGCTCCCCTTCAGCCCCAAGCCGCCAAGATAACCAACCTTTTGTCTTCTGCACCAGAAACAGGGGATTTGGCAGGAGAGTCAAACCCCAGAGCACTAGGCAGACAGAGCGCCGCCTTCCTTGGGAGAGACCTGATCTCCAGGATTCTCTGGGTCCCCATGTCAGCTGCAGGGGGAACTGGATGAGCAGGGCACCGCTTCTCCAGAACCCTAGTGGTTCCCTACGAGCCACTGTGGCCCAAGTTCTGCAGTGGCTCTAAACCATGGAACCTGTGCTCTCCCCTCCTAGCGGACCCCCCCTTCAGCGCCTACCCAGCGGTGTTGGGTGCAGCAGGCACGGGAATGGTGGTAGCAACGGTGGCCTCTCTACTGGTGTTCCAGTATGCTGCCCGGCACCCAGAGACTTTCCCCCGTGAGTGGGAATCGGAAGGGACGGGCTGCTTGACCCCACAGGGTGGCCAGGCCCTGACCTATCCAAAGGAGAGATGCAGCACTCCCGGGGGAGAAGAATCTAGGCTCTTCCTTAATTCAGACCCTCTCCCCAGTGCTAGATGTTGCCATGCAGGGCTCTAACCCCCAACCCAGGCACCTGGGGCCATCCCCTTCTGGGTTCCTGAGGCCCTAGTACAGAGCCCACTGGGAAAGAGACGGCCATTCTCCTGGGATCTCTGCTGGGCTGGCCAAGTAATGCTCCTTTTCTTTTCCTTCCTACAGGCCTTGGTCAATTGCTTGTTCCCACGTGAGTGTGGAACCCCAGTCATCCTGGGGGCCAGGGCTTTCCTCCAGTTGGAAAGGAAAGCGAGGGAAGTGAGTTGCCACTAACTTTACTCTCCCACTTCACTCTCAGGGAGCAAAGGCACCAACAGAGGGGTTCCAGAGAAGATGCTGAGGCACCGGCAGGTAAGCACCTTATCCAGAAAAAGACGACTCGTGTACAAGGAGACCAGTGCTGGGTGCTGAGGGTGATGCTTGGTCTCTCTTGAGCTCTGGGAACACTTGGACACTCCCAAAGCATCCCTCTGTTCTTTGCCCACATATGCTCTTCATAGGCCTTGAAACACCAACCACCACCCCAGGTTTGGATCCTGCACAAGAAACCACGGATTCTCCAGTGAATGTCACCATCACAGTGACTGCAACACCATAAGGCCCAAAGAGGAAGATGCAAATAGGCTTAGGGAGGGCAGGTGGGATTTGGGAAGAGCCCTTCTGTCAGACTTTGGTCATAAAACCAACGTAGCTAAGACACCAACTACCACTTTCACTTAATACCCAGTCTTCACAACTGGTACAAGGCCCAGCTGCAGTGTCCCTAAGTGACATGGTTACAAGAGAAGCCCTGGCCCACCTTGTGGAAGACAGAGGTGGCAGGACAAGGAAGAGGACCCACAATGGGGAGACAGGGATCTCTGGGTGTCTGAGGGCAAGTGAAAGCCATGGTACTGGGAAGGATCTGTGGTGCTATAGAAGTATGAGCAAGCTAGCTGCTTCCAGAAAAAAAGTCTGTGGATGGAGCAATTCCTAAATAAATCAGAGCTGATGTTCACGCCAATAGAGGGCTACTTCCATTGCGACTCCCACAGAGACAGGCTGATGGCTGGGTCCCAGGTTTGGCTAGTGGGAAGAAGCAAGGTGTGTAGGTGTGTGTTCCTTTGCTCAACCATAGCTTACGAACATCACTGACGCTGCAGTGGTCCGACTCCAGGAGTCGCAGCCCACAAGATACGGAGCAGAGGTACTGCAGATGTAGCTTCCCGCCCCCAGGCTGGGGGAGCTGGCCCACAGAGCACCGGGGCTGTTCCAGAGTCACAATGTCAGCTGCCAGCATGACTCACTAGCTCCAAGTGTGTGTGTCTGTTTGTGTGTGTGTCTGTAATCTGGGTGAAAACACAAATGAATGCTTGTTCAACTGACTAGAAGACTCGGGACTCCGAGCCGCCTCTGCAGGAGACACAGATGAGAAGAAACGGCAAGAAAGCCAACGGGGGACCCGCCAGCACAAGGGACGTGGCGCCTGAAAGGAGACAGAAAATTGAGAAGCTTAAGAAGATTCTGTGGTTCTCACAGAGTTAGACTTTATTAGATAAGGGGTTTCGGCTACCCTCAAAGCTCTCAGGACTGGGGCTAGGGTTTAAGGAAGGCTTATTTAAATATGGGAAATAAAATACAAAAGGGCCACACCCGATGCAAAAGACTTTGCTGGCTTTCTGGTCAGACAAGCCTAGAGATGTGTATTTTCTTAGGGCAGTAAAACAAAACGTTTTCACAAGGAGGCTAAATTTCTATCCTGAAGTTCATAAACATGTGGCGCTCGGTTAATGGTAAAAATAGACAATGTGTGAGGCGGGACCGCTCCTCCTCATCCTCCCAAGCTCCTCTCCTACCCACCTCCCTTCCCTCCAAGGAAACGCAAAGTTGCCCCGAGGAGGTGGGCCTGCCTCCACATCGCCCCCAGGGTCAGGTATGTTCTCAGCGTCCCCTAAAACACTTGCCCAAGATCCTGCTCCTTCAGGGCCTTGATCTCTGCAGTCAGAACAGAGGGGTGTGCACAGGGGAGTTTCAGGGGAGGACAGGGGTGGGGGGTTCCAAAGAATTTCAGAGGAAGACATTCGCCCACCCCAATCACAAACTATAAGCAGCGTTGTACAAACAGGGAGTATTCCCACCTTCAGGGGCTATGCTATATGAAAGCAGCCTTCTCTTTTAATATAAAATCATATCAACCAAATAAAACCTGCCAAAGCTACATCATTTAAAATATGTACAGTTTCACACACAATATTACAACTTTAAGGAAAATAAAACATACTTTTCAATATGATACAAAGCATGCATCTCAAAGTCATTACTTTAAAAGAGAGCAACACAGGTAAAATTCAATGATAAACTTCACTTCTTGGCAGTACTATAGCTGGAATGAGATCTGTGGCATGATCAGCCCAAGATGGATGCATTGAGTCTTCATAGACTCATTCGACAAAAACACCCAGAAAGAAAGGCTTTTGCTAAGAACACTTCAAAAGGTTTAGAACATTGCAATGTAACTTGCACCCTGGCAGCACCTGTCACCAGACTGTCAGTGCAAAACTGAAAGAAAAACATTAAAAGGAGATCGTGAAATGATACAGTGGGAGCGGGGCAGTTTATGCTAAAACAATCACACAGAATTCTAGATGAGAAGGAACATGAATAGGCTTGACCAATTTCGTGATCACTGAGCACAGTAAAGATCAAATTTCCAGGTGGAGGTGGTAGACAGGGGGCGTCAAGGGGAGAAATGTGGACCTCTGGAAGACGAAGTCATAAGCAGAGCTCTGCCCGCGGAGGCCAGAGAGCAGCTTCTCTGGCTGCGGAGTTGGAGCCTCGGAGGAATTCCACGGCAGGGATAGATCACAGCATACGGAACGGGACTGGTTCCATCCAAAGAGTGAACCACAATGCTTTTGGAAAGCAGTATGGAAAAATGGGAGGAGCCCAGATTATGGCTCCAGATAAACTAGGTTCGGATTCAGGTCCCATGGCTCACTGAGTGACTTGGGGATTTTAATGCCAACTTTGTAGATGAGTTGTGGGGGTTAAATGAGTTAACAGTAACAAGCACCGAGCACAGTGCCTGGTACACAGTAGTTATTCAGCACGTGTTAGTGCTGTCTCCCACACTGTACCATGTCCTCTCATTTCCTGGTGAAGTGACATTAGGTAGGACTGTTTGGGTGCCTGTGCAGGGCAGAGCCAACTCACGCTTAGGGAGAACTCATACCGCCTAAATATAAAGGCAATTATATATATATATATATATGTGTGTGTGTGTGTGTGTGTGTGTGTTTATATATATATATTTATATATTTCAATATATAAAGGCATTTTTTATAAATAAAATACAATAAAAAGAATAACACTTAAAACAGCGTTACTAATAATATAAATAAAGCAGTCCACAATGAGATTGTCCTAAAGGTAAAGCCATTTTCTCTTCCTCGTGGACAGATCCCATATTCAAACTCAATCTTTAAAAGCAGTTCATGACCTAAGGCTCATGCTAATACACCTGTTTCCTAAATCAAAATGGCTGTCTACGGACAATGACTCCCCAGTTTTCTAAAACTCCCTTTGTGACAGCATTGCTGTAACTTGATTGGCTAACACAGGGTATGTTTTCATATTCTGTGCGCTGGGACTTTGTCCTTTGCTAGTCACAGAAGTAAGGGATGCAGCTATCCCCCTCCAGAGCTAACTGCATTTAAGCAACATGAAGAATAAATCCAGTATACTATAGGCACGGACATCTGGAATGTAGAACTTGGGTCTACAGCATCCCTAATATCCGACTAGGGAATTACATTCACTACATTCTACTGGAAGTAACTCTTGCATAGTGACCCAGCTTAAACAAGCACATTTTCACTAACAGTTCTATTATAAAATATATAGACATATGTAAGGGAATACTGATGCATTTATACAGAAAGTTGGTTAACACAGTATTGTATTCTATTCCACTGCGATTTCTGGGAAACTAACATTTCTTCACTTCTGCTGGAATTGCTTGACTCTATAGAAAGAGAATAATTTTCTGTTTCTTTCCCCAAAGGGATGCACAATGCACAAAGGAGCAGTGATCCTTGAAAGCTTGACTCAAGCTATGAAACACACTTACATAATTATTGTTTTTTAATGTGAAGAGCCTTCCAAAGGCAGCTGCAAATGTCCTTGTCACGCAGAGGCAGCCGTGGTCAGGAGCTCTGCTGACCAACTTGGCTTTAGGTGCCTATTTACAAGGGTGACATTCTGAAAAAGGTATCAGGAAATTTCAGGAAAAAAACCCAAAACAAACAAACAAAAAAAAACAAAAAACAAACAAACAAAAAAAAACCCTTTTCTTCCAAAGTAAGTCTTTTCTGACACTCACCCCTGCAGGCCGTTGCCTATGCTGGAGATGGGGGATGACTAGTTTCGGCGTCATGGCACCATAAGCGTGTCCCTGTGCTAATCCAACAGACTGGAGAGCTCCCGCCAAGACAGGCTCCCTGCAGCCCTCCCCTTTCTTTCTTCTGAAAATGTGTATCTTTCTCTTCAAGCCACCATTTAATGTCTTATTTTGTTCCTACTCCGAGAAACAGTCAAAAAGAGCCCATAGTGGCCATTTTATAAATTAATGTAATTTTAAAGCAGTGGGACATGAGGCATTATTTGTCTCTCTGGCCTTGGTTCCTTTTCTGCATACTGCCGTAATTCATCAAGACCTTACACTCCACCACGTCCATAACACTATGACTAGTGCCTAGCAAACTGAACATCACTCGTGCCCACGTGCAGATACAAAGTCAACAGGTCACATTACCACTTCTGTGGAAGGCACTCTTGTAAAATCCGTCAGCCAGGTCTGTTATTATAAACATGGGTCACAACTGCAGTTGATTTCAAAGTGTTCTCAGGAAGTCTGATAATACAGGCCAGACGTGGTGGCTCACGCCTGTAATCCTCGCACTTTGGGAGGCGGAGGCGGGTGGATCACTTGAGGTCAGGAGTTCAAAA